>NC_000011.10:73782968-74085999 GCF_000001405.40 Homo sapiens | reverse complement strand
GTTGGTTTTATTCTTGGTGGTCTCATAGAAGTAATGAAGTTATTTTCTAGAAAATCAAGCTGATTTCTAATGTTACCATGGTATCTTCTCATTTCCACCCTTCTCCTCTACAGGGCTTTGGCTGAACGGGAACCCGCTCTACAGTTTAGTGCCACAGTCGGGGTCAATGCCTCTGTCACCACTCATCTCTCCTTCCTGCCCCAGGGAGAACAGCGCCGAACCCACCCTGTGGCCTGTTCTTTCTGCCCTGAGTTCTCCCATCACGTTGAGTTCACATGTAACTTGGTGACTCAGCACTGTAGTGGAGAGGCCTGTTTCCTAGCAGAGTTGTTGGAGTTTGCAGAAGTTATTTTTGCTGTCTATCATGAAAATACCAAGTCAGGTGAGCACCATATGACTTGTCACAATCAAAATTAAAAGAGGCTGCATTGTGAATAGTATAGCCCTTCCTAGGAGATACATACTGCAGTATTTAAAGGTGAGGAGTCATAATCTCTGCAACTTATTTCTGAAAGATATAGCAAAAAATAAGGATATGTACTAAGTATGTAAGAGAAAGATAGTGTAGAGAGAAATAAAGCAAATGTGTCAGTGTTAATGGGTGTATCGAGATGAAGGGTGTGTAGGAGTTCATTATTATATTTTTGCAACTTTTCTGTATACCTGAATTTTTTTCAAAACATTTAATTTAAAAAATGGGCTGGGCACAGTGGCCCAAACCTATAATCCCAGCACTTTGGGAGGCCGAAGTGGGAGGATCACTTGAGCCCAAGAGTTCAAGGTGCAGTGAGTTATGATTGCACCACTGCATTCCAGCCTGGATGAGAGAGTGAGACCCTGCCAAAAAAAAAAAAAAATGAAGGCATTCAGGCTTTGATTGGGGCATGAGCAAGAGCAAGATAATCTCTAATGCATTTTACAAAACTAAGATTTAGTGCATATAAGGGGAGGGTTGTGTGGATATACTGTAAACTAGCCCCTTGATGAATAGACCATCAAATAATTTTTCTTTTTTGCTTGATTTAACAGCAAGTGATATAATCAGTATTGAGTCATGCAAAGAGTATCTGCTTGGAGTAGTAAAAGTTCCAACAAAAGAGCTGCTGATCAAGAGATCTGGTAAGGATCCTGGATTATCACTTTCTGATGCCACCCTTTCCCTTTCACTTCCCTACAAGAGGTAATCTTCTCTGTCTCTCATGTAAGATATTCAAAAGAAAACACAACCCCTTAACACATGCTTCTGAACTCTCTCCAATACCTCAAATGTTTTTTGAAACTTTTTTTTTTTTAGTTTAAAGATCTTAATTAATTTTATTTGCAATCGGGAATACTTCATTTCATAAAATAAAATGTGTTCCAATGAGCTGAGCAGAAGAGGTTGATTTTATAGATGGAGAAGTCCTGAAGAAAGGATAAACACAGACCACGCATGGTGGCTCACGCCTGTAATCCCAGCACTTTGGGAAGCCAAGGCGGGCAGATCACCTGAGGTCAGGAGTTCGAGACCAGCCTGGCTAACATGGTGAAACCCCGTTTCTTTTTTCTTTTTCTTTTTTTTTTTTTTATTATACTTTAAGTTCTAGGGTACATGTGCACAACATGCAGGTTTGTTACATAGGGATACGTGTGCCATGGCACCCATTAACTTGTCATTTACATTAGGTATTTCTCCTAATGCTATCCCTCCCCCTGCCCTCCACCCCATGACAGGCCCTGGGGTGTAATGTTCCCCGCCGTGTGTCCAAGTGTTCTCATTGTTCAGTTCCCACCTATGAGTAAGAACATGCGGTGTCTAGTTTTCTGTCCTTGTGATAGTTTGCTCAGAATGATGGTTTCCAGCTGCATCCATGTCCCTACAAAGGACATGAACTCATCCCTTTCTATGGCTGCATAGTATTCCATGGTGTATATGTGCCACATTTTCTTAATCCAGTCTGTCATTGATGGATATTTGGGTTGGTTCCAAGTCTTTGCTATTGTGAATAGTGCCGCAATAAACATACATATGCATGTGTCTTTATAGTAGCATGATTTATAATCCTTTGGGTATATACCCAGTCATGGGATGGCTGGGTCAAATGGTAATTCTATTTCTAGATCCTTGAGGAATCGCCACACTGTCTTCCACAGTGGCTGAACTAGTTTACACTCCCACCAACAGTGTAAAAGCGTTCCTATTTCTCCACATCCTCTCCAGCACCTGTTGTTTCCTGACTTTTTAATGATCTCCATTCTAATTGGTGTGAGATGGTATCTCATTGTGGTTTTGATTTGCATTTCTCTAGTGACCAGTGATGATGAGCATTTTTTCATGTGTCTGTTGGCTGCATAAATGTCTTCTTTTGAGAAGTGTCTGTTCATATCCTTTGCCCACTTTTTGATGAGGTTATTTGTTTTTTTCTTGTAAGTTTGTTTAAGTTATTTATAGATTCTGGATATTAGCCCTTTGTCAGATGGGTAGATTGCAAAAATTTTCTTCCATTCTGTAGGTTGCCTGTTCACTCTAATGGTAGGTTCTTTTGCTGTGCAGAAGCTCTTTAGTTTAATTAGATACCATTTGTCAATTTTGGCTTTTGTTGCCATTGCTTTTGTTGTTTTAGTCATGAAGTCCTTGCCCATGCCTACGTCCTGAATGGTATTGCCTATGTTTTCTTCTAGGGTTTTTATGGTTTCAGGTCTAACATTTAAATCTTTAATCCATCTTGAATTAATTTTTGTATAAGGTGTAAGGAAGGGATCCAGTTTCAGCTTTCTACATATGGCTAGCCAGTTTTCCCAGCACTATTTATTAAATAGGGAATCCTTTCCCCATTTCTTGTTTTTGTCAGGTTTCTCAAAGATCAGATGGTTGTAGATGTGTGGTGTTATTTCTGAGGCCTCTGTTCTGTCTATTGGTCAATATATCTGTTTTGGTACCAGTACCATGCTGTTTTGGTTACCGTAGCCTTGTAGTATAGTTTGAAGTCAGGTAGCGTGATGCCTCCAGCTTTGTTCTTTTTGCTTAGGATTGTCTTGGCAATGCGGGCTCTTTTTTTGGTTCCATATGAACTTTAAAGTAGTTTTTTCCAATTCTGTGAAGAAAGTCATTGGTAGCTTGATGGGGATGGCATTGAATCTATAAATTACCTTCGGCAGTATGGCCATTTTCACAATATTGATTCTTCCTATCCATGAGCATGGAATGTTCTTCCATTTGTTTGTGTCCTCTTTTATTTCGTTAAGCAGTGGTTTGTAGTTCTTCTTGAAGAGGTCCTTCATGTCCCTTGTAAGTTGGATTCCTAGTTATTTTATTCCCTTTGGGGGAGGGACAGGGGGGCGAATCCAGCAGCATATCAAAAAGCTTATCCACCACGATCAAGTTGGCTTCATCCCTGGGATGCAAGGCTGGTTCAACATATGCAAATCAATAAACATAATCCATCACAGAAACAGAACCAATGACAAAAACCACACGATTATCTCAATAGATGCAGAAAAGGCCTTTGACAAAATTCAACAGCCCTTCATGCTAAAAACTCTCAATAAACTATTGATGGAACATATCTCATAATAATAAGAGCTATTTATGATAAACCCACAGTCAGCCGGGCACAGTGGCTCACACCTGTAATCCCAGCACTTTGGGAGGCCGAGGTGGGCGGATCACAAGGTCAGGAGATTGAGACCATCCTGGCTAACAAGGTGAAACCCCATCTCTACTAAAAATACAGAAAATTAGCTGGGCGTGGTAGCAGGCGCCTGTGGTCCCAGCTACTCCGGGGGCTGAGGCAGGAGAATGGCATGAACCCGGGAGGCGGAGTATTTAGAGATCGCACCACTGCACTCCAGCCTGGGCGACAGACCGAGACTCCGTCTCAAAAAAAAAAAAAAAAATATCCACAGCCAGTATCATACTGAATGGGCAAGAACTGGAAGCATTCCCTTTGAAAACTGGCACAAGACAGGGATGCCCTCTCTCACCATTCCTATTCAACATAGTGTTGGAAGTTCTGGCCAGGGCAATCAGGCAAGAGAAAGAAATAAAGGATGTTCAATTAGGAAAAGAGGAAGTCAAATTGTCCCTGTTTGCAGATGACATGATTATATATTTAGAAAAAAAACCCCATCGTCTCAGCCCAAAATCTCCTTAAGCTGATAAGCAACTTCAGCAAAGTCTCAGGATACAAAATCAATGTGCAAAAATCACAAGCATTCCTATACACCAATAGCAGACAAACAGAGAGCCAAATCATGAGTGAACTCCCTTTCTTGAAACATTTTAAGTCTTCTCCTAATCGTTCTGAAGTTCTTATAATAAAACAAAGAAGCTCAAGACATTATACTATCATCCTTCTCTAAGAAAGATGGTGGTGATGATGATGATGATGATGGTGATGATGATGATGATGATGAAGAATATGGCAATATCCATTACATTATGTAGCACTTTGTAAAATATTTTCTCAGATCTTGTTTGAGCTTCATGATAACCCTGACAGGTAAGGATATAGGATCTTATTATTTTCATTTGACACATGAGAAAACTTAGAGATTAAGTGGTTTGCCAAAACCACATACCTGGTGAGTGGCAGGACCTGAAATGAAATCCAGATTCACTCATTATTTTTCCCTATTTTTTCTCTCACTGAAGAAGGAATAAGGACATGGGATAAATGCCCCCCAAAATAGACACAACCACCAAGGCAGTCTGGAAATACTGATCCCATCCTACTTAACTAGTAACTGGGTGACCTTGACCAAGTGATTTGACCTCTCTGAGCCCCCATTTTCTTATCTTGTGGGATGGATACAGTTAATCCTGACAAGTCTACAAGGTAGGAATTCATTAAATTGGTTATATAAAGTACCTGACACATAGTAGGTGTGCAGTAAGTGTAGGTTTTCCTTCTGTTGTCAATCTTCCTGCCTAGGATTGTGTAATCTAGTTTGCAGAATTCTGTCACACATCTCCCAATTTTATTATGAGTTAGTATTTGAGCACTACCCTAATAAACAGGTACTGTGTATGTGCCTGCCAGAGAGAAGTCTGCACAAGTTGATATGGGATTCAAATCTCCCTTCTGTCACTTACTATTTGTGATCTAAAGAAAGTTACTTCATCTTTCAGATCCATGGTTTCCTCATCTGTAATGGAAATAGTAAGATCTATTTCACTAGATTATTAAAGCATTTAATAAAATCTTACATGTGAAAGATCTTGGCACAGGGCTAGGTACGTAGGATACCTCAATTTCCTTCCTTCTATAACTTAGCTACAGTTTGTGAGAGAACAAGCACCATCTGGGAAATCACATCTCTGTGAATTAAAATTAACCCCTTGGATATAAACCTTTTAGATAATTAAGGATATATCATTTCTCTTTGTTCTAAAGTGAGCACTCTATTTTGTTTTTTCCTACCTATAACCTCAATTATAGAATCGCAAAGCTAAAGTAACCATCTAATAATCTGTGCAGTTCTTAAACACTGAAATGGCGTGAAATTTTGTGTCTACACATATTTGTTTATTTTGGGGGGCATAATAGCTTTCATTTGAGCCAAAAGGGTCTGTGACCAAAAAAATGTTAAGAACCATTAAGCTGTGGGGAAACATAATCTTAGAGCCAAAGCCCTAGGCTCTTAGACTATCAAGCCGAAAAAGAGCCTTAGAGATCAAAATTTTCAGCCTCCTCATTTCATAGAGAAAAACTAAGAACAAGAACACCCAGAAAAGTTAAATACCTGTCCAAAAGTCATAAAACCTTAAGTAATCTTCAGCAAATTAATCTCAATAAGCCTAAATCTCATTTGTAAAATATACTTAGTAAAACATTTCGCAGAAAATTGCTGTGAATATTATCATTCCACAATGTTTTATATAATGCCAAAATCTGAAAGACCCTGAAAATAGAAGTTTTTTAACTCATTGAGGAGCCAAATCTGACCTCAGCTGATATGAGACTTAGGCAACTGCCTATTTATGTAAACTTTTATTAAAACACACTGTGCCCATTAATTTACATAGTGTCTGTGGCCACTTTATTACCACAGTATCCCAGTTGAGTAGCTGCAGTAGAGACCATATGACCCACAAAGCCTAAAATGTTTACTATCTGTGAGCCCTGATATATAATATTATATAATATTCAGTTTATGTACTCTATTACCTTTCTAAAACCTGAGAAATTCTAAATTCAGAAATAAATCTGGCCTTAAAGGTTTCAGATAAGATAGTGTGAACCTATACTAGGTGGAATGTAGACTTTAGAGCCAGCTAGACCTGGAGTCAAATTCTAGCTCTCTTACTTGGTAGCAGTAATAAGTTGGACAGGTATCTGAGCTTCCACTTTCTCATCTGTAAAGTAAGGATTATTCTCCCATTTAGTCCTCAGAACTTCTCAGGGTTATCAGAGGAATTAAATGAAATAATATCTGTAAAGGGCTAGCAGAATTTCTGACACATACTAGATATTTAATAAAGAGTAGTTTTTGTCCAGGTGCAGTGGCTCACTCCTGTAATCTCAAAACCTTGGGAAGCCAAGGTGCAAGTATCACTTGAGGCCATGAGTTCAAGACCAGCCTGGGTATCACAACACGACCCTATCTCTACAAAAAAAAACAAACAAACCCACAAACCTTTTTTTGGAAAATGGCCAGGCGTGGTAGCACATGCATATAGTCCTATATTCTCAGGAGGCTGAGGCAGGAGAATGACTTGAGCCCAGGAGTTCAAAGTTACAGGTGACACTGCCCAGGCGGGCAATAGAGAAAGATTTTGAAATCTAGCACCTGGTCCTTGGTATGTGTTCTCTAAGTGCCGATTCCCTTGATAGAAGACTTGGGTCTAGACCCCAGATCTCTTTTGACCCCTGCCTTTTCTGTTGCACTCATAGTACCATAAACATTTCACTTTTAAAGCACTTCTCTCTCAAAGCTCTTTCTAAACCATTATCTCATTGGACAATCATAACAACTTTGGGAGACAGCACTAGCATCAGTTTTCCCATTTGTGAGGTAAGGAAACCAAATCTGAGAGAAATTAATGGCTTGTTCATAATAAACCACTAGTTCTAGCCATAGCCAAAGAGAACTCAGATCTTCCAACTCCTAGCCTTTGTTCTTCCCATCTAATCTCATTGCCTCTCAATGGTCAGATGAACATAAACTCCAACTCACTGTGGGTATGTTTTCTGTTCTGTCTTGAGCCAGGATGATAGGACACTATGGGGTGGAGAGTAAGTAACTTGTTTTTTGTTTACTTTTAAGACTATAATTGAGAATCTTTATTTTCTCCCGTAAGGGATCACAGGATGGTATCCTATCATTTTACCAGAAGACGGGGGCCTACCTCATGGCCTGGAGCTCATGCAGAAGATCGTGGGTGGTCTGGAGCTTTCGATTTCCTTCACGCATCGTGGAGATAGAGAACGGGTGTTGGAAGCTGCTGAGCATTTGGGCTGGAGCTTTGAGAACAGCCTGAAAGATTTTGTCAGAATGGATGAAGGGGAGCCAGCCACTGTCACCATCTCCACCCCAAGGCTGTGGCTGCCCATCCATTGTGTGCTGCTTGCTGGCCACAACCACATTCATAAGAATACATATTGCTACCTTCGCTACAAGTTCTATGATCATGAAGCCTTTTGGACCCCTCTCAAGAAGCCTAAGGAATCTGTAAACAAAAAGCAGATTATGGTCACTTTCAAGGCATCCAAAAGAGCAGAAGTCACCAGGGGCCCATCACTGCTTTGGTACTTCAGGGAGGAGAGGCTAGAGATCCAAGTGTGGCGAGCTTATGGCAATGACAGTGTGGAGAGACCCCATCAGACAGACAGCTGGATTGGCTCAGCCTATGTGGACCTGGCCAGACTTGGGGAGAGGTCAGCGAGGACGCTAACTGTCAGTGGTAAGTGAGGAGCCTGATTCAACTCTTGTAGTTTGAGCACCTGCTCTGTGTCAAACACTAGGTGAGACACTCTGTCAGACATTACTTTACTTGACCCTCCCAGCAATCCTGTGAGATAGGTATTATACCCATTTTACATTCATAAAAAAGGAGGCTCAGAGAGATTGAGTTACCTGCCCAGGGTCACAGACTAGTAAGTGTTCCTTCCATTATTGCATGCTGAAAGATTAATAATAATTTAGTAGTGCTTCTTGTAACTAAAGAGATAATATATATATATATATATATATATATATATATATATATATATATATATATATATATATATATATATATATATATACTGTAAGTTCTGGGGTACATGTGCAGAATGTGCAGTTTTATTACATAGGTATACATGTGCCATGGTGGTTTGCTGCACCCATCAACCTGTCACCTACATTAGGTATTTTTCCTAATGCTATCCCACCTCTAGCCTCCCACCCCTAACAGGCCCCAGTGTATGATGTTCCCCTCCCTGTGTCCATGTGTTCTCATTGTTCACCTCCCACTTATGAGTGAGAACATGCGGTGTTTGGTTTTCTGTTCTTGTTTGCTCAGAATGATGGTTTCCAGGCTTCATCCATGTCCCTGCAAAGGACATGAACTCATCCCTAAAGAGATTGTTTTTAAAGTTCCACTGCCTGCTTAAGAAAGGGTGTTACCTTATTCCAGTACTGTGGTGAGGTCAACATAGGTCAAAGAATTGGCTCTGAACTTCGTAGCACTAGAGTGCATCCAAACTCATCGGATTTTTGCATTTAACATAGTGCTTAGAACATTGTTAACACTTATGAAATAATGAATGAATTTAGGGAACTACTTGTAATCACATATATAAGAGCCTATCTGATCATCTAGAATGCTAGTTTATTAATTATATGGAAAAGCATACCTACTGAGGGGACCAGGGTATTCTTCCTCTCTGGTCACCACATCTTGGAACCATAAAGAAAATCTATATGGTAATAAACAGAGCAGAAAAGAAAAGGGTAACATTTTGCAGGTGGCATTTTTGTGCTGGGTGCTTTTCTTTCAAACATTTGTTTAGTACTTGTTACATATGCTTGGACCTGGGAATTCAAAGATGAGTAAGAACTAGTTCCTAACCTTAAAGAGTTTACAGTCTAATAGGAGAATACAGTAGTAAGTAAATAATTACAATGAAGCATCAGAACTATGAAAAAGGTATTCTTGGTGCTATGGGAACACAGGGACATGACACCTCTAAGGATAGCATCTCAGTGAAAGTGATACTTGACCTGAGTTTCAAAGGATGTAGGTATAAGTCAAGGAAAGGGGGAAAGAGAGATATTCTAAAGAAGGGAACAGCATGGGTCAAAGTACAGGAGAATGAGGCAGTTTGATAGATTTTGGGGACTGTAGTAATTTCAGACAGCTGCATGTTAGGATACATAGATTGGGAAGTGATTAGAGATGAAGCTAGGGAGGTAGGCAGGAGTACTGTGTTGAAAGCCTTCTCTTCTCAGCTGAAGTTTGGACTTTTTTCCTGAGAATTATGGAAAACTAGCACAATGGTTCCTGAATACAAGAGGAGTGTATAGCTTTGCATTTAGAAAAATAAAGCTAGTGACTGTAGTTAAGATGAATTAGAGATAGCCAGACTAGATTCTTTACAAATATGATCTTTATTCAGCTTAACATTGCTGTCCAGTTAGTTGTTATTTCCCCCACTCTACAGTCGAAGAAACTGAGTCATGACCCTTTGTTAGCCCTATCAGCCCTGTGCTCTGACCCTGTTGTTGAGTGGGTGGGCCAGGCTAGAGGAGAACTGAGTGTATCTAGGTGATCATCCCAAATTCTCTGGTTCTTTCTGGACCTAACAGGTGTAAATCTGGCTCTCTTGAGCACATCAAATGCCATGTGCTCTGTTTTATCTGGGCAGGCCTAGAGTCCCTTCAAAGGGACTACAGAAAATGTCCTTGAAGTGAACCAAGTTCACTTAAACTAAAGTTTATAAAGACAGGCTTTTAGCTTCATTCTGCTGAAGAAAGTAGGTTTAGGACACTGAATATAGATCTAAGTATAGGAACTCAAGCACAAATACTTCTTTTTATTGAGTGCTACCAAAGGTAGTATTTAGCTTTTCAGATCATCCGTTTCTCTCATACTTCTCCATATCCCTCTTGTCTGAGCTTTTTATCCTCTTGTGCAAGGGTCTTATACAAGGCATGTCATTTGATGTGTTTGTTGAATGCGTCAAGCCATCCATCCAACCTTACTTCCATGTTTTATTCATTTTCCTGAGGATAAGGATTTAACTGTGTTGCTTTTGGGTGTCTTCCCACCTGTAATGACCTGCCCTTATTTTCCTTTGATAATCATAATAATTTACACATTGCTTTGAGAAGAAAACTGGTTATCTAAAACAGGAAAGGTTTCATATTATTGCCATCTATGAATCAGTTAACTCCATTTTCCTGAATTGAAGTGAATCTAATGAAGCAAACTTTGAGATTCAGAAGGAACTATTAGTTCCTTCTGTTTTATAAATCTCATTTTAATATTCAGCAAGTTAGTAAAATTCAAGTCTCTGGGCTTAAATCTGCCACTTACTGCCAGAGTGATGTTGGCAGTTTATTTAACTCCTCTGAGATTCTGGCTTATGAAAAACACTCAACAAATATTAACTCCGTTGTATTTATTTCTGGTCTCCTGCTAACCTCCTACTTCCCCCCACCCCCCCCCAAAATATCGCCCGAACCCTAGTGAAACATAGCTAAATTGAGTGTCAAGACAGCCTCCTGATAGGGAGAAGGTCGAAAAACAGGAGCCCATGAGACACGAGGAAGAGAAAATAGACCACTCTTGATTTCATCAAATCTTAGACTTCTCTAAGTCTTGTTGCCTCTCAGCGCATGAATCCCTTCCACAACAGCTCTGCCTGGTAGTCATTTGGCTTTGGCTTTAAATCAGAGATCTTACTATTTTCATTACTTTTGTTTGTTTGTTTTATTTTGTTTTGTTTTTTGAGACAGAGTCTTGCTCTGTCACCCAGGCTGGAGTGCAGTGGCGCAGTCATGGCTCACTGCATCCTCAACCTCCTGGGCTCAGGTGATCCTCCCACCTTAGCCTCCTGAGTAGCTGGGACTGCAGACACACACCACCATGCTCAGCTAATTTTTGTGTTTTTTGTAGAGATAGGGTTTTACCATGTTGCCCAAACTCTTGAACTCCTGGACTCAAGCAATTTGCCCACTTCAGTCTCCCAACGTGCTGGGATTACAGGTGTGAGCCACCACACTCAGCCTACTTTTCATTATTGAAGATAGTTAGGGCAGGGTAAAAGTTTTCATGTTTTCTACCAGCTTCATAGTTTCTTTTGCAAATTGCTGTATTGGGGTTTGTAGACCTTTCAAAGGAGAAAGGACCACAGCACCCTCAGTGAGTATTTCCTCCAAGCTTGGTCTTGGTTCCTGCTTGACTAGCCTTATTCTTCTCCATCTTCTTTTAGGTGTGTATCCTCTGTTTGGACGAAATGCTTCCAACCTCTCAGGAGCTGCCTTGCGAGTTCATGTGG
Source organism: Homo sapiens (assembly GCF_000001405.40). Lineage (NCBI taxonomy): Eukaryota > Metazoa > Chordata > Mammalia > Primates > Hominidae > Homo > Homo sapiens. The sequence goes on along the minus strand of NC_000011.10, from coordinate 74,074,534 downwards.
TTCTTTCCTCTCTTTCCTCACACCTTGAGCCCACTCATGAGCTGGACTCCATGGACTGCAGCAGCCACAGTGAGTCTGAGCAGCTCCCCAGAAGGAATGATGAGGTCCAGCTCTCTCCACCAGAAGTCATCTCCTGCCACCAGAAGTCTCCTGCCTCCACCCAGGTCCCCTGCAGCAGCACCACAGCTGAAGTCCGCCTGACGCAGGAGGGCCCTGCTGATTTGGATGGAACGTTTGCAGTCAGCATCCTAGTAGAAAGAGCAATGCACTTGAGCTTGAAAGGTATGCTCTCCTCACCTACCCAGGAGCATGTCTAACTCTTCAGGGTGTGCTCCTTTCTTCACAAATCTTTCAAATCATGGCAGGATCTGTTAATTATCTCAACTGATAAATATTTATTTCTCAAGCCTAAAGGTTTAAGCAACATGAAAGCTTTTCTGAACTTGTTGCATATCGTAAATTCCCCAGTCCAGCCACCTGAGTCTCAACCTAGATAGATACTTCTCTTTTCCTTATCCACTGTCAAATCATCGGATCCCTAACTTGTTCTTTATTAAATTTCTCAGATTTCTTCCTTCTGCATTCCTGCCAACTCAGGCCTTCCTAATGCACCTAGGGCCAGGTGTTTTTAACATTGGGTCCTTAAACATCCAAGGGATCCGTGAAAAGTTCAAACTCCGGGTTAGTGGCCTTGGATAGGAAAATAATTACATCTTTATTTTTAGCAACCTCTAGCTAAAATTTAACATATTTCCTCTCATTATGAATATAGGCAGTAGATCCTAGTAATAGTACCTGTGATATTGTCAACAATAGAAATCACAGGTATTTCCATATCACATCATTATTGCAGATATCTTAGAATATCACTTATAACTATGATTTCTTTGAAATTACAATAGTTAGGGGGGTTTTTTTGTTTGTTTTGATTTTTTTTTTTTTTTTTTTGAAACAAAGTCTTGCTCTGTCGCCCAGGCTGCAGTGCAGTGGCACGATTTCGGCTCACTGCAACCTCCACCTCCCAGCTTCAAGCAATTCTCCTGCCTCAGCCTCCTGAGTAGCTGGGATTACAGGCTTGTGCCACCACTCCTGGCTAATTTTTGTATTTTTAGTAGAGATGTGTTTTCACCATGTTGGACAGGCTGATCTCGAACTCCTGACCGCAAGTGATCCACCCACCTCAGCCTCTCAAAGTGCTGGGAGTACAGACGTGAGCCACTGTGCCAGACCTACAGTAGTTATTACCTATAGTTAGACCTTGTTACTAAAGCACATATATTACTATATCACAAAGTTCTTTTAGTTTTGATAACTCTATGTAAATATAATTGGATTTCTCTGTAATCCTATGTGTTTTACATTATGCATTTTAAAGAAACACTGTTAAAAGAAGAGGCCCATAGACCTTGCCAGATTGCCAGAGTCCATGGCACAAAGAATTCCTGCCCTACCTTTATTCAGCATTGTAATCTCCTAAAATTTCCCCTTTGCCGTCACCCTTCTCTTTTGCCTGGCTACTTCCAGCTCCTCTCTTCAGACCCAGCTCAGGCATCACCATTTCCTGGAGGGCTTTCCCAATATAAAGGCCCCCTTCTATTTGCTCCCCTGGCACTTTGCCCCTGTATCATATCATATGTCACACAGTACTGCAGTTGTTTCCATGGTTTTCTTTTCAACTAGATATGAACTGTTCAAAAGCAAAGACCTCATCTCATTTGTTCATTCATCATGCATTCATTTATTTTACAACAAAACTTACTGTATTTGCTACATGCTAAGCCCTGTCCTTGGTGCCAGGGATAAAACAGTAAAAAAAAAGGACAGACAAAAATTGTGCCCTGTGGAGATTACATTCTAGTAGGAATATATTTATCCCTGTGTCCCTAGCCAATAAATTGTATGTGTACATATGTGTGACTTTGAGCAAGGTATTCTTTCTCTCTGTCTTGAATTTCTCATCTGTAAATGGCTGTGATTAACAATGTTCAGATGTGTGGTGTCTATGAGAGCCAGTCAACCATGGCCTTATGAATCCAGAAAGTTTCAATATACATCATTTGATTCAGATTTGACCTCTCTGTTTGGCTCCTGTCATCTCTGTTTTGGTGTCTCTCAAACTGTGTCATGTGTCCTTACTACTTTAGAACAGAAACAAAACCTGTGCTCATAGTAACTATTATTTATCTCTCATTCCTACTCCTCCCCGTTTATACTACCAACAGCCATTACTCCTGGGATTATAAGCTTCCATAATGATCCTTGATGTTCTCATCCATTTCAGCCATTGTGTATCAGAAACCTTGAAACATTCTATATCAGGACAAAGTCTTCTTCAAGTGCAGTGTGAATCACAAAATTGAACAATTTTTACTTGTTTTTAAAGAAAAAAAAATTTTCTGCCCCACCAAAGCAGCCATTTTTGACAAATTTTTTTTAAAGACCAAAAAAATCAATAGATGAATGAGTTTAAGGAAAGTATTAAAAAGCTTCTTTTATTTTTGGAAAGTTTTTTTTTGTAGTTGCATTGAAAATAAAATTTAATATACAAAAGATATGGTATATGTTACATTTTAGGAGAATTCCCATATTGTTAAAAAAAAGCAAAATATACTTACAAATTTTCAATGAGACAGTGAATTACAGTTTTATAATATCACTTGGCAAAATTTTATAATAATTTATTGAGCATCATCTGCTGTGTGCTGAGTTCTATTCTAGTCTTTGTACATTAATTATGGGTTAGGTATCCCAAATCCAAAAGCACCAACTTGGTGCTCAAAGGAAATGCTCATAGGAATATATCAGGTTTCAGATTTTCAGATTTGGCATACTGAATAAGTATAATGCAGATATTACAAAATCTGAAATACCTCTTGCCCCAAGCATTTCAGATCAGGGTTATTCCCTGTATCCCCTTTAATCCTTGCCACGAGCAGGATTATAGTTTGAAGAGATTACAATACATAATCATTTCACAAATGAGGAGACCGAAGTTCAAAAAGGTAAAATGACCTGAAGTTACATAGTTAATGCGCTCTGCAGAACCAGATGGGCAGGTCTATACTCAAAGAGACAATGGGCAGATCTCTATACTATAGGTCTACACTCTATGCTCAGCACAGTGCCTGACTGACACATAAATGTCTGTGGGAGGAAGGACTGCATGGGCTTATCACTGCAGGGTGGAAATCAGGATACAACAGTGACGTCTGGAAAGTCAGATGTCTACCCTATGCTTGCCTTGACCTGGCTAAACAGAAAGAGGCTAAATAACAAGTGATTTACAGGTCTGCAACTCTTGCCAGAAATGTGAGAGGCGTTATGTCTCATATTCATAAAACAGGAGGACATTATGTTTGCTTTGCTGCATCATGAAGATCACAGTGCTGGGATAAACAAACAACACACAGTCCCTGTCCCCAAGGAACAGCCTAATGGAGAGACATGTTAACATTTTTAGTACAGAGGAATAAACGATATGAAAGAGGAAAGCTGTGGGGAGGTGGATGTGGTAGTATAGGAAAACTTTGAGAACACAGAGGGCATTTTTTTGCTAATGGGGTGGTCAGGGCAGGCTTCCAAGTATTGGTGTCACTTTAGCCTACTCTTGAAGGAGGAGGAGCAAGTTTGCTGAATGAAAGAGGAAAAAGGCATTCTAATGAGAAGAAACAGCATGCTCAAAAGCTTGGTAGTATGAGAGAATGGGACATTGGCCAAAAAAAGGTCATTAAATGTGAGTAAAAAGTAGTGAGAAATGGGGCTGGAAAGACTAATTAGGCTACATAGGCAGCATTTTGTATGCTACATGACTGACACTGCAGGTGAGATGAAACCAACAAAATCTTAATCTGTGGAGAGGCAAGGTCATATTTGTTGACCAGACATGAAATCTTGGTGGCAGTATGAAAAAGATACTGGAGAATACCGAAAGCAGCAATCACTGAGAGGGCCGTCACATTAGTTCAAGTTCTGAAGCCTAAACAAGCAAGGTGGCAGCAAGAATGGAGAACAGGCGACAGAAACTTTCTGGTAGGAGACCATGATTCTACACTCTGTACTTCTGACTTTCCTCTTGCCTTAATAGTGTTCTCAGAGTGTCTGTCCTTTTTATGCCTTGGAAGCTCTTTCTTAAGGAAGGAAATGAGTGGTTCCTTCATGCAAACCTTTATGCAGAGGATTCACAAACAGCCCCAAATTAGGAGCTTTGCCTTCAGCAAAGCTGAGTTCTGAAGCAGCTCTGAAATGGTCTGTGGTCACCACTGTAGTCCTGGTTCTGAAAATAAAAGAACTTCTTGGATACTTATGTTAGAAAAAGCTCTGAGGAACCTTCGGTTAAGATCAGCTTCAATACTCTTAAGGTTTGTATACTTATATTAGACAAAACAGGTATTTCTAGCCCTGTTTTACAAATGAGACAAATAAGGAACAGAGAGGTAAAATGATTTGAAGTAGCATAAGTTATACTCAGTAAAAAGTAAAATCAGCTTCAATATTATCAACTTTTAGAGGCATTCTTTAGCCCATCAAGGCAGAGTTCAGGACACCTCTGGGTTCCCATGTGCTTTTAGCATAGTCTTTATCTTATTGGGTTGTAATTATCTGTCTGTGTTTGTCTCCCGCAGATCAAGAATCAAATCTGACTCACCTTGTACAGGTGTGACACAGAGGAGGTGTCAGCTAATGTTAGCTTAATACACCTGCTGGGCTAAGTTTTTATTAACATAAAAAATTGGACATTGCTTAAGGGGGAAGTTTCCATCCATTCACTCCAGGCCAAAGGGAGAGCACTTCTCTTAACCAGATGGAGATAATTAGAATGATTGCAATGGAAAAAAATCTAAAGTACGAGTCAGGAAACCGTGGTTCTTCTCAATGCTAGTTAACCAGGTATGTGATGAGCAAGCCACTTCTCTGTTCCTTGGTTGCCTTATTTTTATAATAGGGATAGAGATGCCTATCTTATGCGATTTTCAGAGACGTTATCAGCACAACTTTAGTGTGTAAGAAAACAGTGTGCAAGCTGTAACGCATTATCTAAATATGAGAAGTTGTTATTTTAATCTCACTGAAACAATTACACCTTTCTTGATGCATAAAATTCTTAAATGGCATAACTGGTTCACCTCAGGTCTTCTTAATGTGTGTCCCAACCCTGTGGGGGGTATAGCAGCCTTCTTTTGGGCTGCTTCCAAAAGTATTTCAGAACTTGACCTTTTTCAGAATGTAAACAGGCCCAGATGAATTTCCACCTACAAGAGGAGAGCCAGAGAAACCTGATAGACCTGCTCTCCCAAGCTGATTTCTTTTTCACCCACCTGTTTGGCTAAAAGGAATGTGTCTGTTCAAGACTAAATAAGGAACTATCTTCTTCCAAAGTCAAAATAGTTTTGTTTCAAGGCCTTTAGCAAATAGCAGCTTTAAAAATAAACTGGAGGATGGCCGGACGCAGTGGCTTATGCCTGTAATCCCAGCACTTTGGGAGGCTGAGGCAGACAGATCACTTGAGGTCAGGAGTTCAAAACCAGCCTGGCCAACATGGTGAAACCCTTTCTCTACTAAAAATACAAAAATTAGCTGAGCGCAAGCCTGCAATTCCAGCTACTCAGGAGGCTGAGGCAGGAGAATCACTTGAACCCAGGAGGTGGAGGTTGCAGTGAGCCGAGATCGTGCCTCTGCACTCCAGCCTGGGCGACAGAGTGAGTGAGACTCCGTCTCAAAAAATAAATAAATAAATAAATAAACCAGAGGGATGGGGGTAGTGCCATGAGAGATGTGAGCAAGGTTGATATATATCTAGAATTAGAATTTTACTGTGGAAGGTGGTTTGAGAGCACTTATTTCTGATGAGAAAACCGAGGCCCAGTTAGCCAGAATGAAGTGGTGTATCCAATATGTCACACTAAAGCAATGGCAGACTACATTGGAACCTAGGTGTCCTGCCTCTGGGAACAGTGATTGGTCCTCTCTGCTGATCTTCCTCAGAGCTTTCTTGAGAAGATGTTGCTATCTTCTGTGGGTATGTACTGCAAGCAGACAAGGCAACTCCTCTCTCTAACCCTGGGCAACTATCTGTAGACAAAGGGCAGTGGGAAGTCAGCAAACATTTAATAAGGGCCTTGGGAATACTCTGTGCATTCAAAGAGCTCTCAGTCTAGTGAGGGAAACACAGATTATTATACAATATGTGAGAGCTGCTGTGGTAGAGCCAGGTTATCTCTTCCTAATTGTGAGGATTTATGACATTTTATTGGAAGAAATTAGTTGAAGCTTAAGACCGAAAAAGGAAAATGGGAGAAAGAATGAGAGATGAAAGCTATATCAGGCAGAGGAAATGGAACCCACTCCAGCCATTTTAAGCAGAGAGGAGTTTAATATAGAATATTAAGGTACTTTAAGTCATTAGAAGGGCTAGAGGAGTGAGCTCTAGGCTAAACTTCTAGGAGGGAACCACTAAATCTTTTAAGTTCAGAATACAGTGCCAAAACTGAAATCTAAGAATCAGAAGCTCTCGTCATAGCCATTGCCACAGGGCCTCTCTGCACCCAGGGACCAAATGCTAGATCAAAAAACACAATGTCTCTACATCATCATCCTTGTTATTAGCAAAAGCAGAAGGAAAAGAAAGATGTCCTCTGCTTCCCGCCTGCCTTCCAGATCTTTTGTGAGGGCATCTGATTGGTAGAGGCCAATTTGCATCCATACCCTAGCTGCAAAAGAGTCCGAGAAATGTAGCTTTTAATGCTTCCAATCTGTACAATAAAGGAGTACAATGCAATAAAAGTAGGTGGGGGTGGATGCTCAGCAAGTCAATCCGCATAAATACTGTTCAGTTTCACTAAAATAAAACTTTTAAGAAGATAGCTCACTGGGTACTATTAGTGATATTTTATACATTTACATTAGTAATATGAATACTATTTTATTGATTTCCATTAACTGATTTTTTGCCTACTACCATTAAATTAGAATTACCTTTCCCTGTTCTTTCAAAAATATGCTGTAACTCCTACTGCTTCCCTTGACTAGCCTTAAAAAATTTTTTTCTTTAATATGCTTGTAAACTGGTTTGGCCAAGTTGTAGCCAGTGATTATTTTGTTTTGTTGTTTTGCTCCTCATATAGTTCTCTATATCTTTAATGCTTTCCCGGTTCTAAGGCTCCTCTGCCTTTTTCCAGGTTCAGCCTTTTTCCAGGTCCTGCTTTGTTGGCAACTTGTACATGCCTCAGTTCTCTCCTGCTTTGTGGACGCCACTAGATCTTCCTTCCAAGGCTAGCATTTCTCTTCAGTTCTCCTTCCCAAGCTTCCTCACAAAATCTCCATTCTCTTTTCTCTTCCCATCACCCAGTTTCTTTCTTTATTATTTCCAGTACAAATGACTGAAAAAGTAATGTCATCTGGTCTGGTTTTGTGCCCTGGGTGCTAGAAGTCACAAGATTAAATAATAGCATGTCAATTTTTTAACCAATATTTGGGAACAGAAATGCTGTTTTTCATTTATACATTTCAGATACAAATATGGTTGTATTATGGAATATAATATAAAACCTTCATGAATTTCTAAAATGAAAGACAAGCCTACTAGTAGATGTTATGCTTATTGTAGTTGTTTTAAGGCAACAGGGACCCCTACACTTCAGAGTTTAATGTTTACTCTTCTCTGAGTTTAATGTTTACTCTTCTCTGAATCATTGTTACTTTGGTGGGAAAGTTTGAAAAGAATTTGGTCTATGACATGGTGCTGTAAATTCTTCTACTTGTGGACTAATTTTGGTGACCATCTTTCTGTCTCTGCAGTCTCTTAAGCAGATTGACTATGATGCATGTCACATTCAAGTTTAATTGTGTAATAAAACAGTTTTCTTTCTGTTCAAAAAAAAAAAGAATTGGTCTAATGGAAATTCTTTACGTTGAGGAAAACATATCAAAGCAAAGCTGTAGCTACTTTTCTTTCCCTGAAAGAAATTTTAAGTTGGAAGCTCTAACTGGGGTTATAAAGTTCAGTGATTGCACCTAGAGAGGCTTGTCAGAGTAGATGGAACTAGAACCTGTCTTTTAAAGACTACTTGTTAAATGTTTTTTTTTCTTTCTTTCTTTCTTTTTGACTTTTTTTTTATACTTTAAGTTCTAGGGTACATGTGCACAACGTGCAGGTTTGTTACATATGTGTGCAGATTTGTTACATATGTATACATGTGCCATGTTGGTGTGCTGCACCCATTAACTCGTCATTTACATTAGGTATATCTCCTAACACTATCCCTCCCCCCTCCTGTGTCCAAGTGTTCTCATTGTTCAAGTCCCACCTATGAGTGAGAACATGTGGTGTTTGGTTTTCTGTCCTTGAGATAGTTTGCTCAGAATGATGGTTTCTAGCTTCATCCATGTACCTACAAAGGACACGAACTCATCCTTTCTTATGGCTTCATAGTATTCCATGGTGTATCTGTGCCACATTTTCTATTTTATTTTTTATTATACTTTAAGTTCTAGGGTACATGTGCACAACGTGCAGGTTTGTTACATATGTATACATGTGCCATGTTGGTGTGCTGCACCCGTTAACTTATCATTTACTTTGGGTATATCTCCTAATGCTATCCCTCCCCCCTCCCCCCACCCCACGACAGGCCCTGGTGTGTGATGTTCCCCTTCCTGTGTCCAAGTGTTCTCATTGTTCAATTCCCACCTATGAGTGAAAACATGCGGTGTTTGGTTTTTTTGTTCTTGGGATAGTTTGCTGAGAATGATGGTTTCCAGCTTCATCCATGTCCTTACAAAGGACATGAACTCATCCTTTTTTATGGCTGCATAGTATTCCATGGTGTGTATGTGCCACATTTTCTTAATCCAGTCTATCATTGATGGACATGTGGGTTGGTTCCAAGTCTTTGCTATTGTGAATAGTGCCACAATAAACATACGTGTGCATGTGTCTTTATAGCAGCATGATTTATAATTCTTTGGGTATATACCCAGTAATAGGATGGCTGGGTCAAATGGTATTTCTAGTTCTAGATCCTTGAGGAATCGCCACACTGTCTTCCACAATAGTTGAACTAGTTTATAGTCCCACCAACAGTGTAAAAGTGTTCCAGTTTCTCCACACCCTCCCCAGCACCTGTTGTTTCCTGACTTTTTAATGATCGCCATTCTAACTGGTGTGAGATGGTATCTCACTGTGGTTTTGATTTGCATTTCTCTGACGGCCAGTGATGATGAGTTTTTTTCATGTGTCTGTTGGCTGCATAAATGTCTTCTTTTGAGAAGTGTCTGTTCATATCCTTTGCCCACTTTTTGATGGGGTTGTTTGATTTTTTCTTGTAACTTTGTTTAAGTTCTTTGTAGATTCTGGATATTAGCCCTTTGTCAGATGGGTAGATTGTAAAAATTTTCTCCCATTCTGTAGGTTGCCTGTTCACTCTGATGGTAGTTTCTTCTGCTGTACAAAAGCTCTTTAGTTTAATTAGATCCCATTTGTCAATTTTGGCTTTTGTTGCCATTGCTTTTGGTGTTTTAGACATGAAGTCCTTGCCTATGGCCTGAATGGTATTGTCGAGGTTTTCTTCTAGGGTTTTTATGGTTTTAGGTCTAACATTTAAGTCTTTAATCCATCTTGAATTAATTTTTGTATAAGGTGTAAGAAAGGGATTCAGTTTCAGCTTTCTACATATGGCTAGCCAGTTTTCCCAGCACCATTTATTAAATAGGGAATTCTTTTCCCATTTGTTTTTGTCAGGTTTGTCAAAGATCAGATGGTTGTAGATGTGTGGTATTATTTCCGAGGGCTCTATTCTGTTCCATTGGTCTATATCTCTGTTTTGGTACCAGTACCATGCTGTTTTGGTTACTGCAGCCTTGTAGTATAATTTGAAGTCAGGTAGTGTGATGCCTCCAGCTTTGTTCTTTTGGCGTAGGATTGTCTTGGCAATGCGGGCTCTTTTTTGATTGCATATGAACTTTAAAGTAGTTTTTTCCAATTCTGTGAAGAAAGTCATTGGTAGCTTGATGTGGATGGCATTGAATCTATAAATTACCTTGGGCAGTATGGCCATTTTCACGATATTGATTCTTCCTATCTATGAGCATGGAATATTCTTCCATTTGATTGTGTCCTCTTTTATTTCATTGAGCAATGGTTTGTAGTTCTCCTTGAAGAGGTCCTTCACATCCCTTGTAAGTTGGATTCCTAGGTATTTTATTCTCTTTGAAGCAATTGTGAATGGGAATTCACTCATGACTTGGCTCTCTGTTTTTGGTGTGTAGGAATGCTTGTGATTTTTGCACATTGATTTTGTATTCTGAGACTTTGCTGAAGTTGCTTATAGGGACATGGATGAAACTGGAAACCATCATTCTCAGCAAACTATCGCAAGGACAAAAAACCAAACACCGCATGTTCTCACTTATAGGTGGGAATTGAACAATGAGAACACATGGACACAGGAAGGGGAACATCACACTCCGGGGACTGTTGTGGGGTGGGACGGGGGAGGGATAGCATTAGGAGATATACCTAATGCTAAATGATGAGTTAATGGGTGCAGCACACCAAAATGGCACATGTATACATATGTAACAAACCTGCACATTGTGCACATGTACCCTAAAACTTAAAGTATAATAATAATAAAATTTAAAAAAGAGAGATTTTGGGCTGAGACGATGGGGTTTTCTAAATATACAATCATGTCATCTGCAAACAGGGACAATTTGACTTCCTCTTTTCATAATTGAATATTTCTTTCTCTTGCCTGATTGCCCTGGCCTGAACTTACAACACTATGTTGAATAGGAGTGGTGAGAGAGGGCATCCCTGTCTTGTGCCAGTTTTCAAGGGGAATGCTTTCAGTTTTTGCCCATTCAGATGATATTGGCTGTGGGTTTGTCATAAATAGCTCTTATTTTGAGATACACCCCATCAATACCTAGTTTATTGAGAGTTTTTAACATGAAGGGCTGTTGAATTTTGTCAAAGGCCTTTTCTGCATCTATTGAGATAATCATGTGGTTTTTGTCTTTGGTTCTGTTTATATGATGGATTACGTTTATTGATTTGCATATGTTGAAGCAGCCTTGCATCCCAGGGATGGAGCCAACTTGATCATGGTGGATAAGCTTTTTGATGTGCTGCTGGATTCGGTTTGCCAGTATTTTATTGAGGATTTTTGCATTGATGTTCATCAGGGATATTGGTCTAAAATTCTCTTTTTCTGTTGTGTTTCTGCCAGGCTTTGGTATCAGTATGATGTTGGCCTCATAAAATGAATTAGGGAAGATTCCCTCTTTTTCTATTGATTGGAATAGTTTCAGAAGGAATAGTACCAGCTCCTCTTTGTACCTCTGGTAGATGCGGCTGTGAATCCATCTGGTCCTGGATGTTTTTGGTTGGTAGGCTATTAATTATTGCCTCAATTTCAGAACCTGTTATTGGTCTATTCAAGGATTCAACTTCTTCCTGGTTTAGTCTTGGGAGGGTGTGTGTGTCCAGGAATTTATCCATTTCTTCTAGATTTTCTAGTTTATTTGCATAGAGATGCTTGTAGTATTCTCTGATGATAGTTTGTATTTCTGTGGGATGAGTAGTGATATCCCCTTTATCATTTTTTATTGTGTCTATTTGATTCTTCTCTCTTTTCTTCTTTATTAGTCTTGCTAGTGGTCTGTCAATTTTGTTGACCTTTTCAAAAAACCAGCTCCTGGATTCATTGGTTTTTTTTTTTGAAGGGTTTTTTGTGTCTCTATCTCCTTCAATTCTGCTCTGATCTTAGTTATTTCTTCCCTTCTGCTAGCTTTTGAATGTGTTTGCTCTTGCTTCTCCAGTTCTTTTAATTGTGATGTTAGGGTGTCAATTTTAGATCTTTCCTGCTTTCTCTTGTGGGCATTTAGTGCTATAAATTTCCCTCTACACACTGCTTTAAATGTGTCCCAGAGATTCTGGTATGTTGTGTCTTTGTTCTCATTGGTTTCAAAGAACATCTTTATTTCTGCCTTCATTTCGTTATGTACCCAGTAGTCATTCAGGAGCAGGTTGTTCAGTTTCCATGTAGTTGAGCAGTTTTGAGTGAATTTCTTAATCCTGAGTTCTAGTTTGATTGCACTGTGGTCTGAGAGACAGTTTGTTATAATTTCTGTTGCTTTACATTTGCCGAGGAGTGCTTTACTTCCAACTATGTGGTCAATTTTAGAATAAGTGTGATGTGGTGCTGAGAAGAATGTATATTCTGTTGATTTGGGGTGGAGAGTTCTGTAGCTGTCTATTAGGTCCGCTTGGTGCAGAGCTGAGTTCAATTCCTGGATATCCTTGGTGACTTTCTGTCTCGTTGATCTGTCTAATGTTGACAGTGGGGTGTTAAACTCTCCTATTATTATTGTGTGGGAGTCTAAGTCTCTTTGTAGATCTCTAAGGACTTGCTTTATGAATCTGAGTGCTCCTGTATTGGGTGCATATATATTTAGGATAGTTAGCTCTTCTTGTTGAATTGATCCCTTTACCATTATGTAATGGCCTTCTTTGTCTCTTTTGATCTTTGTTGGTTTAAAGTCTGTTTTATCAGAGACTAGGATTGCAACCCCTGCTTTTTTTTTGTTTTCCATTTGCTTGGTAGATCTTCCTCCATCCCTTTATTTTGAGCCTGTATGTGTCTCTGCACGTGAGATGGGTCTCCTGAATACAGCACACTGAAGGGTCTTGACTCTATCCAATTTGCCAGTCTGTGTCTTTTAATTGGAGCATTTAGCCCATTTACATTTAAAGTTAATATTGTTAATGTGTGAATTTGATCCTGTCATTATGATGTTAGCTGATTATTTTGCTCGTTAGTCGATGCAGTTTCTTCCTAGCATTGATGGCCTTTACAATTTGGCATGTTTGTGGAGCGGCCAGTACTGGTTGTTCCTTTCCATGTTTAGTACTTCCTTTGGGAGCTCTTGTAAGGCAGGCCTGGTGGTGAGAAAAATCTCTCAGCATTTGTCTTTACAGGACTTCATTTCACTTTCACTTATGAAGCTCAGTTTGACTGGATATGAAATTCTGGGTTGAAAATTCTTTTCTTTGAGAATGTTGAATATTGGCCCCCACTCTCTTCTGGCTTGTAGAGTTTCAGCTGAGAGATCTGCTGTTAGTCTGATGGGCTTCCCTTTGTGGGTAACCCAACCTTTCTCTCTGGCTGCCCTTAACATTTTTTCCTTCATTTCAACTTTGGTGAATCTGACAATTATGTGTCTTGGAGTTGCTCTTCTCGAGGAGTATCTTTGTGGCATTCTCTGTATTTCCTGAATTTGAATGTTGGCCTGCCTCACTAGGTTGGGGAAGTTCTCCTGGATAATATTCTGAAGAGTGTTTTCCAACTTGGTTCCATTCTCCCTGTCACTTTCAGGTACAGCAGTCAGATGTAGACTTGGTCTTTTCACATAGTCCCATATTTCTTGGAGGCTTTGTTCATTTCTTTTTACTCTTTTTTCTCTAAACTTCTCTACTCGCTTCATTTCATTCATTTGATCTTCAATCACTGATACCCTTTCTTCCACTTGATCAAATGGGCTACTGAAGGTTGTGCACACATCACATAGTTCTCGTGCCATGGTTTTCAGCTCCATCAGGTCATTCAAGGACTTCTCCACACTGTTTATTCTAGTTAGTCAGTCGTCTAATCTTTTTTCAAGGTTTTTAGCTTCTTTGCAATGGGTTCGAACATCCTCCTTTAGCTTGGAAAAGTTTGTTATTACTGATGGTCTGAAGCCTTCTTCTCTCAACTCGTCAAAGTCATTCTCCGTCCAACTTTGTTCCGTTGCTGGCGAAGAGCTGTGTTCCTTTGGAGGAGGAGAGGCGCTCTGATTTTTAGAATTTTCAGCTTTTCTGCTCTGGTTTCTCCCCATCTTTGTGGTTTTATCTACCTTTGGTCTTTGATGATGGTGACGTCCACATGGGGTTTTGGTGTGGATGTCCTTTCTGTTTGTTAGTTTTCCTTCTAACTTTCAGGACCCTCAGCTGCAGGTCTGTTAGAAATTTGCTGGAGGTCCACTCCAGACCCTGTTTGCCTGGGTATCACCAGCGGAGGCTGCAGAACAGCAAATATTGCAGAACAGCAGATGTTGCTGCCTGATCCTTCCTCCAGAAGCTTCGTCTCAAAGGGGAACCCAGCTGTATGGGTGTCAGTCAGCCCCTACTGGGAGGTGTCTCCCAGTTAGGCTACTCAGGGGTCAGGGACCCACTTGAGGAGGCAGTCTGTCCGTTCTCAGATCTCAAACTCCGTGCTGGGAGAACCACTACTCTCTTCAAAGCTGTCAGACAGGGACGTTTAAGTCTGCAGAAGTTTCTGTTGCCTTTTATTCAGCTATGCCCTGCCCCCAGAGGTGGAGTCTACAGAGGCAGGCAAGCCTCCTTGAGCTGCGATGGGCTCCACCCAGTTCGAGCTTCCCAGATGCTTTGTTTACCTACTCAAGCCTCAGCAATGGTGGACATCCTTCCCCCAGCCTCACTGCCACCTTGCAGTTCGATCTCAGACTGCTGTGTTAGCAGTGAGCGAGGCTACATGGGCGTGGGACCCTCCAAGCCAGGCGCGGGATACAGTCTCCTGGTGTGCCGTTTGCTAAGGCCGTTGGAAAAGTGCAGTATTAGGGTGGGAGTATCCTGATTTTCCAGGTACCATCCATCATGGCTTCCCTTTGCCAGGAAAGGGAATTCCCCAACCCCTTGTGCTTCCTGGGTGAGGCAATGCCCTGCCCTGTTCCATGGGCTGCACCCACTGTCTGATAAGCCCCGGTGAGATGAACCCGGTACCTCAGTTGGAAATACAGAAATCAACCGTCTTCTGCGTTGCTCACGCTGGGAGCTGCAGACTGGAGCTGTTCCTATTCGGCCATCTTGGAACCTCTTTCAAGACTACTTGTTAAATGTTAAACTGCATGTGGACAGGAATAAAATCTGTGGTTCCTGAGTGTGAATTTGTTCATCAGAATGCTTTCTGTCCAGAGGGACAGACTGAGGCCCCTGGAGGAGTACTTACTGAAAGGAGCAGCGAGATAGAGAAAAGGGTGGAGCCTCAAAGATGAACTTCACCTATCAGGAGAAGTGGGAGTATGGATTTGGAGAAATCTTTCTTTTTTTTTTTTTTTTTTTTTTTTTGAGACAGAGTCTCGCTCTGTCACCCAGGCTGGAGTGCAGTGGTGCAATCTCGGCTCACTGCAAGCTCCGCCTCCCAGGTTCACGCCATTCTCCTGCCTCAGCCTCCCAAGTAGCTGGGACTACAGGCAGCCACCACCACGCCTGGCTAATTTTTTGTATTGTTTAGTAGAGACGGGGTTTCACCATGTTAGGCAGGAGAGAATTCTTGAGCTAGACAGTTATAAAGAATACAAACCAGTTAGAATACACATACAGAATCTGTTCCCTGGAGCATGTCGATTATGTTTAGGACATACTTCTTCTATTCTTTTCTGCTCTGCTCATCTCTTTTCCTTCATCTGTAATCCTGACATTCATAGCATTTTAGAGCTGAAAGTGATCTCGTGAAATATATAGTCTATATTTTGTAAAGTGTCTATTATTCAGTGCTATCCAAAAGAACTTTCTGTTATGATGGAAATGTTCTGTGGGTTCAGTGTCCAGTATGGTAGCCACTAGCCCCATGTGGCTATCGAGCACTTGAAATATGGCTAGTGCAACCAAGGAAGTAAATTTTTTATCTTTAGTTTTAATTAATTTAAAGGTGAATGGCCACATGTGGCTAGTGGGTTATCTTCCTGGACAGCTCAGTTAGACTATCTAGTATCATCAGCCATCTTCATTTTACACTGTCTTAAGACAGAATAACTTGACCAAGTCTCCCACATTGGAAACCTGATCTTGTAAAAATTAACATTAGGTATTCTCACCAGCACCCAGTATTTTACATTTGTTAACCCCATAGTAGAGGCAATATAGGAGACAGTTTAGAACATGGACTCTGGAGCCAGAATGCTTGAATTGGACTCTCAGTTCTACCATTTAATAAATATGTGACCAACTAATTTAATTTCTCAGTACCCAGTTTTTAGAAATCTATATGATAGAAATAATAATGATAGAAATAACAATGATAGAAATAATGATAGAAATCTACATGATAGAAATAATCAATAGGATAGAAATAGCTATCTTATAGGGTTGTTGTAAGGATTAAATGAGTTAATATATATAAAGTACATAGAACAGTGCCTTACATATCACAGTAAGTGATATGTAAGTGTTACTTACTCTTAGTATTTATCTTAATCCTTACAATATCTTTGGAAGTGTAAGTATAATATGCCCAATTTTACAGTTGAAGAAGCTGTGGCCTAGATACTTCTTGCCCAAAATCACATTGCATGTATGTGGCAGAGCCAATATTTGGTCATCTGACTCTTAGGTTCAGGACTCTTTGTAGTTCTGTCCTGTCTTTTGCCTCTCAACACAGTATTTTCCATCTTCCCACAAAGTACAGAACATGAGAGAAGTCACTTCTTTTTGGAGAATATTTATGAACTGAGCCTTAAAAAGACAGGGTAATAGCAGAAAGGTCACTGAAAACATGTCATCAATTGATTGATTGATTGATTGACACGGTCTCACTCTGTACCCCAGTCTGGAGTGTAGTGGTGCAATCTCAGCTCACTGCAGCCTCTGCCTCCCAGACTCAAGAGATCCTCCCACCTCCTGAGTAGCTGGGACTACAGGCATGTGCCACCATGCTTGGCTAATTTTTTTTTTATACATGGGATCTCACTGTATTGCCCAGGCTGGTCTTGAATTTCTGCGCTCAAGTTGTCCTCCTACCTTGGTCTCCCAACGTGCTGGGATTACAGGCTTGAGCCACTACACCCAGCCTGAAAACATTTCAGACACAGGGGGATAGCTTGAGCAAAGACCCCATAGGAAGAAGAGGGCCAGGAATAGTCCTGCTTGTGCCTGTATAATCTGAGGCTTCTTGTGTACCCTAAAGTACAGTCACTGCACTTTATTCTATTTCAGGGAGCCCCTTGACAGAGCGGAAAGTATCGATACCCAGTTGTTGTGTATCCTTTGCAACAGCCGATGAGTCATCTCCTGTATACACCCAAGTGGTTGAAAACACAGATTCCCCCATCTGGAATTTTCAACAGCAGTCAAGGTTTGTGTTATCCGTTATTCGTCAGCCTTCCAGAATCTGCTTTTTGTTCCAAGACACAAAGTCAGAGCAAGGACTATAACCAACACAATTTTTGAGCAGACCTGGAAAATGCTTTTCTTATCCAAGCAATTATTTAATCCTAGTGTTTATGAATTCACAGGAAGCAGTGGTTTAAAGGTTTTGTTTTAGTGTTTTTAACTCTTCTCAGTATGCTCAAAAATTGTTCAGTGAGAGGACCTCTCTGTTTTAGGCACTTGGAATTAAAGATTATTAAGATACTCCATGCAATTGAGGAGTTCATGGTCTTACCTGGGAAAAAATATCAATAACAAATTACCATCAAGCTGGGTTTGGTGACACATGCCTGTAATCCCAGCTACTGGGGGAGGGGAGGGGTGGCATTGGAGGATGGTGGAGCCCAGGTGGGAGCATCACTTGAGCCCAGGAGTTCGAGACTTGCCTGGGCAATATAGCAAGACCATGTCTCAAAAAAAAAAAAAAAAATTACAATAAAGAGAAATAAGAAGGGGATGCTGGTAGAGCTCAGAAAAAAAGATTATTTAGGACAACCTAGAAGTTCAGGGAAGGCTTCATAAATAAGACACCTCAGCTAAATATTGAAGAATGTATATAAGTTATCCAGATGAATAAGAGTCGGAAAGATATTCCAAACAAAAAGAACTAATATCAGAAAAGGCTGTGGATTTTCATCCTTGGAAAAGACTTCTGGTGTAGTGGAAAGACCCTGGGCATTTGAACCAGAGACACTTGGTCTCCAACTCCATCTCTGTAATTTACTGACTGTGTGATCAAGTTACATAACATCTCTGAGCCACAGATTCTTCATCTGTAAAGTGGGGATCATTTTTATAAGGTCATTGTTAGGTCCAAATTAGATGACATTTAGGGCCTCATGGTACATATAGCAGGTATACAACAAATGTTAGGTCTCCCTTGGGAGGCTCAAAAAATAGGAGGTAAAGTTCTGTCAGCCACTGTGTGGTGCCACTCAGATTTTATTAGGACAAAGAGGGCTAATTAAATGTGAGGGGGCTGGCATAGGAAGCCATGAATTAAACTTTATTAAATGTGATGCAATGTTATGATAATAGTAACAAAATCATTGTTAGAATTTATACTGTATCACCTTTTATAAAGTTTAATTCTTGTCCACCAACACTAGCCATACCCATGGTGTCTGGTCTTCTGTTTTCTCACAGTGTTTGTGTACTTATTGAGTCTCAGCAGTTGGTCACAGGTTCAGTGATTTGTAATTTGAGAGGCTGGGATGAGTCAGGAGCTAGAACTGCAGTGAAAACTCAGTGCTATCTATAGTGAGCTACTGGAAATTATAGAAATTCTGGCCATAGTGGCCAGAGTACTTCATATAAAATATCAGATCCTCCCCAAAAGGCAGGAAACCAGAGGACTGAGCTTCTAAGTGGAGGTGACTTGTTCATTCACAACCTAAAAACCTAACAGAATTACAAAACTTCACAAACGTGATGAAGGGACATTAGCAATATCCTGATTTCATCTCTTCACTTTACACTTGAGGAGACTGTGGCCCAGGGAGGCTACATAGTCTGTTGGCAACAGAGGCAGGATTGGAAGAAAAATGAATAATGGCACTGTTTATAATTCCTTTATCACAAAATTGTTTCTTTTGATCTTCATAGCAACTTGCAGGTCAATAGTATTATCCCATTTAACAGGTAAGAGAACCAGGCCTGGAAGAAGCTAAGTGCATGGCCAGAGTCACTCAGGTGATAATAGCAGAGCTAGCATTCAGAGGTGAATCTTTTAATTCCCAGCTAGAATTAGAATCTCTGACCAATATTTGTTTCACTTTAGCACCGTGCCGCTCATTGGTCAGGAAGTAGGCTCTATTCACTTCCCCAGGGGTGTTTGGGGAATGAAATCAAGCCTCTTGGTTTTCTCTAGATCTCCATCTTGCTTACCTGGAGCACTGGCACCTGGTTTGGAACTTTCCAACACTTTGTCACTTAAAACTGTAATTTATGTAATATATAAATGTATTGGAGGTGTTCAGTGGATTCCACTTCAGCTTCTTTATCTGGTGTGAAAGTTAGGCATTTTCTTATTTTGTTGCCTTGCCTCTGCATGGTGTAGCATTGAGGTCAGGCAAGCCAGGGTTTAAATCCTAGCCCTACTACTTACTGACTCTTAAGTGACCTCAAGCAAACCATTTTACTTCTCTGAGTCCAACCTTATCATCTGTAAAATAAGGATAATAATGTCCATGTTATAGGCTTTTGTGCAGATGAAATGTATATGAAACACGTGGTGCCATGCCTGGCCCAAGGTAGGCACTCAGTAAATGTTCTTTTTCTCTTCCTCTTCCCTTCTCTCCATTCTCTCATTCTAAGGCATAAGCGGAATCATTACCCATTCCAGTAAAACTCTTAAATGCATGTTGAGGAACTTCTTTTCCATACTTCCTCCTCTGTCTTAGGGAAACTTTGGGAGTGGTGGGGAGGAAATGTTGTGTCAGGGGAGCCTGTTTTCAAGTCTTGGCAAGTTACTTCACCTCTCTGAGCTTCCATCCCCTCATTTTAACTGTGAAGATAAAAATATATGCCAGAAGATGGCTAAGAAGATGAAATAGTGTTGGGAAAGTGCTTTGCAAATTACAAGATATTCTTCAAATCTAAGTTTTATACTACAGAAAGTTCCTATACATTTAGTTTACAGTGGTTGTTTTTCTTAATAGGCTATCAAAAGAGCTGCTTCTGGACCCACAACAAACCCTGGTCTTCAAAGTTTGGCATAAAGGAGGTATGAACTCTGTTAAAAGAATATCTGCTTGCTTGTAAAAATAAGCTCACATCCTGTTAACAATCTACCATTCCTTTTTTTTTTTTTTTTTTTTTTTTTCCAAACCAAGTGAAGCATTCCCGACAGTGCTGGGAATGCAGATATGTGGTAGAGGGTAATCCCCCAGAAGGCCACATTATTCTCCTGTAAGAAAAAAAAAATTTTTTTTTTTGAACAAGATCTTGCTCTGTCACCTAAGCTGGAGTACAGTGGCATGATCATCTCAGTCTCCTGAGTAGCGGGGACCGCAAGCACATACCACTATGCCTAGCTAATTTTTTTTTTTTTTTTTTTTTGAGACAGAATCTTGCTGTGTTGCCCAGGCTGGAGGGCAGTGGCACGATCTTGGCTCACTGCAAGCTCCGCCTCCCAGGTTCACGCCATTCTCCTGCCTCAGCCCCCCAAGGAGCTGGGACTACAGGCGCCTGCCACCACGCCCGGCTAATTTTTTATATTTTTAGTAGAGAGAGGGTTTCAGCGTGTTAGCCAGGGTGGTCTCGATCTCCTGACCTCGTGATCCACCCGCCTCGGCCTCCCAAAGTGCTGGGATTACAGGCGTGAGCCACCGCGCCTGGCTGCTAATTATTTTTTTGTACAGACAAGGTCTCACTATGTTGCCAGGCTCTAACTCCTCTATCTCTAACTCCTGGGCTCAAGCAATCTCCTGCCGCAATCTCCTGCCTCAGCCTCCCAAAGTGCTGACACTACAGGCATGAGCCACCATACCTGGCCTATTCTCCTACAGAATTCAAGTACTTAAAAATTATATAATTTTGACTACCTGCTTAGTGCAGAAATCCAAGTACATTTCAGTCTTTCCTGTTGTATCTGTCAACCATCATAACGTACAGCCTGCCACATACAAGTGGCTTCCCCCCACGTTTGTATGATGATATTAAGCCTTCTGTTGACTCTGGCTTATTAACCAAGACCCTTGCATTATCAGGTAGTACACAAGAAGAAAGTCTAACCACATATTTTTTCTTATTTTAAGAACCTTCCCAAGAGGGATGTGCTGATATTATGGTCTTTGGACCCAGTTTTATTAAGAGGCATAACACAGCAACATTAAGAGGCTTGACTCTGAAGCCAGATTCTTTGGGTTCAAATGCCAATTCTGCCCCTTACTTTAGCAGTGTGACCTTGGGTAAATGACTTATCTGTGCATATTTACATATCTATAAAATTGAGGCTAATAATAGTACCTACTTCATAGGGTTTTTGGAGAATTAAGTAAGGGCCTGACACTTAGTAAATACCGTATCAGTTTTTCTTGTTTTTATTACCGAGCAATAATGTGCTAAGAACTTTACAAACATCTCTAATTCTTGACGGTAAAAATAAAATTAGTCTAATTTTATAGCTGTAAAAGCTGAAGCCCAAGGAAATTTAGTGGCTTGACTAAGGTCATATATCTATTAATTGGTGGAGCCAGTATTTGAACCCAGTTCTTACTGGCTGTACAGCCTTCACTGTTTGTTCTTCACCATGCTAGTAAGATTGGAAAACTTGGAAAATTGAGGTGATGAGGACTTCTAACCATCTCACAGCTTAGAAAATTTTATCTCACTAAATCTCTCCTCTAAGTCTAGCTTCTTTAAGATTCCAGCTAGGCCCTGATTTCCAAATCTTCATTTGTTTTAAGTCACCTACACAGCCTACAGAGTCACAGTTTTTTGTTTGCCAGTGGTGATATTTGGAGCTAACCTCAAACCCTAGTAAAGACCTGAGAGAAATCAGAGTGTAAAGGGAATTGACTGACCTTTCTCTCTGCCTGTGCTCCTGTTGGTGAGTGCTGCTGTGAGTCCCTTGTTTTGATGATGAGTTCTATGTTGCTGCTTTGGATTCACTTAGTTCCTCCACTGCTACCCAACCTCATAAATACAGCAAGAGCTGATCATAACTCGCTTTTCTCTGAATCAACACAAGGAATTCTTGCTGTATTTAGCTGGGCTCCACCCTCCTTTCTAGGCTTTTTCTCTCTTCTCTCTAAAGTACCACAGAGATTCTGAAGCAGACCAGGGTTCACAAGTCAGCACTTATTTTAGCAGGAAAAAGAGAATAAACTTTGGTCTTATGCAGACCTGAGTTCAAATCTTGGCTCTGCTGTTTACTATAATAACTATGTGGCCCGAATTAAATCACTTCACCTCTTTCCTGTTATCTTTCTTATTTATAAAATTAGAATAATAGTACTGGCCTTGCAGAATTTGTGAGGATTAGAGATAATATATGTAAAGTACTTGGCACATAATTATTGCTTAATAAATGGAGCTATTTTTATTATTATGTCTACTATGTGTCAGGTACTATGCTAGGACTATTGGAGTGTAGAGAATAAAATACATTCCCTACCTTCCAGGACTTCAAGAGGGTCTTGCTAAGATCTGGTCATAAATGAAAGTGAGGAAAATGCCTAGACCACACTGACCACTACTTAGTGTATGTAGATGTCTCTCTCCCCTTAGCCCACTTATGCCTGGTGTTCCATTATTGGAACGCTAAGCTTGTGGGAGTTATTTATATCCTACTGCTCAAGGTCATGACCAAGGTCTGATTTTTTACAAAAAAATTTGCAGACTCTAGCATAAATGGGTTAATTCTATCTTTTCCACACAAACTCAACACATCTAGTATAGCAAGTACTCAAATCCAACCAAGCTGTGTTCAGCAGATGTTTTATTTAAGTTTCTATTCTGTGCCAGGCACCATGCTAAGTACTAGGGATACAAAGGTAAAATAAAACAGGCATGGTCCCTGTCCTCACAGAGCTTACAGTCAGTGTGGGACATAAAAAGTACAGTATAGTATGATTAGACAAATACAGGGTACTCTGATAGGAGACGTCTAACCCAGACTTAGGATGTCAGAGAAGGCTTCCTGGAGCACACCTGAACTGAGGAATGAAGGGGCAGGATTTTTACTGTAGTCAGAGGGGAAAACAAATACAAAGTTTCAAGTCAAGAAAGAGTTGAGGGAAGTTCTTGTTGACTAGAATATTAACTGCAAAGGGAGAATGGTGGGTTGTCCTGTTAATCCAATGTTAAATTTAACTCTTCCAAGCCATTCCTTTTCTCTGTGATCTGCTTAGCCAAAGCACTCCTCAAGTATGTTTAGGACGTACTACCTTCATTTTAGGCAGAAACCTCCATCATACTTCATCCCCAGTGGGTAAGAATTACTTGACCCCCACTCTGGGGAATACAGCTTCAAGTGTTTATAGAATCAAAAACTTTCCAAGTTGAAGGGGATCTTTTTTTTTTTTTCTTTTTTGAGACAAGATCTCACTTTGTTTCCCAGGCCGGAGTGCAGTGGTAGGATTATGCTCACTGCAGCTGTGAACTCCTGAGCTCAAGCAGTCCTCCCACCTCAGCCTTCCAAGTAGCTGGGACTACAGACATGCACCACTATACCCCACAAATTTTTTGTTTTGTTTTGTTTTTTTTAGAGATGGGGTCATGTTATGTTGCACAGACTGGTCTCGAACTCTTGGCCTTAAGCAATCCTCCCTCCTCAACCTCCCAAAGTGCTGGGGTTACACGCATGAGCCACCTGCTCAACCAAAGGGGATCTTGAATCTGGTTCAGTACTTCTCATTATATGTGTGTGACTGAGGCTCAGGGAGTTAGAGGAATATGTTTTCCAGTCAAAGCCATACCTAGATTTGCTATTGTGGCACACTGCTCCTTTGTCCCACTCTAGGTTGGCCAGTTTACTTGTGCTTTCAGTGAATATTTATCAAGTTTTTCATGCAGGAAGATGTTATGCCAGGTATGGAGAGTGTAGGGAACATAGTGTAATACCTTTTCTCACCGTTTAGCTAGGTTCCAGTCTAAAGGACAGCAAGCTGTCCAAACAAATGTTATGCAGTATGTGATGAATTTAGTGTCACCAGGAATGTGCCCAAGGAACTGTGGGAACTTCACGATTACTCCTCTGGAAAATATGCATTCCTTGATTTATTAAGCAATTTATAGACCTACAGTTGTATCAGTGTTTGGTAGATCCAGCCTTTGATTTCACTATACAGAATGGAGCCTATATAAAATAGAAATTCATGGAGTGACAGAGACCTGTGTGTCCCCAGCTACGTCATGTCAGAAATGAGGAATAAGTAGCAAAGAATATGAGAATGAAGGTCATTGCATGGTAGCTTGTCCAATAAAAAGAGAATCTTCTCAGTCATTAAAGGCAGCCCCCTTACCATGTAGAGAAGAGCCTGAGCCCAGACTCATTTTGCACCCTAAACTGTTCTCCAGGGAGTTGTTTTTCCTTTTTAATTTGCATCACTTTGTTCTTAATTAAATATAATGCATATGTAGAAAATTTGGAAAATATAGAGAAGTATAAATAGGAAAATGCAAATCTCTCATAATTCCATAATTGCAAGACATACTGCCCTGAGAAAAATCACTGAGACATGATAGCCTAGGAAAAATAAGTTCTTAAATTTAGTGTTATTTTCTAATTGCCTATATCAAGAGGACCAGCTAGGTGGGGTGGCTTACATGTGTAATCCCAACACTTTGGGAGGCCAATGCAGGAGGATCACTTGAGGCTGGGGGTTCAAGACCACCTAGGCAACATAGTAAGACCCCATCTCAACAAAAAAATTAAAAATTAGCTGGGCATGGTGGTGTGTGCCTATAGTCCTAGCTACTTGGGAGACTGAAGAGGGAGGATTGCTTGAGTTTGCGAGTTCGAGGCCGCAGTGAACTATGATCATGCTACTGCACTGCAACCTAGACATCAGAGTGAGACCCCATCTCTTTCAAAATGAGAGAGAGAGAGAGAGAATGAAGTGCAAGCCTGTCAGCTTTTTCCCACCATACAGAAAGGGAATTCCTAACAGGGAAGGCAGGCTTTGGTTGCCAGTCCCTCTCAACTTCATTATCTGTCTTCTCTGATGGCTTTGGGATCACTAAATTCCTCCATCCCCTGAATCAGCTTCTCTGTGTGCACCCTCTAATCTCAGTGGCAGGACATGCCTAGCCACATTGCCCAGCTCTTCTCTTTCCTCTACAGATGAGGAGAGGGTGATTGGCTTTGCCTCGGTGGACCTCTCCCCACTTCTCTCTGGCTTCCAGTTTGTCTGTGGCTGGTACAACATCACAGACTTCAGTGGAGAGTGCCAGGGGCAGATAAAAGTTGCTGTCTCCCCTTTGGAGAGTTTGATACACTTCAAAGAAGAAAGGCAAGCAAGGCGTGGAGTGGAGACCTCAAAATCACTGGTATGTATGGAGATTCACATCCCTAACCAATACGAATTGTACTGACCTATAAGAACATCCTTTACTCATGTTTGGCACTCTCCGGCTTATAGAATACGTTATATACTATATGTGTCTCATAACAACCTCCTGACCTTTTGGGGTGATGAAAATGTTCTGGAATTAGTTAGTAGTGATGGTTGCACAACTTTGAATACACTGAAAACCAGTGAATTGAGCTTTTTAAAAGGATGAATTGTATAATACATTAATTATATCGCAGTTTCCAAATAAAACAAGGTTGTCATATAGAATCTGAAACTCTATCAACTGACTTGTTTTTCAACTCTGTTACATTGATATCATTAGTCTTTCATTTAAAAAAATAATTGAAAGAATATGAAGAGGGGAATTGATCACGGTAAGCGTAGACAACTCTTTCAAGGAGTTTAACTGTAAAAGAAAGAATTTCCCAGACTATCAAAAATACGGGACCTCTATCAAGGCAAAGACTATGTTTTCTATTCATCTCTCTGTCTCTCGTGCCTGGCCCAGGGTCTGGCACAGAGTGGTCATCCATAAATACTGGATGAAAGCATGCATAAGAAAACAGAGTTCATTGGTCCCAATATAGGAAGGTCATTTCTTCGGCCCAACCCTGGTAGTCCTAAGACAAGAAATTTCACAGCCAGATTATCCTCATATGTAAGGTAAATGTAAAATGATATCCATTCAGGCATTTACAGTGTATTAATAGCTGGAGGAACAAGAGCATAAATATAGATAAAGCAACTGAAAACAAATCTGATAGCATAGTCTGTAAAATGAGTATAATAATAATAGTTGCCTCATAAGATTATAAATGAGAAAATGTATGTAAATTGTTTAGCACAGTGTTTAACACAAAGTATTCAGTAAATTAAATGCACACAATAAATTTTACAAACTTATTTATATACTGCTTTGTTACGAATGGGTTTATGGTGACAAGTGTACCATTTTTCTTGTTGTGTTTACAGATCCCAATATACAGTCCCTTTTCCTTCCCTGCCTCTGATACGTATGCTGCATTCTCCAGCCACATGGCAAGGCAGACCCTAGACCAACTTGCTCATGCCTCCTCAAAGGAGCTTGATTTCTCCTCTCCTGGGAGGTGAGTGAATTCTTGATGATGAGAAGAAATGGGGTTAAAAAATGGAAGTGTGTGAACTGGCTTATCATTTCTCTCTTTCCTTTATTAGAGGAAAAAACAAGACAGGGTAAGAGCTTTGTTGATCTTCTGTCACAACTCCAAAAACCCCAAGATCGTATGAAAACAAAGTTTTTATAAGATAGGAGCTAGAATTTGTACTGCTATCAGAAGGGTCACTTCAGTACAAGGGACAAGTTTCTGTTATCCTCAAAGGCCTTTAACCTTTATCCCTAAATTCAGTCATCAACTATGTGAGAAATACATCTTCTTTCCCCTGCTAAAACTATGTGCCAGTTTATTTTACAAAAAGCAACTGGTCCATCCTTTTCACCAAGCCAGCCTTGAACATGCATATGGCTCTCAGGGCTAGAGCATGTTCCATCCTATACAAGGACAGGGTCTAAGAATAAGGTTGCTGCTTTCCATTCTACCTCTTTACAGGCCCTAGAACCATCTGAAGCACCCCGCTGCCTACACCAGAGTCTTTCCTATGTCTTTCTCTTCAGCTCAGGGAAAGGGCAAGGAATCTTGCCCTACAGCAGCCCTTCCTACAAGAGCAGTTACTGAGCAGACCCTTTTATTCCAAGAAGACACTAATATCATGTAACATTCTAAGGCCCAATTCAGGGCTACATAGTTTTCTACTTGATCACCACATGAAGAGATCCTTGGTCCTCTGTACAAAGAGAGCTATGTATCTGTCAATTCCTAGATCCCAGATTTTAGATAATTCCTTTGTTATCTCTTTTATAAAAGTGTCACTTTGACCATACCCACAGTGGGACACATGGGTAGGATGAGGATATCTCTAATGCCCACCCTTTAGTAATTTTAAAAGCTAAAAGGTTAATGGCTTGCCTTTTGTCCACATAAAGATGTCCCTGTTACCACTTCAGAAGGGCCACATCGAAGTGTCATATTATATACAGACAGCCATTTAAGGCTAGGCTATAATTCACTCTCTAACCATCTTAACAGAGATCCAGCTCTTCCTGACCCTGCCCTGCTCAAGGGACAGGGTGGTAAAGTGGGCTGTGAGGTCAGACAGATCTGGAATCCTATCCTGGCTTTACCACTTACTAGTTACATGTGACCTGAGGCTAATTACTTTAGTTTTCTGAGCTTTAGCTTTCTAATTTGTAGGATGAAAATAATATAGTACCTCAAGGGCTGTTACAAAGAGTAAATGAGAATAGAAATAACTCACTTTTATATGGACTTTATATACATTAGCTCACTGGGTTTTCACAGCAGCCTTAAGAGAGAGGTTTTATTACTAATAATACTTGTGAAATGCGTAGAACAGCAGTTTCCAAACTTTCTGGTCTTTGTGCTTTATTTGTAATAACCAAAAACTATAAACAACTCAGGTGTCCATCAACAAAGAGGTGAACAAATAACAAAATTGTCGTATATCCATACAATGAAATATTAATACTACTCAAAAACAAGAAGAAATGCATTACTGATAGACAACAAAATGAATATAAAAATAATTATGCTGAGGAAGAGAAGCTAGACGAAAAAGAGTACATTGGGCCAGCCATGGTGACTCAGGCCTTTAATCTCAGTGCTTTAGGAGGCTGAGATGGGAGGATCGCTTGAGGCCAGGAGTTCAAGATGATCCTGGACAACATAGTGAGACCCCATCTCCACAAAAAAATTAAAAATTTGCCTGCCTGTAGTCCTAGCTACTCAGGAGGTTGAGGCAGGAGGCTCACTTGAGCCCAGGTACTTAAGGGTGCAGTGAGCTATGATCACACCACTGCACTTCAGCCTGAGTGACAGAGTGAGAACCTGTCTCTTAAAATAATAAAAAGTACCTTGTATATGATTCCATTTATATAAAATCCTAGAAAATGCATCCTAACCTATAGTGACAGAAAGCAAATCAGTGGTTGCCTAGGGACAAGGCAGGGTGGATAAGGAGGAAAGGAGGAAGGAATTGCAAAAGACAAGAAGAAACTTTTGGAGATGGTAGATATATTCATTATTTCATGGTAATGGTTTATTTGGATGTATACATGTGTTAAAATTCATCAAATTGTATTCTTTAAATATGTAAAGTTTATTTTATGTCAGTTACACATTAATAAAGCAGTGGTTCTTAAACATTTTCACTTCAAAACCCTTTTATACTATTAAAAATTAGTGATGACCCAAACGGGTTTATGTGGGTTATATCTATCAATTTTTACCATATTAGAAATTGAAACAGAAACTTTTAAAACATAATAAGCAAAATCAATTGTATTTCTATATACCAACAATGAATAACCAAAAATGAAATTGAGGCTGGGCGTGGTCTCTCATGCCTGTAATTCCAGCACTTTGGGAGACCAAGGTGAGAGGATTGCTTGAGCTCAGGAGTTCGAGACCAGCCTGGGCAACAAAGTGAAACCCTATCTCTACAAAAAATCAAAAAAATTAGCCAGGCATAGTGGTGCATGCCTGCAGTCCCAGCTACTCGGGAGACTGAAGCAGGAGAATTGCTTGAGCCCAGGAGGTCGAGGCTACAGTGAGCCATGTTCATGCCATTGCACTCCAGCCTAGGCAACAGAGTAAGACCCTGTCTGCCAAAAAAAAAAGGAAAGAAAAAAGAAAATTGAAAAAGGTCTAAATAAAATCAAAGACATCCCATATCTATGGATTAACAGACTTAATATTTTTACGATGGCAATATTCTCCACGTTGATCTACAGATTCAACACAATCCCTATCAAAATTCCTGCTGGCTTTGTGGAAATGGACAAGCTGATCTTAAAATTAGTATGGAAATTCAAGGCACATGGAATAGGCAAAACAACCTTGAAAAAGAACAGAGTCCCTAATTCCAAAGCTTACTACAATGCTACTGTAAGCAAAACAGTACTGGAATGAGGATAGAAATATAAATCAGTGGAATTGAATTGATAATCTCAAAATAAACCCATGTGTCTGTGGTCAACTAATTTTCAACAAGGATGCCAAGACTAATGAGGAAAGACTAGTCTTTTCTATAAATGGTGCTGGAACAACTAGGTATCCACATGCAAGTGATTGAAGTTGGACCCCTTCCTCAAACCATACACAAAAATTAACTTCAAATGGGTCACATATCTAAATGTAAAAACTAAAACTATAAAACTCTTCCTAGGAAGCAGAGGAGTAAATCTTCATGAGCTTGGATTAGACAATGATTCCTTAGGAAATGACACCAAAAGCACAAATAACAAAAGAAAAAAATTAGATTCATCAAAATTAAAAACTCTCACAGCCATTAAAAAAAAAAAAGAACAAAATCATGTTCTTTGCAGCAACGTGGATGCAGCTGGAGGCCATTATCCTAAGCGAATTAACACAAGAACAGAAAACCAAATACCACATGTTCTCTCTTATAAGTGGCAGCTAAGCATTGGGTATTCATAGACATAAAAAAGTCAACAAAAGAAACTAGGGACTACTAAAGGAAGGAGAAAGGGAGGAGGACAAAAGTTGAAAAACTGACTGTTAGGTAATATGCTTAGTACCTGGGTGATGGGATCATTCAAACCCCAAACCTCAGCATCCTGCACATACACCCTCAGATCTAAAATACAAATTGAAATTATAAAAATAAATAAAAATTTTAAAACTGGAATTTTTACACTGCAAGTGATACCATCAAGAAAGTGAAAAGACAACCCATAGAATGGGAGAAAATATTTGCAAATTATAGCTCTTTTTTTTTTTTTTGAGACAGTCTTGCTGTGTTGCCAGGCTGGAGTGCAGTGGCACGATCTTGGCCCACTGCAACCTCCACCTCCCGGGTTCAAGCGATTCTCCTGCCTCAGCCTCCCTAGTAGCTGGGACTACAGGTGCACGCCACCACACCAGCTAATTTTTGTATTTTTAGTAGAGACAGGGTTTCACCATATTGGTCACTATGGTCTCGATCTCTTGACCTTGTGATCCACCTGCCTCGGCCTCCCAAAGTGCTGGGATTACAGGCGTGAGCCACTGTGCCCGGCCAGTTATAGATCTTATATCTAGAACATATAAAGGGGACTGGGTGCAGTGGCTCACACCTGTAATCCCAGCACTTGGGGAGGCTGCGGTGGGAGGATCGCTTGAACTCAGGAGGTCAAGACCATGTTATTATTTTTTATAGAGATGGGCAACATGGTGAGAGCCCATCTCCACAAAAAATTAAAAAACTACTCAGACTTGGTGGTGCACATCTGTGGTCTCAGCTACTTAGGAGGCTGAGGTGGGAAGATCACTTGAGCCCAGGAGGTCAGGGCTGCATTGAGCCATGCACTCCAGCCTGGAAGACAAAGTGAGACCCTGTCTCAAAATAATATATAGAATATATAAAGAACTCTTACAACTCAATAATAAAAAGCAAATAACCAGTTTAAAAATGGGCAAAGGATCTGAATAGACATTTCTTCAAAAAAAGATATACAAATGGCCAATAATCACAGTAAAAGATGCAAATCAAAACCACAATGAGGTACCACTTTATATCCACTAGGGTGACTGTATTTAAAAAAAAAAAAAGATATCTCAAGCCTTAGGAAGGGGTAGATAAATTGGAACCCTTATACATTGCCGGTGGGATAGTAAAACACTGCAGGTGCATTGGAAAATAATCTGGAAGTTCCTTAAACATGGAGTAACCATATGACCCAGTAATTCTGCTTCTAGTTTTATGCCCAAAAGAAATGAAAACAAATGTCCACACAAAAACTTGTACACGTATGTTTGTAGCATTATTCCTAATAACCAAAAAGTAGAAGCAACTCATGCCCGTCAACTGAGTAGATAAACAAAATGTGGTATATCTATCCAACAGAATATTATTCAGCTGTAAAAAGGAATGAAGGACTGATACATGCTGTACTACAGATGAAGCTTGAAAACATTATGCTAAATGAAAGAAGCCAGTCACCAAAAAACACATATTATATGATTCCATTTATATGAAATATCCAGAATGGGCAAACCTATTGAGGCAGAAAATAAATTAGTAGTTGCCTAGGACCAGGAAATGTAGAATGGTTCTAATGGGTATGAGGTTGTTTTGTGAGTGGTAAAAATGTTCTAAAACTGATTGTGGTAACAGTTACGTAACTGCATATACTAAAAACCATTGAATAATACACTTTAAATAGGTGAATTGTATGGCATGTGAATTATATCTCAATAAAGCGGTGAATTAAAAAGAGATTGTTGGAGTCATGATCTTGAATATCATGCTCAGGAATTTGAGATTTGTTTAAAAGCCAAAGCCAGAAAGGAATGGTGATAATCACATGGCGTAATATATGTTGAATGCTTACAGCAGGGCTTGGCATATAATAAGGACGCCAAATATATTGTTGTTATTGTTGCTCTTGTTATTATTACTTCAGATTTATGGTTTTTGGTTTTGGGGGGCTTTTTTTTTTTTAAGACAGAGTCTCACTCTGTCTCCCAGGCTGGAGTGCAGTGGCATGATTTCTGCTCACTGCAGCCTCCACTTCCCAGGTTCAAGTGATTCTCCTGCCATGGCCTCTGGCGTAGCTGGGATTACAGGCGCCTGCCACCACACCCAGCTAATTTTTGTGCTTTTAGTAGGGACAGGGTTTCGCCATATTGACCAGGCTGGTCTCGAACTTCTGGCCTCAAGTGAACCACCCACCTCAGCCCCCCAAAGTGCTGGGATTACAGGCGTGAGTCACCACCCCCGGCCAGATTTATGTTTTAGAAAAATCACTCTGCTTGTTGTGAAGAATGAGTTAAAAGGGGGTAGGCAAGATTGAAGACAGGATTATTTTGGAGACATTTATAATCCAAGCAAGAGATGATAAGGCCAGAACTGTGATAGTGGGGATAGATTTGCATTCCATTTCAGGATAGTGATTTGTTTATTGTCACACTAGCAGTGTTCTCATTGATTGGGAATTTATTTTGCTCCTACTTTTTTTTTTTTTTTTTTTGACAGAAGTGATACCACAAGAAGCCAAGCATCACGCCATGAAGAGCATGTGCAGAACATTCGCCGGTTTCATGAATCCCTGCATCTTCAGGGAGAGGCACCCTTGCCATGTGATGACAAACTGACCACATCACCTTTGTCCTCCCAAACCTCCATTCTGACTTCTCTCAGGTGAGGCTCTACTGAGAAAAGACACAGGAAACCATAGTGGGGCACAAGGTGAATGAGAAATGGCAATGTGCATTACTGCTTTTCCATCACCTGCCACCGCCCTAGGAACATTAGTAGAGGGCTCTTTTGCATGTTAGTATCAGGTTGGACCCTGGAGCCTCATGGGATTCCTCATAGATGAATCTGTATCAGCTTGGGACCTTCCATTCCTTCAGGGGGCTCTGTTACTGATGCACCTGTAAATGTAGGAGCTTCAGATTGTTCACCAAAACTTAATAATAACCAGCCTCACAACCTCACAACCATTTACTTCGTCCAGACCAGCCTCTGTCCTGTTAACTCTTTTCTGTTCCTTTCTTAGTTTAGTTAGCACCTGAGCCAGAGAATCGCTGTGAGAATTGAAAGGGTGATGATAGATCAGCTAGATCAGCCCCTAGCTTATCTAATGAAAAGTGTGGCACAGTGGAAAGGACATGGCTTCAGGGTCAGATAGACTTGACCTCCAATCCTTGCTCTGCCCATCTCAGTGGAGGAGATAGCCATGTTGCCAAATAATTATAATGCAGGGTAGTAAGAGCTGCAATTTCCCTGGCCAAGAGTAGACAGGGGAATGCCTAATATTCTGGATTGTTCCTGGAAAGATTTAAAGAAGTCACATTTGAACTGGTCTTTGGAGGACATTTTGTGCAGAAAGAACTTACGCCAAGGCTCAGGGGCAAGTCAAGTTTGGGGAAATGCCAGCAGTGCATGTAGGAAAAAGCTGAGCATAAGATGCAAGAAGCAGGGTGAATTTTTTAAGAGTCACATCATGAAGGTCCTTGAATGTCAGACTAAGAATTATTACCCTTAGAACAATTATTCTTAAGTGAAAGGTGTTGGAGGAAGGAAAGGAGGAGAGTATGTAAAATTTAAGGAAAAATGAAAGTATCAACATTATGTAACCACTTAAAAGAACAATATGGAGGTTGCTACAATCAAAATGTACTCCATCTTTAAAAAGTTACCCATACAGATTTCAGATAATCATGTTTGTCAGTTTTTATTGACATGAGTAAAATCTGTTATAGCACCAAAAAAAAAAAAAAAAAATTTAAGGAAAAAATGTTTAAAAGGGGTGTGTGTGTGTGCGTGTGTGTGTGTGTGTGCGTGTGTGTGTGTGATAGATAAAGGCTTCCTATGCTGCCCAGGCTGGGCTCGAACACCTGGCCTTGCTTCCCTCCTTATTCTCCAGGACAACAGGCCTGAGCCACTGCGGCTTCCGGCTTTTTTGTTTGTTTGTTTTTGTTTTTGTTTTTCTTGAGATGGGGTCTCGCACTGTTGCCCCGGCTGGAGTGCAGTGGCGCAATCTCGGCTCACTGCAGCCTCTGCCTCCTGGGTTCAAGCGATTCTTCTGCCTCAAACTCCCAAGTAGCTGGGATTACAGGTGCCCATAACCACACCCAGCTAGTTTTTTGTATTTTTAGTAGAGACAGGGTTTCACTATGTTGGCCAGGCTGGTCTCAAACTCCTGACCTCGTGACCCCAAAGTGCTGGGATTACAGGCGTGAGCCATTGCACCCGGCCAAAAGACTTTATATTTGAAAAAAAAAAAACTAACCTATTCTTTGATTCATAATGCAAAGTCAGAAAAGAAACATCAACAAAATCTTTTTGGTTAATGAGACAAGTTAAAAATTGATCAATAGTGCTATAGACCAGCAGCCCCAACCTTTTTGGCACCAGACACTGGTTTTGTGGAAGACCATTTTTCTTCCACAAGGGTGGGGTTGGGGGTGGGGGGTGGTTTCCAGATGAAACTGTTCCACCTCCCATCATCAGGCATTATTTAGATTCTCATAAGGAGCGCACAACCTAGATCCCTCACATGAGCAGTTCACAATAGGGTTTGTGCTCCTATGAGAATCTAATGCTGCTGCTGATCTGACAGGAGGCGGAGCTCAGAAGTAAAGCTCACTTGCCCCCACTCACCTCCTGCTGTGCGGCCCAGTTCCTAATAGGCCACGAACACAGCCCAGAGGTTGGGGACTTCTGCTATAGACTATAGGAAACTGCCCAAAGTTATTTTACGAAGAAGTAATATGTTCAGATTCTTATCTTCATATTAGTAAGGTGCTAGAGATTGTAGGCTGTTTAAGTGAAACCATTGATAATTTGGTTGTATTTTTTTGGGTCATTCACATAACCTATTTGGAACCCACTTAAAAAAAGAAACTCCTTCACCTTCGAGTAGTTTCTCTCAACTTTGGCACTATTGACATTCTGGTCAGATATTTTGTTTTGAGGGTCAGTTCTGCGCATTGTAGGTTGTTTAGCTGCATCCCTGGCCTCTACCAACTACATACCAGTAGCACCCCTCTCCCACTTGTGACAACCCAAAATGTCTCCAGACATTGCCAAGTGTATCCTGAGGGACAATATTGCCAGGTTGAAAACCACTGCCCTAGGACAGTAGTTCGCAAAATTTAGTGTATATCAGAATCCCATGAAGGGCTTATTACAGCACTGATTGCTAGGACCCATCCACACAGTGCCTGATTCAGTAGGTCTAGGATAAGGCCTGAGACTCTGCATTTCTAACAAGCTCAGGTGATGCTGCTGCAGCTGGTCCTAGAACTAGGCTTTCAGAACTACTATCTAGAGGAATTCTTTACCAAATGGGCGCGAAACAAGGTGAGATCAATTTGCATAACCTCCTTGGATTCAGAGAGCCCTTAAACAGTGCTGCATTTGAATCACAGCTATCATTTCAGGCCTGCAGAGCAAGTATTAATAAACCTGTGTTTCACAGATGAGCAAAGTACAGCTTGGTGTTCATAGGTTGACATGCCATGGTTCTACATGGTTCTACACTGGTCTAACAAGACCAGTAGATTTGCTTATTTCCCAAAGCTACCCCAAGTTACATTTGTTTGCATGTTCCTCCTGCAGATGTTTATCCATGTGGCATATACCACGATATAGACACCTAAGTGATTTGGTACACACCACCGTGACTTGAGTCTTGGCCTCTAGTGATAGAATAAGGATCAACTTTGTCCTCTCATTTGGATTTTCCTCTAAGATACGCAGACTGTTTCTAACAAAAGGATAGAAAGACTTTCAGTTCATGTCACAGGTATTTGGTGTCCATGCTGTGTTGATTATACCAGGCACATTGAGTGTACTAAGGAAATAGAGAAGTGTGAGATATATCTTCTATTCTGAGACGCCCATGGCCTACTTAGGGAAACTGAACTAACATATAATGAGACAATTAAGGGAAAATCTAAGAAAAAGTTTGATGTGTGAAATGATGAGTGTGAAGGTGTTTAAGGGACAGGTGGTGCAAAGATTTGGGATAATGGACTTTGAAAAGAAGAAATGTGAGCTGCAACCTTAAAAGCTGACTGGAATAGAAACAGAGCAGGGAGTTGCTTGAACTGGGGTTCCAGTATCAGCAGAAGTATGAGGAAGGAACGAACCCAGCTGGAACAGAGTCCATCTCATATGGAAAAAGCATGACTTGGAGTCCCAGATTCTGAGTAGCTACATACTGCTCCCTGCTCTGGACAAGTCACTTAACTTCTCTGAAACTCAAGTTGCTTATTTATAATTACTGATCTCATATGATTAGCTGAAAATTAAACAAGATAATATGTTTAAAAGCATAAACATAAAATCCTATGCAAGTGAAGGTTGGTGTGATTTCTTATTGGAGAATGGTGAGAATGTGGCCCTATTAAAGGCTTTTAAACAGATTTTTAAAATCACTTATTTATGTCCTTTTATCCATCCAGCATTCTTTTGTTTTGTGCCAAGCACTATGCTGGGTGCAGTAGATGTAAAGGAATCAGCCCAGAGCTGACCGTACATCAGGGGAAATAGGTGTTAAATAAATGAGTGATGTGATGGAAGAGTGCAGAAAGAACTATGGAGCACAGAAGAGGAGCCCCTAAACCAATTTAGGGAAGGCTTTTTAGAAGTTGCTTGCCTGAAGGATCAGGAATGGTTATGAGGTAGCAAAGGACAGTGTTAGCGCAGAGTAGGGCTTTATTCTGTCAAAGTAAACAGAAATAAGGACTGGAATGGTGGTCAAGAATGGTTCCTTTCTGAGGAAGTGGCATTTTTGCTGGACATCAGATGAGGAATCGCATTAGACAGACAAAAGGGGGAGAAAGTTGCCCCCAGCAGCAGGATTGTAGTCAGAGGAGTGAAGGATGAGTTGGTGGATTGGAGAGAGAGGGACTTAGTATATTAATAGACCAAGTGAGAGGTATTAAGGCTTTGGCTCAAGCGGTAGTGTCCAGGGGACATAAGAGATGTTCATAATCTCCATGAATTACCCCTTTGTCTTCTTCTCCCCCTTTTGTTTATAGGAAGAATCTGAGTGAGCTTGATCAGATTCAGAGGTACTTCCGCCAGAAGCTCACCAAGCCTTTCCTACCCCTCAGCCCTCAGACTCAAACGGCCATCTCACAGCACCAGGAGAGCTGTAGGGACCATCTTGGGCCAGGTGCCAGCAGCCTAGACCCTGGGAGCCAGTGTATCCTGGAGAAATCCAGTAACCTGGTGTTGCAAGTCAGCTCCTTAATCACAGGTATGACTCAGATCCTTTCTTGTTGAGATGTTATGGTCACTAGGTGCTAATTCAAAAAGCATTTGAATGTGTTCCTTCGGACAAGCCCCTATGACAAATAGAGACCAATTGTTTTCACCCTCTTCCTTTTTTTTTTTTTTTAACCATCTTGCGTTTGAAAAGGAGGGACATAATAGTATGGCACAGCAACATGGGGCAATGGAAAGAGCACTGGACTGACCCAGGTCCTTGATGGGCTTCTGGTACAGACTTAGAGTCTGACTCTGAACGTGTCCTTTCCCTTCTTAGACTTCAGTTTCCCCAGCCAAGAAAAGAGTGGGGTAGATTAGATGAGTGGTTCCTCAATAGCAATTCTTGAACTTGTGCCACTCTCTGAGAAAATAATGAACAATAAACATATTTAAAATTCTAATTATGAAAGCCCAGAAGTCTGCACTTTTAACAAGCACCCTAGATGATTCTGGATGTTAGCGATTCATAGTCCACCCTTTGAAAAACCCCTTTGGAGCAGTGGTTCTCACTTTAGCTGCATATTGGAATTATTGAGGGACTTTTAAAAAACCCCATGCCCAGGCTGTACTGTAGGTCAACAGAATCTCTGAGGTGGAACCCAGGCATCAGTATTGTTTCTAACTCCCCAGGTAATTCTAGTGTGTAGACAAG
Source organism: Homo sapiens (assembly GCF_000001405.40). Lineage (NCBI taxonomy): Eukaryota > Metazoa > Chordata > Mammalia > Primates > Hominidae > Homo > Homo sapiens. Next base: position 74,036,814 of record NC_000011.10, on the reverse strand, counting down.
ACTGAGACTGCTCTAGAGCAAATATTGGCAAACCTGCCTGAGCATAAGAATCACCCGGGGCACTTACTGTGAAATAGAGATTCCTGGGTCCTACTCCATCCTTCTGAATCAGGATCCAGGGTCATGACCTAGAAATCTTTATCAAGCAAGCTTCAGGGAACACTGGGAAATCAACTAGATCAGCATCTTCAGCCCTCACTTGTTTTTGCTTGAGCGAAATGTGTAGATTCTACACAGGGATGAAGAAGTTCAATTTTCTTTGTCTAACAGGAGAGAAAAACACCTTGATTAACACTAAGTACAAACCTTCTTTCTGTCTTCTTCTTCCAGATACCTAACCTGTTGGTATCCATGGCCTCAGATAAATGCTCTGTGTTTGACTTCCACTTGCTTGGATATTTTCAGTCAAGTGTTTATTGAGCACCATCTGTGCCAGGCACTATTCTGTTATTTGTCCCAGGAAGATACAGTGGTGGATATGACAGGCATTATCTCCCTTCATCAAGCTTATATTCTATAGTCAACCAAAGAAAAATCCTCTCACAAAGAAAGTATGACAGCAAAACAGATGAAGGCTTGTTTGGAGTAGAGGTGGAAACAAATAGGGGAATCTTTCTAAAGGGGCATATTAAAAGAGGAGAGAGAAGGGAATTGTGGCCAGGCACGGTGGCTCACACCTGTAATCCCAGCACTTTGGGAGGCCAGGGTGAGTGGATCACTTAAGGTTAGGAGTTCAAAACCAGCCTGGCCAACATGGCAAAACCCCATCTCTACTAAAAACACAAAATTTAGCTGGACGAGGTGGTGCGCACCTATAATCCCAGCTACTTGGGAGTCTGAGACACGAGAATCGCTTGAATGCAGGGGCAGAGGTTGCAGTGAGCCGAGATTGTTCCACTGCACCCCGGCCTGGACAACAGAGTAAGACTCTGACTCAAAACAAACAAAAAAAAAAGAATTGAAGCTGTGGGGCCTAATGTTTATCCTGGAAGAAATGGAAAGTTCTCAGCAAGCAGACAACTGAATGAGAACTGGTTTTCACAAGGAGAATGAATTTAAAAAGAGAAAGATGATTAGATCAGGGAAACCATTCAAAAAAAAAAAACAGCAAAAGCCTGCCCCTGCCTCCATTATGCTCCATTATGCCTCAGTATGCTGTTTTTACAAAGCCATCAGACAAATGGATATGAGTGAAACTTGAGAGAGTTACTGAGTGGGGTTTTTTTTAAGCCAGAGCTATATGCTAGGCTAGGCCCTAGAGATACAACATGATTCAGACATATGGTTCATGCCCTGAGAAGCTCACAGTCTGATGGGGTAAACATACAATTACACAGTGTCATATTCTTAAGTGCTTCCTTATAGAACAAAGCCATGTAGCAATCTTATTTAACTCGTGAATCTGGGAAGGCCTCCTGGAGGAGATCCAATAGAACATGGCCTTGAAGGCTGGGCAAGTTTATAAAAAGCAAGAAGACTGCTCTGAGACAGAAAGCATGTTCAGGCCAAAGGATTAGGATTAACTAAACATGCTTCCCCATGCCTATTCCTATTTACAGGTAGTAATGTTTCATTTTCGTCTATCTACCCATTCCTTTGAGGCCTGAAAATCATCAGTGTATAATATTAAACAGCCAGCACCTCCTGTAGAGTGAGCCCTCTGTTAGGTGCTGTGAGGGAGATGTGACCCCTATTCCCCAGGAATCAAATTTGCCTTCAGTTCCTAATTTTCTCCTCTCAAATAATCTTGCAAACATGTATCATTTACTGGGTCTATTTATTAATTGATTCACTCCCATTCCATCCCAAAAATAATTTGAGATGACTAGTAGCTTCTGTTTATTAAGTGGTTATATATTCACCACACAGTGTATGCCCATTTCTTTCGTGTATTCTCTACTGTAACCTTATGAAGTGGGTGGTGTTGATTACACTGTACAGATCAATAGGCTCAGAGAGGATGGTTTGCTTATGATCACAAAGTTAACAAGTGACAACAGAGATTCGAACCCAAGATTGACCGGCTCCAAAGCCTATGCTCTTTCCAACATACCTTGCTGCTTCTATTTTCTGTGTAAATCTTCCCTGCCTTATCATATGGGTGATAGATATTTCCTTGCTTTTATTTTCGAAGTAAAATAGGTAGTTTTAATAACTGTCATCAAATAGGTAAATAAGTGGATTCTCATTTTGATTTTTAATATAGGTAGTTACTGAAGTAACTGGAAGCATGAACATGCCCACCAGGACTCCCAGCTCCCAACGATTCCTGAGCATGAGCAGATAGTCTCTGAAAGCATTTCCACAGATGTATCCACAACTATAGATTAGATTCTGGTCCTCTGATATTAGAATAAAGTACTAAAAATTGTACCGCCTTGAATATAGTCTCACTGAATCTTGGGTGGACTAATTTTCTTTATGGTTTGTTCAGAGTCTGATTGCCATAGTGCTTCTGAAGCTAAAGGCTAGTGTGGGAAATTTGAGGGGTCTGTGGCCCTACCTTGTAATAAGAGTGATATGTGTTGCTGTTCAGATCTGCAGACTATCACCAGGGATTCGCAAGCAGCTTTGAGTTCTCACCGAGCCAGGAGTAGAAGCAACAAGGCCACCACCCTCCCAGATGCTCAGGACACAGAAGCACTGCAAGAACGATGCACAATGCCAGATGAGCCATTGGTAAGAGCTCCAGATAAAGGCACAGATTCCCCATCACCCCCTCCTCTCGAAGAGACTTCAAATGGAGGAAGAATGCTCCATGAGTCCCTGAGGCATGCAGTACCCATTACAAGGATGCAGAGCAGTGAAGACACTGAGGCAGGCCCAGCCTACAGTGATGAGGACTATGAAGAAGACATCATTGAGCCCAGGACCTTAAATGAGATCACCACGGTGACAGACAAAACTAGCCCTTGGTCTAGTGTCATATCAGACACAAGTGAGGTCATCAGCCCTCAGCCTGACGAGGTGCAGAGGGAAGGCCCCTCTTGTCCTTCTCCAGGGCCTTTCTGCAGAGAGGAGCTTATGGTCAAAAGTAGCTTTCTCTCCAGCCCAGAAAGGGCTGTCAACCCCCACCTGCCTAGGCAGGGTTCTCCTAGCCAAAGTCTTGTTGCTTGTGAGTGTGAGGCCTCTAAGGCCAGGGTTGGTGGCGAGTCTGCCTCAGCCAACCCTCAGCCCATCCCATGCCCAACACTCTCAGGAGCTCAACAGAGCAGCACGTTTGTTGGATGGAGCTCACCACAGACAGATCAGAACAAGGAGCCCAAGTCAGAGGCCCCAGCTGAGAATGAAGCTGCCACCAGTGAGCTCGGTGACTCTGCTGATAGCTTCAAGAAGTTGCCGCTAAATCTAGCCTCCCAGAGCAGAAGGGAAAACCATAAGGGACCACCCATCGACTCCTCTGACATCAGGCAGAGGCAGGTGACAACTGGATCAGAGACGTCCACAAAGCAGAGCCTCCTGCTGTATCCTTTGGCATTTCCCACAAGTGGTTTGGATGCAGGTACTTAGACTAGCCTAGTGTGAGTGTGAGCAAGTGGCCACCCTCATGGAATGCACTAGGGGGCATGGAAAGACCATTCCTTCAGAAGACCCCACCTGCATGACAGGTGCTACAGTTTTACCATTAACACCAGCCCTCAGAAACATAATGCCTTGAACTGGGTTTAGGCATTCGTAGCACATTAGCCTAGCCTACCCTGATTTATCCAATTCATCTGTTGGGTATTTTACCACCTGAAGGCAAGGCTTGGGATCTAAGGAATGAGACTATTTATCAGTTGAAAGAGAAGCAGAGGGTCTAGAGAAAGAGGAAAGAAAATCACTGCCATTGAGCACTTTATGTACATTTTTCATTCAGTCATCACAAGTCTTTTAGGTAGGTATCATCCCTATTTTGCATATATAAGGAAACTGATGCTCAGTTATTGTGACTTGCCTTTTTTTTTTTTTAAGAGACAGGTTATTCTGTCACCCAAGCTGGAGTACAAGGTTATTACCATACCTCACTGCAGCCTCAGATTCTTATACTCAGGTGATCCTCCCACCTCAGCCTTGCAAGTAGCTAGAACTACAGGTATGCAGCATCACACCCAGCTAATTTTTTTTAAGAGTTGGGGTCTTGCTGTGTCACCCAGGCTGGTCTCAAACTCCTGGCCTCAAGCAATCCTCCTGCCTCACCCTCCCAAAATGCTGCAGTTAGAGCATTTGAGCCACCACGCCTGGCCAGATTAAATTTTTTTAAAAAAGGAAGTGATGGAGCTAAACAGGCACCATGGAGATGGACTTTCCCAAGTCCCCAGTAAGGTACTGTTGATGGGAACAGGGGGCACCTGACATTCCCCACTCCTTCCTTTTAAACACAGACTGGCATGTTATGGGGAAAGGAAACCACTTAGGACCATCTACAGCCTTCACACCTGTAGCCTAACCAGCTGATCAGATCAGCTCACCTGCTATCCCAACAAGCAGGGAATATTGTACGGCTGGCAGGTGAAGCAGGCTGCTTTACTAGACTAGAGATCTTCCTCTACTAGAAGTCAGGGAGCCTGACTTTGACCCTTCTAGACCCACAAAATTATTTTTGTGATTATAGACATATAGTTTAATCTTTATGTGCACGTTTCTTCACCTGTAAAATGGAGGCGGAAATCCCTTACCCACCAAATTATAAGCTCCCCAGGTCAGGGACCTTGTCTTTTTCTGCATCCTCAGGACCTAGCACTACACAGAGAAGGGATTGGTAAATGTAGATTGGATTGAACTATCACAGTTTCACAACATTGTTGAGAAAACCAAATGAGTGGAAACATTTGTACACACCACACAGTATGATTCTTGATGCAGATCAGAGAAAAACCTAGGGGTGGGAGAGTGGGCTCAGGAAAGGATTAAAGCATGCAATGGCTGGAGGCTGAGCTTTGAAAATAGACCTCCTTGTGTGCAGTTCTCCCTGGCCTTGCCCATCCTGGATCCTGGCCCCTAATGTTGCTGCCTTTGCAGTCAGTATTAATTGTGCTCAGAATATGGCCGATGGAGGAGATGCCACATGTGCCCAGACCCTAAGTGCTGCTTTAACTTAGGCCTTCCTGACTATTCTTTCAAAAATAAATCGTGCCAGGCCCTGTGCTGGGTGCCAAGGACAGATTTGAATGAGACCTTACCTCGAGAAGTTCCCATTATGAGATAGGAGACAGTCAAGTAGATAGATACTGACAGTTTATTGTGCCAAGTACTGTGATGAGATGTGGACAGAACGCGAGGGACCATGAGGAGGGAGCTGCCCTAACTCTACTTGGAGCCATCCCAGTAAGAGAGACAGGAGAGCCAGGCCTTAAAGATGAATAGGCATTGTGCAATAGAGACAAGGAAAAGTTCTAGTCAGGACAAACTGTGTGTGCAGAGGCCTCGCTGGGTGAAGGAGGCTGCCTGTGGGCAGTAGTTCACTGTGGCTAGAGTCCAGGGATGAGGGGATGGTGCGAGGTGAGGCAAGGCCTGGATCTTAAAGGACTTCTATACCTGGCTGAGGTACTTGGACTCTATTCTAAAGCAAAGAAACTTCACTTTCCTCATCTGTAAAATGGAGGTGATAATAGTACTTACTGGGTTGTTGTGAAAATGAAAATGAAAATAATCATGTAAACTGCCTAGCACAATACCTGGTACATGAATAGTGTTCACTGTTAAGCAAGAGTGTGGTATGGTCAGATGTACATATGAGAAAAGAAGTCACCCAGTGCCTTGTAGAGAGCAGGTTAAGTAAGGGAAGACTAGAAACAAGGAGGCTAGTTAGGACACTTGCAATAATAACAAGAGATGAAGAAAGTCTGACCTGAAGTATAGACTGCTTTATGATGAAGACGAGGGGAACAGATCTGAGAGGATTAGATAGAGGGGCAGGGGATGAGACAAAGGAAATAGAAAGTGTAATTAGAGGTTTCTGTCACAAGTTACCCGGCAGGTGATATCATTTACTGGATAGGAAACAGCACATAGACAGGTTTGGGAGACGATGCAGATTGCCGTTTGGGGCATGTGCCTGTAGGACATCCAGGAGGAGATGCAGGAGGAGTGAAGTTGAGGGCTGAGCTCAGCCATAAAGGTAGGCATCTCTGGGAGTCGATGAGGGCAGCAAGAAGAGCCTGGGAAGGGGGAACCAAACACACAGAGGCAGACTCTGAGCATCTCCAGTGTGCAAAGAGAAGCAGGACAGGGCATGCCCACAAAGGAGATGAGGAGAGCTGGTCAGGAGGTGGGAGAAGCAGCGGAGAGAGAGGTGCCGTAGGAGCAGATGCTGCAGAGTTTCAGGACGTCGTGGTCAGCACTGACGCTGCACACAGGTCCGGGAGAATGTGGCTGACATGTATCACTGGTTTTAGTGTTAAGGAGGACCTTACAGTGGTGGGAATGGAAGCCAGACTTCATTAGTCAAAGCAGCTAATGGTGAGGACAGTGAGAACAGACAACTTTTTCACATAAACTGAGGAGATAAGAATAGCTGACATTTATCGAGGCACCATTCTAGGCACTTTACATATATAAATTCATTTAATCCTTAAAACAATAAGTACTAATACATTTAAAAATGGAGAAATTGCGGCACAAAAAGTGAACTTTCCTGAAGTTATCCATCTAGTAAGTGACAGAGAGCTGGGTGGTAACTAGAAGACAATGCAAGGTCAGGGGGTTGTTTGTTTGTTTCCCTAAATGGGAAACTTGAACATTTTTATGAACTGAGGAACAGGAATTTAAAGTTCATGAGGCCAGACATAGTGGTTCACACCTGTAATCCCAGCATTTTGGGAGGCCAAGGTGGGAGGATCACTTGAGGTCAGGAGTTCAAGACCAGCCTGGGTAACATGGCAAAATTCCATCTCTACTAAAAATACAAAAATTAGCCAGGCATGGTGGCATGTGCCTGTAATCCCAGCTACTCTGCAGGCTGAAGTGGAAGAATTACCTGAGCCCAGAAGGTCAAGGCTGCAGTGTGCCATGATCACGCCACTGCACTCCAGCCTGAACAATGGGAGTGAGACCCTGTTTCAAAAAACATAACAAAATAAAAGTTGGTGGGAGAAAGTGCCTGTTGGAGCAGGACCCTAAAGCACACATGAGGCAATGGGCTGGGAAAGAGACTTCCATGCTTCAGAGCCAGCCCTGACACCTCACAGCAAAGTTCTTTCTTCCCCACAGCATCAGCTGGCTGTCTGGCAGTCCCCAGCAGTTTCAGCAACAGCAAATAGATCCTACCTCACCTGGGCCTCTGCAGAAGGCCTGGAGTCAAAGGGTCTTTCCCTTCGGGATCTCCATTCCTCCCCCACCTCTCTACAGAAAAATCAGGGACTTGAACCAAAGCAAGAAATCAATGCATTTCATTCATTCACAAGATATTTATTGAGTACTTACTGTCTCCCAGGTACTATGCTAGGTGACAGGAATATGGTTATGAAAGACAGATCATCTCTGCCTTCTTGAAGTTTAGAGTCTAATGTAGAAGAACGACGATAAAATAGGAAATGTGGTAAGCAAATTGGAGTGAGAACCATACTTATTAAACAGAAACAAAAAATTGGAACATCAAAATAGTCCCCTCTTTACCCCCTTCAGAGTTCAACTAAACTGAATCAGTGATTTGATTCAAAAAATACCTGTAGAACACCATATTCTCAACACAGCACTGAGCACCTCAAGAAGATACGGAGGAGAAGTGCAAGATAACAGTACCTGCCTTCTAGGGCTCACATCCAGATTGGACCAGCTGTACTGGTCCCTGACATGAGGACATGTCCCGTCATGGACAGCCCCTGATGCAGAGCTCTCATTTCTGAATGTGAGCAGAGAAAATAGGCAAGCAGGCCCTCCTTCAGTGCAGGGCACCTAAATGCAGCCTAAGGCACTGCCCCCTGGAGCCACATCCCAATCCCCACATCCCCTGACTGACTTCTAATAGGTCTTTTTCTAACTAGCAGGCCCTTAGGCAAGAATCATTCAACGCCTGCTACCTGCCAGCCTCCTGAGGGGCTTTCAGGAAGTAGAGGTAACAGAAGGAAACTGTCTGTGCCATTGAGAAATTTAGGGAAGATTGAGGAAAATAATCATATCAGACTAAATAATTAAGCATTCTCCTGTGTTGCAGACTGCTCTAGGATGTGAGGAAGGAGGGATCACTGTGGGGCTAAGATTAAGAGAAAGCTTCCTAGAGGAGGCCGGATTTGAACTGATCCATAAAAAACTTATATGTGTTAGGAGTGGGCAAGCCTTCCAGTCAGAGGGAGCCAGCTGAGCAAAGAATTTATGGACAAGAATAGTTGAGGGAAAAACATGAGTGGGGGCAGAGTGAATGGTCAGTGGAGATGCTGGCCTCCACTGCAAGAGGGGTGGACTTCTAGGTATTTTTGTCCCTTAACTACCATTGTAGCCCAGGGCCCATTGTGGTGCCCAACTTCTTTTTGCCTCCCCAGCAGTTGGAGGCTTCCCTGCGGATGCTTTCACTCTCAGCAACTTTGCCACCAGCAGCCACAACAGATCAGGTAAGAGAATGGCCAACTGACCTTTCTTCTATAGAGTCATCATCTCTTCCACAGAAGTGTGCACAGAATGCAGAGCTGCCCCAGGTCATCTTCCTGGAAAGGCTGCAGCAGGGGTCACTCCTCAAGTTTGTACTGAGCATATTCTGTGGGCCCAGCAGTGGGCAGGGAGCTCAGGAAAAGTGAGGAAGAGCAAATATGCAAGAGCAGGGCATTGTCAGCCAAGACTGACATGGGGAAGAAAAAAGCTGTGCAGAAGCATGAAAGCAAGAGGCAGCTAAGAAATGTGTATTGAGTGCTGTGGGAGTCCCCACCAAGCAGGTAGATAGGAGCGGAGATGCAACCTTACGGGAGTACAACAGTAAGATCTGGATGAGGAGAATAATATCAGTCGTACAACTATTTGCCATTTACAAAACACCTCATAACTATTCATTCAGCTGAAGTAGGTGGTTGGAACTCTGGTACAAATCCCACATCTCCTCTTTTCTGCCTTGGCAGAGCACCTGAACTTTCTTGCAAGTACCAAGAAAATAAACAATAATAATAACTGCTTAATAATAACTGCTTTTGAGTACCTACCCTGTATCAGGTGTCATGCTGGATACTGAGCATATAGTAGTAAATAAGACAGACAAATTCCCTATCTTCATGGAGCACAAATAATGAGCAAAAAATAAAATATTTATAGACTGATGAGATGAGTACCAGGTGCTGTGATAAAGAACAGGGTCTCTCTGAGGAGGCTGTGTTAAAGATGGTAGTTATGGTGGTGCTTAGCATGTACCAGGCACTGTTCCAAGTACTTTGTATTAACTAATTAAATTTAGCAATCTGATGAGGAATATACTATCATTATGCCTATTTAAAATGAGGAAACTAGGCCAGGCATGGTGGCTCATACCTGTAATCCCAGCACTTTGGGAGGACAAGGTGGCAGGATCACTTGAGCTAGGAAGTTCAAGACCAGCCTGGCCAACATGGCAAAACCCCATCTCTACTAAAAATTACAAAAATTAGGCAGGCGTGGTGGCACGTGCCTATAGTCCCTGCTACTTGGGAGGCTGAGTCACAAAAATCGCTTGAGCCCAGGAGGTGGAGGTTGCAGTAAGCTAAGATGGCGCCACTGCACTCCAGCCTGGATGACACAGCGAGACTATATAAAAAATAAATGAGGAAACTGAGGCTCAGAGCTTCACATACTGACCTACAAGCTATGATTATTTCTGTGTATATATAAAGAAACTGAGATGCCTAAAGGCTGAGTCACTTACCCAGGGTCACCCAACCAGTAAGTGAATCTAAATTTTTTTTTTTTTTTTTTTTTGAGGCTTATTCTGTCGCCAGCTGGAATGTAGTGGTGTGATCTCGGCTCACTGCAACCTCTGCCTCCCGGGTTCAAGCAATTCTCCTGCCTCAGCCTCCCAAGTAGCTGGGACTATAGGCGTGCACCACTACCATGCCCAGCTACTTTTTGTATTTTTAGTAGAGACAGGGTTTCACCATGTTGGCCAGGATGGTCTCAATCTCTTGACCTCATGATCTGCCTGCCTCAGCCTCCCAAAGTGCTGGGATTACAGGCGTGAGCCACTGCGCCCGGCCTGAATCTAAACTTCTGACTCACAACTCTCTGTTCTTCTATTACACCACCTGAAAATCATGACATTTGACTTATGGTACATTTTCCTAGCCAGTTAGATTTTACTTAGCAGTTAACATGTATACATTTTATATGCTTTCCCAGAGGCCACATTAATGAAAAATGGGGTCAGTACAGAAGTATCCTGAGAGTTGTAGTCCTAAAGTTATAGTCCTGGGATACAATCCTAAAGAGAAGCATCAGATGCCTGATCCTCTTACTAGTTTCCTTTCCCCATCCTCTTCCAACCTCCTCAGCACCATTTCAAGATGTCTCATTTTATTTGGCACAGGAATTAATCTTAAGTTCCCACATATCTCTGTTGGTTGTTTTTTTTTTTCCTTGAGACAGGGTCTCACACTGTTGCCCAGACTGGAGTGCAGTGGCGTGATCACAGCTCCCTGCACCCGCAAACTCCTGGGTTCAAGTGATCCTCTGCCTCAGCCTCTCGAGTAGCTAGGACCACAGGTGTGCACCACCACAACCAGCTAATTTTTTTCTTCTTAGAGACGGGGTCTCACTGTGTTGCCCAGGCTACATCTCAGTTTTTATCAGGTTTGTAAATCCTCTCGTAGGGGAGGAGAAGTGTCAGTCCTGTCCAGGAAGATCTGCAGTTTTGTGGCCTTTCTTACTACTCCGGTTTGTGGTCACCAGCTCATCTCCTTCCTCTCTGTGCTTTCCCTTGCATTTCCCACACACACCCATCACATTTATGCTGGGGTCATAGGGCTGTGTCCAGGCTTTGGAGCAAGACATCCATGGAGTGAAATACTGAATCTGCTAGTAAGTGATCTTAGGCAAGTGACTCAACCTTCCCGAGACACACTTTCCTTAAAAGTAATGTCAGGCTAATAATTCATACCTAATAGGATGATGGTGAGAATTACCCTAGAGGAAAAAAGCAGGCCCTCTTAGCTCCCTTTCCCTCCAGCCCTCGTATCCTCCCTACTCCCACAGTATAGTGGATACAAGTCCCTGTGTGACATTAGACAAGCCTTCAGGCCTCTCTGAGTCTTGGATGAACTGTCAGCGAGTCATGCCCCACAGGAAAGGTCTCTGGGCCGCTTTGAATGGCCATCCCTCACCTTCCAAGCAGAATTGCTGTTCCTGCTTTTGTGTTTTTGCCTTTGAAATATGCCAACTCCTAGGGGCATTTTTAGTATTTTTAGTAAAAATACTAAATATTTTTACTCCCAGGAGCATTTTTGTATTTTTAGTAGACAGACAGGGTTTCACCATGTTGGCCAGGATGGTCTCAATCTCTTGACCTTGTGATCCGCCTGCCTCAGCCTCCCAAAGTGCTGGGATTACAGGCGTGAGCCACCACGCCCAGCCTGAATCTAAACTTCGCACTCACAACTCTATGCTCTTCTGTTACACCACCTGAAAATCATGACATTTGACTTATGGTACATTTTTCTAGCCAGTTGGATTTTAACATGTATACATTTTATATGCTTTCCCAGAGGCCACATTAATGAAAAATGGGGCCAGTCCAGAAGTATCCTGATGTATGTCTTTGGTCTATTAAATACTAGATACAAAGTATGGGAGAGGGAGAAATAAGAATTTCTACTTCAATTAAAGAGCAAGTCTACTTTTGAGAAGATAATACTTTTCAGCCTTTTTTCTTTGTTGCCCTTAACAACATTCCATTGTTTGCTGCTCTCAGAGCCACTTATGTCCTTAGAACCTTATTCTGGGTCCTGGTTCGGATGACCAGTCATCATGGTTAGCCCAGAACTGATGCAGTTTTAGCACTGGAACCCAGGATCCAGGAAACCCAGGGAGGTTAGTCATCCTGGCTAGTGATGGGCCTCTCTCACTACTTGATGGGTTATTGCAGCACATTTTCTCAGAATCTTACGCTCCTGGCTGGCTGCCAGCCAGCACTGGATGGCCTAAGAAATAAGATCATGTATGTATTTAGGACACTAGCAAGTAGAGATACCAAAATTTAAGAGGAAAACATTTTTAAGAATTACATTTTTTAAAAAGATTGAAATCATTACCATGGGATAAATCACAACATCAACTGATTTTCTTATACTTATTTTAGATTTAATTTTGAAATATTATTTGAGCAGGAGCACCATCATCTTGTGGCCTTTATTAAAAAGGCCTCACTTTGAAGAACTTGAGACAAAAATAGTCTTTTCTGTTTACCCACATACTTACTATTGCTGTTGTTCTGCATTTCTTCTTCACATCCTGATTTCTGGCTGGGACCATTTCCCTTCAGCCTGAAAAACTTCTTTGGAATTTCACATAGTGTGGACCTACTGGTAACTGGTTATCCAGCTTCAATTGTCTGAAAATATCTTTATTTTTGAAAGATTTTTTTTCTACTGGATATAGAATTCTAACTTGAATTTTTGTTGTTTCTTTTAGCATTTTAGAGATACCTTTCCACTGTCTTCTGTCCTCCATTGTTTCTTATAAGAAGCATTGTTCTGATTGTTCTTGCACTGGATGTAACATGACCTTTATTCACTTCTTGTTTGATTTTCTCTTTATCTCTAGTTTTCAACAGTTTGATTACAGTGTTCATAGTTGTGGAGGTAGGGAATGGGATAGAAGCAGGGGAATGGGATAGGGGAGGAGGAACATAAAGATCTGTTCAACAGTATTAGAGATGTTTCGATTCTTAGATTGGGTTGTGGGTTTACAGATGTTCATTTTCTTGTGCTTCATGATTTACTGTTGTTACATAGATTCATTGGTATTCATTGGTATGAAATCACATAATCATATGTCATTAAAATTATACAGTGATTGAATGATAACAAGATGGAGACACCAACTCCTTCCACAAATTAGGCTGTGAATATGGAGCAGAGAAATAGGACAGTGGCTGGAGTGGCATGCGAGACCAAGGGAGGTTGTTTTTGTTTTTTAATATGGGAAGGCTGCAGCTTTCTATGTGCTAATGCAATGATCCCATAGAGAAAGGGAGAAGGGGAAGACACAGGAGTGGGAGAGAAAAAGGAGAGGGGGAAAAGAAAGGGTGTGGGATTTAGAGCACACATGGAGGTATTGGCCTTTTGAGAGGAAAAAGAAAACTCACCCAATATCATGAAGGAAGGCAGAGAAGATGGGTGCTAAAGCAGACAGGATTAGAGATTGGTGGTAGGGTTTCAAGTTGATGGAAGTTCCTGTTTTCTCAGTGATGCTTCAGGCACAGTCAGCAGCTCTAAGTGAGAGGGAGTGAGGCAAGGGCAGGAGCCCTGTCCTGTATCCACATTTGAGAATTCCACCTCTTCTGCCTCCTCCTAAGGCCAGCCTTGGCCCTCACAACTGAAGAGGAGCACTTTGAGAGGCTGCAGGGCTCTTCTCAACCACTGTCCTAGGACTGCTATACTAAAGCTGATCTGCTTCCGGGTCAGGGCTAACAGCCCATCCCTGAAACAGGAGAGGGCTCGTAATTGCTGGATTGATTGCCCTGGTTTCCCCACATGATCGAAGACAAGACCTGATCTTTCACTCCACACTGAAATGATATACCTGAGCCAAGGAACCTCCCAGTCTCCACTGGAAGCATCTGTGAAACAGATTTCCCCTCCCTCCTCCCACAGTAGAGTGGATACAGGAGCCTGTATGACATTCGTCAGATCTTTGGACTTTTCTGAGTCTGCTTTCTCATCTGTCAAATGGGGTTATCAGGCCTCACAGGGTGGTTGTACTGTAGAATAACGAGTGCCACACAGGTAGAGTATAGGGGCCAGCCCATAATTCCCACCCCATGCTACTTCAACTTCTGGCTGTCGCCTCTGCAAAAAGAAAAGGGGTGAGAACGATGGCTGGTTTAGCAGGACTGCAGCACAGCGATCCATTTGCAGTTCCAAATTCATTATAAATCAATCAAGTTCCGCTGCCCCTGCTTTCTCTTCCCTCTTGTGATGAAGTAACTCTTTACTGGGACAGCTTCCTGATTTTGTTAAAAGTTTTTTGTGATTCTGCTTGCTCAGCTGCTGATGGACAAACTAGTTTTATCAACTTCCATACAGGGGAGGAGAGAGGTTGACGATGAGAACGGCAGTAATTTGCTTTACATGTTGTCTTCCTCAGACTGTGTCTTCTGCTCTGTAGATTTTCACTCTTGGGAATATCTCAATCACTCTGATGACTTCAAATATGACTTTGAATGACTCTCAAATCCTTATCTTCAGTCTAGTCTTCTCTCTCATGCCGCAGACACGTACGGACCCACCTGCATCCTAGACGTCTTGTCCGATGTGTCACAAACAATTCACTCTGTCCAAAACTTGAGCTTGTCATCTTCCTTTGCATACTTCCTCTGCCACCTGCATCCATATCTCAGGAAATTCAGCCACCATCCATGTAGTTACTCCTGCCAGAAGCACAAGTATCTCTCACCCCTGCTCCTTTATCCCCCATGACCCACAGCCAAGATCCACATCACCAAGGCCTGTTAATTCTGCCACCTAAGCATCTTTTGAATCACTTACTTCTCACCCTGCCCTGTCTAGCCCAATCATCTCCCCACTATTTCTTTTTTTTTTCCCCGAGACGGAATCTCACTCTTGCCCAGGTCGGAGTGTGGTGGTGCGATCTCAGCTCACTGCAACCTCTGCCTCCCGAGTGCAAGCAATTCTCCTGCCTCAGCCTCCCCAGTAGCTGGGATTATAGGCGCGTGCCATCACGCCCAGCTAATTTTTGTATTTTTAGTAGAGATGGGGTTTCACCATGTTGGCCAGGCTGGTCTCGAACTCCTGACCTCAAGTGATCTGCCCGCCTCAGCTTCCCAAAATGCTGTGATTACAAGCGTAAGCCACTGCGCCCAGCCCCCCCGACTATTTCTAACCAGTCTCACTTATACTTGCACTTTTCCACCACCATTTATTCTCCACACTGTAGCCAGTGTAATATCACACTCTAATCAGATCTTACCTCACTTTACCACTGGCAGGGGGAACACTCTTTAAGCCTGTCAAAACCCCAAAAAACTTCCATATTCCTAAGTCAATTATCAAATCTCAGTGCCTGATTGCATGTGACACAGTTGATCTCTCTCCTTTGAACACTTTCTTCACTTATTTCTAAGGCATCACTTCTTCTTGGTTCTCCTCCCTCACTGGCTGCTCCCGCTCTGCCTTGTTTGCTGGGTCTCCCTCATTTCCCCTACTTCTTCTTCTATATGCTGAAGACTCCCGATGGTTAACTTGGCCCAGACCTAACTCTACAACTGTAACTCTACAACTGCCTACCCAGCATCTTCACTTGAATATCTAATAGATGTCTCAAATTTAACATGTCCAAAATTGAGCTCCAGATTTTATTCCCAAATCCATTTCCCCTTCAGTCTTCTCAATTTCGATTAAAGGGTACAGCTGAACTCTGGAGGGGGGTGGTGTTTTTTGTTTGTTTGTTTGTTTGTTTGTTTTTTGAGACAGGGTCTCCCTCTGTTGCCCAGACTGGAGTGCAGTGGCATGATCTCGGCTCACTGCAAACTCCTGGGCTCAAGTGATCTCCTGCCTCAGCCTCCTGAGTAGCTGGGACTCTAGTTGAGTTGTTCAGACCAAAACTCTTGGAATCCTCCCTGATGCCAGTTTTCAATTAAACAGGAAATTCTGGCAGCTCTATCTTTAAAATATACAGAAATGTGCTTCTCACCACCCTGGTCTCAACCATCATTATTTCTGGCCTAGATTATTGCAGTAACCTCCTAACTTGCCTTTCTGCTGCTTCCCTTGCTCCTCACAACCCATTCCCCATACAGCATCCTGTTAACTTTTTAAGACGTTAAATCAGTCATCAACTCAATCATGTGACTTCTCTGCTCAGAACCTTCCAATAACTTCCCGTCATTGAATAGGAGAACTAGAGCTGGGCCTGAGGATAGGCAGGCCAGAAAGTAGGAAGATAGTTTTGACCTCAGACTTGAAATTTGCATCTTTTAACAAATGTGCAAAGCCACAGTCCTGAGCTAGGTGCAGAAGACAGGAGCTTCCCTCGGGGAACTCACAGTTCCCTGGGGAGCCAGCCTTATATCTAAGTTCCTCCAACTCCTGCCAACTGCCTGTCATGCTGAAAGAGCTAGGACCCTCATGCTGTGGACCCTGCCTTTAGGGAGCTCGCAGTTCTTGGAAACGCACTGGACTCCAAACCACTCATTTCCTCAAATGACATTTGCCTATATTAGCACTGAAGTAAAGCAAAGGGAATGAGTATAGGAAAAGAAAGACAGAGCCATGTGGGGTGGCTTAAGTTGAATTCAACAAAGATAAAGGAAAGGCTTTTCATGCTGTGGATTTGAAAAGAAGAAACCTTAGAATCAACAGAAGTTGGACAGCAGAAGGTACAAGCACTGTGTGCTAGAGACATGGTCAGAAATGGGAAGAGATGGGCCTGGACTGAAACAAGATAGGAATTAGAAGCAAAGGACAAGAAGCAGCCTGTCTTCTGAGCCTTGGCCTCCCTGCCCTGTCCACATGGCACTTCTTTACCATGAGGTGAGCCTTGTCTTGCTCTGTGCCTTCCTGTGTTAAGCCCACGCTCTGCCCACATCATGAATGGGCCCCTGGATTAACCACAGGCATCGGGCCAGACACTGTTATTCATAAGGAGTGAGTGTAGGAGGCAGAAAGTATGAGACAAGGCCAGGCATGAGGGTACCCTTAAAACCTTGAGTTTTCCACCCACTCCCACCCGATGTTCTCACTTGTACTCAGCCAGACCACAGCACTTCAGACATCACTAAGGATCGAGGTGCCAGCAAGCCTGATTTTTTTGTCCTGTCTCTGCTTATGACTTTCTGAGGTCCTCAGCAACATGTCTAAACCAAGGGATAGAATTTTTCTATCCTGGCACCTCTAATCCCAGCTACTTGGGAGGCTGAGGCATGAGAATCACTTGAACCTGGGAGGCAGAGGTTGCAGTGAGTCAAGATGGTGCCACTGCACTTCAGCCTGGGCGACAGAGTGAAACTGTGTCTGAAAAAAAAAAATCTATCCTTTGGTTTCCTTTCCACAAACCAGAAGCAGCTGAAAGATAAATAGTCCTGGTAGAGAATCCCAGCTCTCCACAAAGCCACCAGATCAGATCAGTAGGGGGCCTGAGGGAACTTACTGATCCTGGGTTTCTTCTCAGCCTGTGGTCCAGGCCTGACGGCTGAGCTGCCCCTCTTGGGGCAAGAGGTCCTGACCTATTGCCTCATTTCATTAAACCACCAAGTCCCTAGCTTTCTGCAGAGCCTAAGAGAGACCTAAAGGTCAAAGTATCTCTGATAAAGGCCATACAGAGCTTTTAGAAGATAAGCAACTTGGCCACGGGTGTATAGAGGTCAGGAGAAACAGCCAAAATTGGCTGGCGCCACCCTGGCCCAGACTGCAAGTTGGCAGACACTTTTTAGGAAGGGGCTCATAGGTCTGCTGGGCAGGTGCTAGTCTCAGGTTGCCTGAGCCACTCTGAGGCCAGAGTCCAGGAGGAGCCAGGAGCTCTTCTTGTAAGAGTATAACTTTTAACCCTTCCCTCTCAAAACCTGGACTTTGGAGCCCTCTCTCTGGCAGAGCTTGGGTTCAGAAGATTGAGGATCATCTTTTGAACCAGGCCCTGTTTAAAAAAACAAACAAAAAAAAGGGTTGAGGAGTCTTGCCCTAGTCAGGCCCCTTCGTAGCATAGACTAAGGCCCAGGGTGAGGGAGTGACGTAGGCCCTGTAGAATGGGCCTGTCCGGGAAGGCTTCTTGGAGTAAGGAGAGGGTGGCATCAGGTGGGGTGTGGCACGGAGGGAGCATATCGGTAATAAGAACCACATGACCAGACCTCTAATTTAGGCATGGAGGGTGAGCTCAGAGCATGAGACCAGAGCCATGCGGCAGCCGGGCTGAGCAGGTCAGATTTGGGATTTGCCTCTCAGGGCTGGGCCTCTAGTCTAAGTGCCTTGTCCTCACTTCCCCTCTGCTCCTACTTGTGGCTGCTGAGTTTGCTGCTCTCTGTAGTATCAAGGAAGTTCTAGTCCAGGCCAGACTCTGAGAGCCACCCCAGGGAAAGGCAGCCAGCCAAAGGGGTGAAAGTTGAGCAAGGCAGGCAGCTATATTGAGCCCTCACTCGGCCTCTGATGCAGCAATCCATTGGCAGGTCCACCTAGCCAGCCAGACCCAGGCGGCTGTTTACTTTCAGTTTTCAGCTCCTGAGTCAATGTTTATGTCACTTAAAGGGGCTACTGTGGAAAAGAACAGAACTTTAGCCCTCATCCCAGACCAGAGGCTCACTGTTACCAAAGAAGGGGGGAAGACAGTGGGGCGGGGAGAACTTGCCTGGTCTAGCACTGCTTACCTCAGTACAGGAGATCCTGTACCCCAGCTCTACTCAGGACTTTTGGGGCCTGACCCTTTGCCAGGGATGGGGTCTGAGAACAGCAAGGCTTCATTTTGCTCTTGGGTCTGCAGCTGGTATTGGCTCTAGCTCCATCTTAGCCTCTGTGTTTTGTAAGATATTATACCTGGTCAGAACCTCGGCCATATCTGAATTTTATTTGAACCCAGCATAGACCTGGATAAGAAGACCAAACAGAAGTTCTTAGATCCACTTGACAGTGAAGCTAAGACCCAGAGAGACCCAGAGTGAGAAAGCATCTTGGTCTTGAGTGAGTGAGACAGTTAGGTTGGGCCACAGACCAGTGTCCCTTCCACTGCACTCCATTGCCTGTCCTCTGAGAAAGTCCCTCAGATACTTGGAAGCAGGGGTAAGTGGGGGCACCTGTACCCACCAACCCCTGGGAGCATGTGGCCTGTTCGAGGAATCCATCTGGGGGCTGGAGTGAAGAGAACCTAGAACACAGTGGCTGGGATCAGATCATGTTCCAGGCCAAAGAAGAGGGCCAGGCCCTCCTGAGAGAGCTTTTGGAGAAGAGTCTGCATCACAGGGAGCAGACCAGAGAAGGAGCCAAGGGCCGGGATAAGCCCGTGGTTTATAGAGTGCCTCCTCTTGCATTATCTGCTCATCCTGATCCCATTCAGATGCACAAACCAAGGCCCAAAGAGAAGGTGGGTTGCCCAACACCGCTTGGCTAAGAAGTGGTAGAGCCAGGACTAGAACCAGCTCCTTATGCAGGGTTAGCCACTCAATTTGAAGAGCCTCAGGAAGCCCCACATTTTCTTTCCAAACCACTCCTTACACCTTCCACGTGCTCCATTTTCTCCCCAGCAAAGTCTGATCTTTAGCATTGAAGGCTCTTTTAAGACACATCTATTATCAGAGAGGCCTATCATGTTCATGACCTGGGTGTCCAGGTACTCAGAAAGGAACAGGTCCCATGTATGGATGAGGTAGGATTTAATGGGGCAGCCTGAAAGCCCCTGGCCTACTGCCGTGCTTGACACCCGGTCCACAGGAAAGCCAGTTCTGTCCTTCAGCCTAGTACAGTCGTCAAATACCCCATCCCTGTTCCCTGGGAAGGCCCTTACAGATCAGCTCGCTGAAGTCCAAGAAGAATAAGATCAAATTCCCCCCAGACATTCTGGAACTTCCTCAACCAGCATCAACCCCTCTTCTAGTAATAGGTTTGTCTTGGCTGTTCTCCATACCTGCAGCTCAGCCTATCCACCCCCACCACTTTCCTAGCAAAGAAAATTCCTTCCTCACAAAACCTGCACCTCCACGTGGCATACCCTCTCTCTTCATTGTCTGTTCACATTCCACCTTCATGTTTAAGTTCCCGCTCCAGGGACTTCACCCCATGGATGACACCCGCTGTCTAGACTCCAAGGCACCTGCAGCCCCTCCAGCTACGACGATCCTGCTTCCATGTGTGTTCCTCCTGCCTCCCCAGGAAGGTTGATGCCTCCCACAAAGCCCATGTTCTGCTGACAACTTTCTTGTGCCCTCAGGTCTACAGCCAGAAGTGTAGGAGTATTTCAGAGGAATGGATGATACATTTGAGGGTATCCCTGCTCTGGCCAATTTCGCCTCTGGCCAACCCCACCAGGGTTGTGTGTTAGGGTAGCAGTCCTGATGAAGGAAGAATCTTCACTACTAGTCAAGATGGTTTCTAAACCCTATTGAGGTCAACAAAAGCAAAATGCTGCTGAGTGTGAGTTCTCTGTCCTTCCACACCCCGCCCCTGCCCTGTACACAGAGCCAAGCCCTGTCCTTGTCCTTGTTCTGATTCCTGGGCCTGGGCCTTGCAGATAAGGCCCCCTAGGTCATTGGGTTAGGGTATCAGTGCTGGAAGGTTGGTGCCACACACGATTCAGCTCCAGGGCAGATATGGCCCAGCCAGTAGGTGTAGGTCTGTGCTCATGCTGTTCCCTCTAATGAAAGACCTCACCTGACAGCCAGCTTCTGTTGAGACCTTGCCCATCTTGGAGCCCACCTCCTGTGAAGCCGCCCCAGACTTTCTCAGCTGTTACTAATTGCTATTTTCTCAGTGCTCACAAGCTCTAAGCTTCATCTCTGTGATTGTTGGGTAGCTCATTGTCTGTCTTCTCTCTAGCTGAGCAGCCCTATGACAACAGGAACCACGTCTGCCTGTTGTCCATAAGAGTTGATCAAGTTGATTAGATCTTAGGCTCCTGAAAAGTTTGATGAGTCACCAACAGAGGTGTTTTGTTTTGAGACAGGGTCTTCCTCTGTCACCCAGGTTGGAGTGCAGTAGCATGATCATGGCTTACTGCAGCCTTGAATTCTTGGGCTCAAGCGATCCTCCCACCACAGCCTCCTGAGTAGCTGGGACCACAGGTGTGCACCACTACACCCTGCTAATTTTTTTTTTCCTTTTTTTTTTTTTTTGAGACAGGGTTTCCCTATGTTGACCAAGCTGGTCACAAACTCCTAGACTCATGCGATCCCCCTGCCTTGGCCTCCCAAAGTGCTGGGGTTACAGACGTGAGCTACCCAGCCCAACAGAGGTCTTTTTATGGTCATTTCATGAACTGAGGTAGTTGGCCCTTCCAGCCATGGAGAACAAGACTCATCTAAGTCTCTCTAAAACAGAGAAGACATCTCTTCTAGAAAATGGGGAAACAAATGCCTGGTTTTAGGATTTGAGATAGAATACTATGCTCTAAGGCCTGTTTTCCCATCTGGCTCATAAAACAAACATCTCCCTACTTCCCCTTCAGAGTAGCAGAGAAAGAAATGGAAGGTAAGATACAACTGATGACCCAGAAAATCTACCTGCAGTACAGCTGGGGGTCAGGAATGGGACTTGTGTCATCCTAAATCCCAAATAGCTCAGGAAACAGCCATCTTGGATCTTGGGAGTAGAGAAAGATATACACAAGCTTAAAGTGCTACATAGAGCCTGAGAGAGTTTAACTTAACTAAAGACCTGGCATATGGTAGGACAACAACCACTGGTTCTAGAATGAATGAATGAGAAGCTTACTACAAAGAGTCTCCTCCCCACCCAATTTAAACCTGTGGTTACCCTGGCCTGGTCCCACCCACACTGGTCTAGCAGCTCCCAGGCTCCTGTCTTGGAACTGGCCTCGCTGGGATCCCAAGCCTCAGACCCAGGCCGTGCCCTGCAGGAGCACCCAGTGTGGAAGTGGGAGAGCAACAGGCAGAGGCTGGCCACTGGCCTCCCCTGGTCTGAGGCATCATGCAGTGCAGGTGCTTCCTGTATTTTGGAAGGAAGAACTGCAAACACCAGCAAAAAGTGGGTTTCCTTCTTCCCTTCTAGCCTAGACCTGCCTAGAAGGCAGGGAGATAGATCTTCTAGTCTCTGCTGTGCAGCCCAGCCCTAGTATCACTTTGCTCTTGGTTATAAGGAAAGGCTGCCTGTGGGCTCATAGCACTGAGAGCTTCCCAGATTGTAGACATTCCCTTGGCACTTAGAATTCTAGACTGGCAGGGACCCTCAAGGTTTCCCATCCACACTTCTATTTCATGGGTGGGAAACTGACATCCAGGCAGTAGATCAGGGATGCCTGACTCCACTCCCCTTATCTCATTCTGGCAATTCTAATTCTTTAGGCAGATCTCTCTGCCTCCAGGGCTTAACTCTGAGCTGAGAAAGCCTAAAACGGAGTTCTGTTTATTTCTGCGCCCCTCTCAAGTAGGTATTAAAAAAGATTGAAGACATGAAAGAAAGAATAACTGAATGTTACTGATGCCAGAAGCAACTCTCGCTGGGCGCAACTCTCGCTGGGCGCAACTCTCGCTGGGCCTCAGTTTCTCATGAGCAGAACTGCAGGGGGTAGGTGGTCCCAGTCTCTAGGGTCTCCACCAAGCTTCTTCTCAGTGCCCAGGAAGTGGTACAGTGTGCTCTCAATAGTCCTTCAGCTTATGACAGCCTCAGCTCATGGGACTTGATGACAGGGAAGAGCAAGCTGCATGCCATGAAGTCAGCCAGGTTTGCCTGTGGAGGCTGCTCCCATCTCCTTTCAGAACTGCCCCCTCCCCTATCAGGCCCCCACTTCTTCCCCAGGGCCTTGCTCTCAGCCAGCTGTCTGGGATGGCTTTCCTGTATAGCTTTGAGCTCCTTCAGCACAGGAGCCTGACATGGAGTAAGAAAAAAGAAAGAAAAATGAGTTAGAGGAGTCCAGAGGACCATGATACCATAGCCCACAGGTTTAAGTACCTTAAAGGCGGAATTAGTGATGCCCTGTCAGCCAGAGTCAGAGAGATCAAAGTTTGGTAGCCAAGCAGTAGGTAGGTGCTTTATGTCACCTGGCAACTCCAGGAGCTCCAAAGGGCCAAACAGAGAGTGTATTATTCACCGCCATCTCCCTGAGAGTTGGATATGTTCCCAGCATCACACATGGGACTAAACCCAGAGGACAAATGACTTGTCTAAAGCCATGCAACAGGAGAAGGGATGAGGATTCAAACCTATCCTGGAGGTGACGCTGCCTCCTTCTCCAGAGGCACAGAAAGAGTCAGGGCTGGGGTTCACGTCCCAGCTCTGCTACTCAGAGCTGTGGGACCTTGAGTTTATTCCACCTGAATGTAGTTTCCTTATCCACGACATGGGGAGAATGATATACCCCCCATATGGGGTTGAGGTAAGGGTCAAGCAAGATAAGGTACGTAAAGCGCTTTGTAAACCAGGCAGCTCTACATAAATATTAACCAAAGGACCAAAAGATGAGAGAAACCAGCGTCATCCATTGGTGGTGCCATATCCTCAGTGGTAACCTAGCTGACTTCTTCCTCTCCAGGACAAGAGCGAAGCCACCAGGGGAGCTCTCTCCCAAAGGCCTTGTCGCCCCAGACCTAACTCGCTCCCCCTCAACCTGCCTGAGGAAGAAACTCTCAGGATTGCACGGATATTTTCTTCTCAGTACTCCCAGAAAGACTGACGCAGCCTGAGGGGCTGGGGGGAAGGAGACACCTGCCCACCCTCCGTCAGCTTTGTCCAGCTTGCAGGAGGCACCAGGTCTGGCTCCTTCAGGGCTGTCACAGTCCTGAAACCACCACTTGCCTAGGCCACGGATGCCTCAAGAGACCCGGTCAGCCCAGACTGGAGGAGTGCCCCAAACCAGTCCAGTGTCCACTTGCCAGAATTTCAGCTCCTTTTTTCTGTGGTGAGGCAAAGGCTAGAAATAAAATGGAATCCGCGCCCAAGTGGGACCCAAGCAGGCATCTTTCGGTGGAGAAACGCCCCCCAGTGTCCTTGACACAGCTGACTGCTGGCATGAGCCCACCCTCTGCCTGAAGATGCAGGACCATTTTTGCCTTAAAAGTTGGGGAGGAGGGACATGTAGATTGTGTGCATTGTGCATAGTCAAGGAAATCCTAGGGCCACCTCCAGTTCATTTGTGTGGGAACAAGGATATTTTATAGATACAAATTATTTTTATGCTGTGTTGAATTAATCAATTAGGAGAGGAAGGGGAAATCACTTCCTTCAAACTTTTTATCTGATTGTCTAAAATTCTAACCATGCTTTTAACTTATTATTTTTACCCAGCTCTGAAGGTCATTGTTCTTGCCTGTGTTTGAATAAAATCATATTGGTGTTTGTAATCTGTGCACAAGTGTTTCGCTGGAGTGGGGATGCTAGGAATTCGTGTGTGCCCTAACTGCCAGAGAGAAAGATTAACAACCATACACCCCACGCAGACGAAGATCAATCACCATGAGACTTCTGGCTCCTCCAGAATCAGGTTGGTCCAGATGACAGTGACACCCAGTATTTCCTTTGCTGATGCTTGAAATCCATCAGACAAAGCCCCGTGGGGAGGACAAGAAAAGGGCCATGGATGGGTGCAGTGGCTCACACCTGTAATCCAAACACTTTGGGAAGCCGAGGCAGGCAGATCACCTGAGGTCAGGAGTTTGAGACTACCCTGGCCAACCTGGCAAAACCCCGTCTCTACTAAAAAAAAAAAAAATACAAAAATTAGCTGGGCGTGGTGCACGCCTGTAGTCCTAGCTACTCAGGAGGCTGAGGCAGGAGAATCACTTGAACCCAAGAGGTGGAGGTTGCAGTGAACCGAGACCACGCCACTGCACTCCAGCCTGGACAACAGAGCAAGACTCCGTATCACAAAAAAAAAAAAAAAAAATGGGGTCGCGGGAGCCAAATGTGCAGAGTGAGCAGTGTGGCTGGGCAACAGGCTTTCACCCCCAAGTACATGTCACTTCACTCAGTCCTCAAAACAGCTCTCTAACTCTAGATATTATGATATCTAGAGTTTCTGTAAGTTCAGTGTTTTGCCTCTGTTTGTGTAGTTAGGAAGTGATTAACCACACAAGAAATCCCAGAGGTATTGCAAGGCTACTGCTTTCAGTAATCAAAACAAGGTACAGCCAATAAGTGCTCTGAATTTAGGGACTTCATGGAGAAAGACCATGTGGGCTGGGGCAGTCAGGGAAGGCTTCCTAGAAGAGACAGGTCTTGGGGTGAGCACAGAGAATTGGCCCAGGCTGTGGACAGCTATAGAGAGAGAGCCAGGAAAGCCTGTGAGCAGTGTGCAGCTGGAGATAGAGACCAGTCTCACTGCGTCTGAGCCTCTGTGGCCTCGTCTGTAAAACAGAGATAATCACCCCAGCTTCATGGGGTTGTGAGGAAGATCAAATGAGATGACATTTGTGAAAGTGCTTCGCCTACTTTTGGCACATGGTGGAAGCTTAGGAAATGTCAGCCCCACCCACTCTCCTGACTTTCGGGAGCAAACCAGTAGAGAGGCAAGCATGCAGCCACTGGGGCAGGCAGAGCACTCCTGGGCCTCAGAGGGTGCAAAATGATGCGGGAACCTCAAGGAAGGAGTGGGTGCTGCCTTCTTGGTGACAAGCCCTCCCGCTTCTATTTATCTCTGCTCCGACGCCTGCCAGCCCACCCCTCCCCAGCACCACAGAGGCCAGCCTCCCTCTCAAGTCACCAGCACAGAGCATTCAAGGCCCAGGGCCCCACTTCCCTTGGGGCCCAGGGGACCTAAAGAGGGGCAGTCAGGGCCCAGGCCTGAGGGGGAAAGCCCCAGGTAAAGAATATTCCTCCAAATCCCACTCCAGCTCCCGCAGACAACCTGATCGGGGTCAGGAGGACACACTCCTACCCCAGGCTGAGAGCAGCCTCTGATAACACAAAAGGACCCTGAGGGTGGAGACCTCCCACCTCCACTTCAAAACAGTGTGTTATTTATCAATATCTTATCCCCGGAAGTTGAATCTATCTCCCAGTGCCAACTCCGAGATAAATGACTTGACCAGGCGTGTGGCATGGATTAAGGCATGAGATAGGTGTTCCCACCACCAGAACGAGCCAGTGGCTGCCTCTCTTCCCTTTGAGCCCTCCCTCCACAGAGACCTGTGAATAGGTGTTTCTGATCCCTAGGCTGGTTGCATCCCAACCCAGAGCAGGCAGCCTTCGGACTTCTAGCATGGGCTGGCCTCAGGACATGGAGCCAAAGCAGGCAGACCTGGCCCTGCCCTCAAGCTCCCAAGCTAAAGAGAGCCTGGCCCTCCCTCCCACTAGGTTTCTCCAGAGCCTGCTGCCTCCTGGTTTGGGCTTCTACTCTATTCTTCCCCCACAGACTCCCTGCAATTTACTGCATCACCTCTAGACTAGCAATTACAGATGGAGCTCAGAACCTACTTCCTGAGCCTTCCTAATCTCAGCAGCCCTGACAGCCACTTCCCTCTTAACACTAATGCAGCTGCTTATTCTGCTGACATTAAGGTCAGGGCCTGGTCCAAGGAAGAGGACAGGTACAGCCCAAGCTTTGCACTTGAACATCCATGCTTCTGACCACCTGCCCTGTGACGCTGGCTCTGTGCCCCAGTCCAGAAAAGACTTCTGCCTACTCCTCCTCTGCCCTACCCAGTTAACTCCCTTTCCTTCCCTCCCTTCTGCTTCTCACTCCTCCCCTCCCTTCTCTTCTTCTTCTCCCCTTCCCCCATCACCTGGGGCCCGATTCAGCTGTGCCCAGCCCTTACTCTGAGTGCCCACAGATGGAGCCTCCAGTAGCTTCTGTGGGGCACCCTTCCACCAGGTCCCAGCTCCCTTGGCTCCAGCAGTGTCCATGCTAAAGCCTCCAAGTGTCATGTTGGAGAGAATGGTGGTCACAGTAGATAAGCCCAAAATGCCTTACAGTTTACAGGCTGGAGTCAGGCCCCGCCACGTGCTGGCTACATGACTTCCCTGAGATTCCATTTCCTCCTCAGTAAAATAAGTGGTAAGATTTTAGGATCCCCAGCACTAAAAAGAAACGAAATACTGATACAGGCTCCAACATGGATGAATTTTGAAAGCATTACTATACTAAGTGAAAGAAGCCAGTCACAAACAAGCACATATTGGATGATTCCATTTCTAGGAAGTGTTCAGAACAGGCAAATTTATAGAGACAGAAAGTAGATTGATTAGTGGTTGCCTGAGGCTGGGGAGCGGGGGAAGGGAGGTGACTACCAATGTGTATGGAGTTTTTCCAGGGTGAGAGGGTGATGAAAATGTTCTAAAATAGATTGTGTTGATGGTTGTGCCACTCAGAATATACTAAAAACCATTTGAATTGTGCACTTGAAACAGATGAATTGTACGGTATGTGAATTCTATATCAATAAATCTGTAATTTAAAAAAAAAAAATTAGGTCGGGTGCAGTGGCTCACACCTATAATCCCAGCACTTTGCCAGACTGAGGCAGGAGGATCACTTAAGCCCAGGAGTTCAAGACCAGCCTGGGGAACACAGCAAGACCTCGTCTCTACTAAAAAATTTTAAATTACAAAAAAAAAAAGTAAAAAAAATAGAATCCTAATAGTACCTATCTCATAGGATTGTGGAAAATAGTAGTAATGTATGTAAAATATTTAGCACATAGTAGGCACAAAGAAATGACATTATTATTAAGAGACCTGGGAGAGCTGTGCCCAGCCTATCGTGGGAGGCCTTGACCTTTGGACTCAAAAGTGGCAGCAGGTCCACCCCCCCATACACCCTTGTCACCAAGGAAGCGTCCACAGCTTAAAGGAGCTATATTAAAGCACCCCAAGTCAAGAGGACTGAACCAGATCTGGAACTCACTCACCTCCCCTCTCACCTCACTGCCCTCACCAGCCAGCCTCTTGTCAAGTGATCAGGCTGTCAACCAACTTCTCTAGGATAAGGTTTCAGGTCAGCCCGTGTGTATAAGACCAGTGCCAAGCCAGAAGCAGCAGAGACAACAGTGAATGACAAGGAGGGGCCATCCAATCCCTGCTGCCACCTCCTGGGATGGAGCCCTAGGGAGCCCCTGTGCTGCCCCTGCCGTGGCAGGACTCACAGGTAAGACCCCTTTCTCCTCCCTCATCCCTTCCCCTCTCCCTCTCCCTTCTCCTTGTTCTCCCTTTCATTGGAGGCTTTCAGAGAGCAGCCCCGAGCAGTCAGGGCTCACTAGCTGCAGCTTGTCAGACCTGATAGAGATTCAGTCCAGCCGCCACCTTATGAAAAGGGAGCTGTGGCCTTGATGAGGGTACTGTGGCAGGGCTGGGGCTTGAACCCAACACCCGTGTCACTCACTCAAGACTCACACCCCCTTTGCCTTGCTGGCTGCCTCTGGTGGGATTTTGCAAATCCCCATAGACAGGAAGTGGCTTTCTTCTTTGCCTGCCCCAGAATCTCTGCGATTCCTCCAGAGCATAAATCCCTCTCTTTCCATGAGGACCCTGGGGCCCTCTTCCTGAGTAGGGATGACAGGGGCACTTCTGACCTGAGGCGTGGTCCAGGTCATTTGCTGGGAGCTTTACAGAGCCCATGGTCTCTGCCCAGACGGCTTCTTCAGTGGGCTGCTGTGAAGGCTTTGCCGGGAGGGTGGGTTGGAGTTGGGGAGGCAACTGGTGTTGGGTAGGATGTCTCAAAATGGGGTCCTCTTCCCCTGCTTCAGAGCTACCACAGGGAGTTTTCCTAATGCAGATTCCTAGGCCCCACCCCAGACCTAAATCAGGATCTCTGGGGCTGAGAGCTGAGAATCTGCTCTGTAAACAAGCAGCTCAAGGGATCCTTGGCTCTCCCTGAAGTCTGAGACTCTCTGGGCAGTGAAACAGGCGCAGCTTCAGATGTCAGACAAACGTGGGCACCAATCTCAGCTCCAGCACTTCAGCTGTATGACTAGCAAAAGCCCTGGAAGCCTCAGGTCCCTGGTTTACGAAATGAGAATAATAATAGCAACTACTTGTAGCCTTATGAAGGGATCAAATCAGTCAGTGTCTGTAAAGCCCTCAGCACGGTATCTGGTGCAAGAAGCAACCAGCAAACATTAATGGACCATGCTGACTAGAACATCCCATCCCTCAGGAGCCCCAGCAGAGCTACAGTAATGAGGGTTCCACTTTTGACTTCTTCCTCCACTGGCCAGTGGCAAAAGGCTGCCGGCTGCTAGGGGTCTAGGAGAGTCTGGAGTGAATTGGGAAGAAGATTGGGGAGTGCTGGCCTCAAGGCACCTCCTACCTGTGCCCACCACTGTGGCTTTCCCTCCTCCCGCAGCTTGACTACTGAAAGTTCTAGAGCCCCAAGGTGGGCTTTTGACCTGAGTCTGTGTCCATCCATTCCATTTTCCATGAGTGGCTAAGAACTGCCCCTCTTGTCAAGTGATCACGCTGAGGCCAAGAGTTCAAGACCAGAATAGGCAACATAGAGAGACCCCCATCTCTACAAAAAATAAAAAATTAGCTGGGTATGGTGATGCACACCTGTAGTCCCAGCTACTCGGGAGGCTGAAGGTGGGAGGGTCACTTGAGTCCAAGAGGTCAAGGCTGCAGTGAGCCTGGATTGCACCACTGCACTCCAGCCCAGGTAACAGAGTGAGACCCTGTCTCAAAAAAAAAAAGGAGGCAGTTTGATATTGGGGAGAACAGATGCCTGAGCCTCGGTTTCCTCATGTATACAGTGCAGGTACCACTATCAGCTCTGCCTACCCCTGGTAAGGAGGGGAGGGAGAGGGTCAGGAGGAGGATTGCAAAATTCAAGGGATAGGAACGTGACCTGTTTTTATAGGCCAAATTCATGCAGCTTAAGTATGGCACCACCCAGGCTTCTCCCTTTCTAAAGCCCCTCCTGGGTAAGGAAGAGTTCCTGGGAGCCAGGCCAGACATCACTCCATCAGCCTTCTCTGGCCTGTCTCCTGCAGCCCCACCGCTGCACTGAAGCCCAGGGCTGTGGAGCAGCCTCTCTCCTTGGACCTCCTCTCGGCCCTAAAGGGACTGGGCAGAGCCTTCCAGGACTATGGTTGGACTGAAGCCTTCAGACGTGCCTCCCACCATGGCTGTGAAGTTCCTGGGGGCAGGCACAGCAGCCTGTTTTGCTGACCTCGTTACCTTTCCACTGGACACAGCCAAGGTCCGCCTGCAGGTAGGTGCCCTTTGGCCAAGGGTCATTGATCACATGGAAGGAGGGGCTAGTTCTCTCCCATATCCCCCATGACGTGTGCCCACATGCCCTTCCTCAGAACCCTGACAAAGACTCTCACTCCACTGCTTAGGACCCTTCCTTGCCTCCTCCCATCACCATCCACCAGGACAAAAAAATCTAAATTCTTTGCATGATGTGACAGGGCCCTTTATGGGCTAGGCCCTACTTTGTAAAGCATGCAGTGTGAGGTAAAAGTAAGGAATTAACTGTGTGACCTTGGGCAAGCCACGAAGCACTTATAAAATGGGAAAAACAATCTGTCCCTCTGATTTACTCTGAGGATCAAACACCAAGCCATGTGTATAATACTGCTTTGTGAATGGTAAAATGCTGCGCAGACACCAGTGATTTCTACTGTGACCAGCATGGTTGTTCTCAGGCCCAGCCCAGGCAGGCCCAGCCCCAGCAGGGTTCCTGTGCACGCAGCCCCTTCTTGCCTTCCCATCTGAGTCCTCACCCCCTGCTATTGTCCCTCAGATCCAGGGGGAGAACCAGGCGGTCCAGACGGCCCGGCTCGTGCAGTACCGTGGCGTGCTGGGCACCATCCTGACCATGGTGCGGACTGAGGGTCCCTGCAGCCCCTACAATGGGCTGGTGGCCGGCCTGCAGCGCCAGATGAGCTTCGCCTCCATCCGCATCGGCCTCTATGACTCCGTCAAGCAGGTGTACACCCCCAAAGGCGCGGACAGTGAGTGACCAGGTCCCTGAACACCAAAGGGGTGGCTGAAAGTGTGTGGGTCAAGAGACCAGGGAAGTCTAGACTCAGAGGCAGAGCCAGGGGCGGGGGGAAGCTGGTACCGGACGCTTATGAGGAGGCTCTGAGTGGACATCAAGGAAGCTGCAGGGGCAGCCCCGCAGAGAACAGCATGTCCCAGAATGCTGCTTAGTAGGGGACACTGGCCCACTCTCTCTGCCCCTCCCAGACTCCAGCCTCACTACCCGGATTTTGGCCGGCTGCACCACAGGAGCCATGGCGGTGACCTGTGCCCAGCCCACAGATGTGGTGAAGGTCCGATTTCAGGCCAGCATACACCTCGGGCCATCCAGGAGCGACAGAAAATACAGCGGGACTATGGACGCCTACAGAACCATCGCCAGGGAGGAAGGAGTCAGGGGCCTGTGGAAAGGTAGGTCTGGACTCTGGACGCAGGCGGTCTTAGGCAGAGCTTTCCCTCCCCTCAGGCTGGGGCAGGGACCCCAGTAAGGAGGGGACTCCCAGCATGGCGTGTTCCAGTGATTCTGAAAGAACATCACAACCAAAGATACTTCACTGACCTGCCACAGCCCCTCAAACTCAGTTCATTTTACCAGCCCTTTGCCATGTGCAGGTTGATGTGAGGGAGCCAGAAATGAACTTAAGACACCTTCACACGCCCAGGGCATGAGGACAGCAGAGGAGATAAGATGCAGCTACACCACAGGCAGGATGTGGTAGGGGTTGCCCCAGAGGTGGAGCTCCAGAGGCGGGCTCTGCAGAGAAGGTGACACCTAAGCTGGGCCTGGAAGACTGAACAGGCTCTAGGTGTGTGGAGACGGAAGGGGAGGGGCCCTCAAGCAGGGTCCGGAGGAAAAAGAGGAGCATCAGAAAAGCACAGCTGTGAGGAGTGGGCGCAGGGAGATGCAACGAGGAAGCGCTTCCTTGGGAGCAAAGCTGGAGGGCTCCCTATGTGTCCACATGGCAGCCACTGCGATGAATGCAGGACTCTCTCCGCATGTGAACCAGAGGTTGCAGGAACGTTTGCAGAAGAAACTGACCCAGTGAAGTTTAAGGGCAGGACACCTCTTAAGTTGGGGCTCTTCACTCACTTGTTGGGCACCCTTCAGAGCTTGTCCCCTTACCTGTGAAACCAGGGGTTTGATCCTGACAGTTTCCTAGGGCCCTGCTGGCACCACATTCTGTCACTGTTCCAAGAGCTCAGCCTCTCGCTGAATGACTTTCTTTTCTGGCTGCAGCTGGGTCTCCAGGAAGCATATTTTAATTTTGACAGCTATTGCAGATCACCCTCCAAATGTGGCCAAATGAACACAAGTGGGCCTCTCTGTTCTCTGTCTCTGAGGAAAACATGGATAATCTGAGAGTTGTTAACCCTAGAAAGGAAAATGTGGAATCTGCTCAGCTGGGGTGGGATCCTCTGGCTGAGACCATTGGAATGGGGCACTATGGCCCCAAAACTGGGGCCTGTGGCCTTGCAGCCAGGGCATCCATTTCTCCCATTTCCCATTCCTCCCTCCCCACCCATTTCACATCCCTCCCCACCGCCTTCCTAACAGGAACTTTGCCCAACATCATGAGGAATGCTATCGTCAACTGTGCTGAGGTGGTGACCTACGACATCCTCAAGGAGAAGCTGCTGGACTACCACCTGCTCACTGGTGAGGCCCTGGGCTCCAGGCAGGCAGCTCTCCCTCAGCAGGGAGGGAACCCAGAACTCCGTGGAGTGGGCACCACCCAGAGGCAACTGGGTTTTAGAAGGAGCAGAGAGAGAAGCAGTGCCTAGTAAAAAGTGCCAGGTACATTGTGGTGACAAGCAGGAAAGACCCCTGGGCTGGGAGGCTGGAGACTTGGGTTCCAGTCCCAGCACCACCTCTCACTATATAGCTTTAAGCAGGGGTCTCTCACCTTCTCCGACTTCAGTTTCCTCAAACAGCCTGCATGACCTCCCACCTCTGGGTCAGCCCAGGCCTAGTTTGCCAGTACTTACCAAGAGCTTAGCCCAGGGCACTGTGAGAGATATGGAAAATACTGTCCTATGCTCAGGGAGTTCACGGTTGAGTTGGGGACAAACAGTGCATACATATGGACAGAACACAAATGCACTCCTTGATATTTGCTTGTCCTTCCTCTGCAGACAACTTCCCCTGCCACTTTGTCTCTGCCTTTGGAGCCGGCTTCTGTGCCACAGTGGTGGCCTCCCCGGTGGACGTGGTGAAGACCCGGTATATGAACTCACCTCCAGGCCAGTACTTCAGCCCCCTCGACTGTATGATAAAGATGGTGGCCCAGGAGGGCCCCACAGCCTTCTACAAGGGGTGAGCCTCCTCCTGCCTCCAGCACTCCCTCCCAGAGAACAGGGGCTTCTTTCTTTTCGAATGTGGCTACCGTGGGTCAACCTGGGATGTAGCGGTGAAGAGTACAGATGTAAATGCCACAAAGAAGAAGTTTAAAAAACCATGCAAGTAAAAGAAAAAAAGTGAACCATACCTGATGGGGAGGGTTAGGGAAGCCTGACTGAGAACAAACACTCCAGGAATAGGTAAAAGTACTGCCTGTCTCCAGAGGAAGTTAGCAATCCTGAGACCTCCTGGACCTCCTGCCATGGCCATTGAGCACCACACTGACCATGGCCAGTGCCTTCCTCACTGTCTCCACACGCTCCACGTTTTCTTGCACTTACTGCTCCCTCTGCGTGGAATGCCTCATCATCTACAGGCTGTCAATTTTAGCCATCCTTCAAGACGAGTTCAAATGCCACCTCCTCCCTAACACTCTCAGGTGTAAATTTTTCCTCCTCCCTGGGAACTTCTGCAATGCCATTTGATACCATTTTTATGGTATTTATCACCTCCTGCCTTGTATTATAGTATTTGTAAGCTTAAATTATTCCTCATGCAAAGAGCAAGTTCCTGACAGCAAAAGTGGCTCAGACATCTTTTATCTCCCACAGTCCCTCACACAAAGTGAGCACTCGATAATGCAGGTTGTTTATGATTATCACAATAGCTAAGTCACTCTATATTAGGCCTCGTGCTGAGCACTTTACACACGTTATCCCAACAGCCCCTTGAACTGGGTAGTATTGTCCACATTAACTAAGGAAAAGACTGAGTGTCAGAAAAGTTAAGTAACTTATCCAAGATCACAGGTTAAAATGGTGGAGCCATGGCTCAAACCCTGACCGTCAGACACCACACCCAACAATGTTGTTTATCCTACTGGTAAGCTCTTAGCTTGGCCCTTTCACCTCCCACTGCTGATGTCTTCAACAGAGAGTTTTTTGGTGCCCAGTGTTAGAATGGACCCAACAAGTGAACAAGAGCTGCTATAGGTTCTCAAGCCTGGGAATGACGTAATAAAACTATACTGCAATTGACAGACTGTTCTTCCAAAAAGTGCCTCTATCATTACAGTCTTCAGCTGTAGCCACTTGTCTCAGTTACTGCTTTCACTTGTCCAACATTTCTGGAGCATCTTGTAGGTGCCAGGCCCTGGGTTATGCCTCCCTCAAAGAGCAGCAGATAAGTTGGTGGTATTTACTGAGCATGTATTGATGCTGGGCCCTGTGCTGAGTGCTGTCCAACATTAACTCACCTAATCTGCACGACTAACTCCACAAGGCAGATACTGTTATTTTCCTCATTTTACAGATAAGGAAACTGAGGCTTAGAAAGATTAAGTGATGTGTCCAGATTGTAAAGCTAGAAACTGGGAGAGCTTGGATTTGAACCCAGGTCTGACTCCAGAGTTTACATTTGTTGTCACAGTACTATCGTCCCCACAAGAGTCAAGAAAACCCATGGCATGAGGTCACAGTGCCCAAACTGAGTCCTCCAGAGCAAAGAGCAACCAGCCAGGGAAGGAGGAGAGGAGGGGACAGTCCAGGCAGAGGGAGCAAGAGGAGCAAAGGCATGGAGGGAAGAGGGCCTGGCATCGTCAGGGAATGTGACTAGCTGAGTCTGGTGGGAGCAAACGGGCCCAGGAGGTGGTTAGTGGAGGGACAGGCTGAGAGAGGGGCAGGGGCCAGCTCGTGGGCTTCTCCCTGAGTTGGTGAGCCACAGCTGAGGTGGGGACACTGTGCTATGCCATCACAGCACAGCCAGCCTCTCTGGAGAAGAGCTAAATCTGGTGCCACACTGTATTCACCCTGCAAAGCCCAAGCTTCTCCATGTCCTGGCAGGGGGCCATGTTAGGGCTGGCCACCCGGGGTGTAACTGAGCCCAGAAACACCCAGCAGCAGGGTGGAGTTAGAACCGCACCTCTGACACTTACTAGCCGCGGGTCTTTGGTTGAGCTCTTAACCTCCCTGGGCCTCAGTTTGTGAAAAAGAGCCTGGCAGCAACATGGCTGCCTTATAGAACTGTGAGAATTCGCTGCCTAACACAGTAACCCGTCTCAAAACGTGAGTTTTTTTTTCTTTTCCTTACTCCGACTTCTGCCTAAATCCCCTTAGCAGAAAAAAAAAAGAGAGAGAGAGACTGAAAGGATTCAGAAAATGCTTGTGATGAACAGAAGTCTGGATCCTCTGGCACTACCACTGTGTCCCGGGAGAGCACACGCATCTGTTGTGGTCCCCTAGCACTCCACCTGATGTGTTGGTTGTTTTTCTTATCAGATTTACACCCTCCTTTTTGCGTTTGGGATCCTGGAACGTGGTGATGTTCGTAACCTATGAGCAGCTGAAACGGGCCCTGATGAAAGTCCAGATGTTACGGGAATCACCGTTTTGAACAAGACAAGAAGGCCACTGGTAGCTAACGTGTCCGAAACCAGTTAAGAATGGAAGAAAACGGTGCATCCACGCACACATGGACACAGACCCACACATGTTTACAGAACTGTTGTTTACTTGTTGCTGATTCAAGAAACAGAAGTAGAAGAGGAGGAGGGATTCTGGTCTTCACTGCCATGCCTCAAGAACACCTTTGTTTTGCA
Organism: Homo sapiens; assembly: GCF_000001405.40. Taxonomy (NCBI): domain Eukaryota; kingdom Metazoa; phylum Chordata; class Mammalia; order Primates; family Hominidae; genus Homo; species Homo sapiens. The sequence goes on along the minus strand of NC_000011.10, from coordinate 74,001,206 downwards.
CTGACAAGATGGAAAATAAATTATATTAATTTTTGAAACCCATTAGGCATGCCTAATATTTAGGCAAGAGAAAATAAACCAAGATAGATCCATTTGGACAAAATGGAAGGTTGGAGACGTGTATCCCCGTGAAATCTGGTTAGATAATGAATGATAAGCAGGAAGGATGGCAAGCACGGGACAGGAGGGGCCCACAATGGAGTGGGAGATCAGCCACGGAGCCTGGAGGGATGCCACCCAGCAACACAGAGCTGGCGACTGCAGCTGCACCATCACACATGCATCATCAGCCTATTTGTAATATGTCTGCCACAGAGAGTCCTTTGGGATTCTAGGAAACCCAAGGAACAAGAGAAAAAACTAGAGCCTGTGCTAAAGAAGCCCTGCTGGGCCCATGTGAGGCTGGGGCTCGTAAATATTCCCTGACGACACTGAAGAATCAAGAGGGCAGCCCCCACTTTCCTACAAAATGGAGGGAGCCATCCCTTCCCTGTCCACCTCACCAGGGGTGCTATGACATGCAAGTGAGAAGCTGGGCATGAACGCACTTTATAAAAGCAAAAGCTCTGTGTAAATCTAACTACAAGGACAATGCCTTGGGAGAGATTTTGTCGGGACAGAGAGGAGTTGCCAGGGAAGAAGGTTTGAAAGATACGGTTGTCTAGAGGTGAGACCAAAGGATCCAGAGACTTGGGGACCAGAGGTGACAGTGGATGACGTGAAGCCACAGGAGCCCCACCCCCATGCAGCCTCTTCCCCACCCCCCCCACCACGTGCTCAATCATGAGTACCTCAAAGGATTGTTGGGCTTGGGGGAAAAGAGGTGGATTCCTGGGCAAGAACCTAAAGTAGCAGGACTCGGAATTCTCGGGAAATTATTATGACTCAATAAAAGAATTCACACCTTAGGTGTGGGAGTAAGAACAGCCACTTCTCTGCCTTTTCTTTCTTGGAATTTTCCTTTCTCACTTCTATTTCAGGCTTTCTATGTGTCAGGGCAGGGCCAGATCCAGCCCCACATGCCTACACTTCATCTGCCCCCTCTCACCCTGTTTAATTGCAGGCAAGTAGCTTTATTTTTTTAGGGTTCCAGCTCCTGCTTCTGCAAAAGGCAGGGTTGAACCAGACGACCGACTTCCAAGCTTAAGACTGTACATTTTTCGAATTGATAATGGGGACCCAAAATGCCACTATCTTTTTCTACTTCTTGGCAGCCTTGCGTAGCTCTGATGATTGTCAGGACTGGGTTCAAACCTCACCCCATTCTACCTTACTAACCACCTAGCCACAGGGAATCCTTGCACCTTGGTGTGCTACCAGAGAAGTGGGAATAACAATCGCTGCTTCACAGGCTTGTTGTGAGGGTTGACCTAAAACTCCTTGGAAAGCAGACATGTGGTGTGCACCTGCTACCTGGGAGGCTTAAGCGAGAGGACTGCTTGAGCCCAGGAGTTCAGGGCTGCAGTGAGCCATGACTGCACCTGTGAATAATGACTGCACTCCAGCCTTGGCAACAGAGCATAACTCCTTCTCTGAAACAAAACAAACAAAAAATCGTTGGCATACAGGAGGCACTCGGTAATGTCATTTCCCTGCTTCCCTGCTCCTACCCCTCCAGACCCTGGGAAAAAGCAAATATCTATTCATCCTCAGCACTTTCCTAAATTTAAATTATAACTTGAGATCATCTATGTATACAAACTGGAGAGTTCATACAAAAGCAAAAAAAAATTATTTTGATTTAATGTCTGGCTTGGTTTTCAAATAAAACCCATATTTTGAAAAGTTTCCGGTTGGTGCAGTGGCTCACGCCTTTGGGAGGCCGAGGCGGGCGGATCACTTGAGGTCAAGAGTTTGAGACCAGCCTGGCCAACATGGTGAAACTCTGTCTCTACTAAAAATACCAAAAAAAAAAAAAAAAATTACCCAGGCATGGTGGTGGGTGCCTGTAATCCTAGCTACTCGGGAGGCTGAGGCAAGAGAATCACTCGAACCCAGGAGACTGAGGTTGCAGTGAGCCAAAACCACACCACTGCACTCCAGCCTAGGCGAGACTCTGTCTCAAAAAAAAAAATTAAATTGAATTGAATTAAATTAAAAGTTTCCCTTTTTAGCCAGGCATGGTGACATGTGCCTGCGGTCCCAGCTACTCGGGGGGCTCAGGTGGGAGGATCACTTGAGCCCAGGAGGCGGAGGTTGCAGTGAGCCGAGCTTACACCACTGCACCCTAGCCTAGGTGACAGAGTGAGACCCCATCTCAAAAAACAAAAACGAAAAAAGAAAAAAGAGTTTCTCTTTCTTTTGACTTGACTGACATGTGCAAATCACTCTCAAACTCCTGGTCTCAGTTTGTAAGTTTCTAGGGCCAGGAACTATATCTTCCATGAATTTCCATATGGCAATATTAACACACCACCTACCCAGAGGATGCTATTCAGGTGATGATTCTGAGAAAGGGAGGATAAAATATTCTAAGAGATATTTTGACTGGGATCAGGAGCCTACTAACTGCCAAGTCTAGCCTTTTGGAGAAAGAAAAACGAGATTGGTGAGTCTTGTGAGGTTTCTAGGCCAAAATACTAGATCTCTTTCTCCACTGTTTTTTTTTTTTTTTTTTTTTTTTTTGAGTCAAAGTCTTGCTCTGTGCCCAGGCTAACACAATCTTGGCTCACAGCAACATCCACCTCCCAGGTTCAAGTAATTCTCCTGCCTCAGACTCTCGAGTAGCTGGGACTACAGGTGCGTGCCACCACACTCTGGCTAGTTTTTGTATTTTTAGTAAAGATGGGGTTTTCACTGTGTTGACCAGGCTGGTCTCAAACTCCTGACCTCAGATGATCCACCCACCTCAGCCTCCCAAAGTGCTGGGATTACAGGCGTGAGCCACTGCTCCCAGTCTCTTTCCCCACTTCTTAAAGGCAGAGATTCAACCAGATGACCTGAAGCTCTTTAGTTCTGTGATTCCAAGGACTGAGAGACAGTTTCTCCCAGGCTACGGTGTGAACACCTTTTCAACGCTGGCCTCAATTTATGCTTCCAGGAAACCAGGGATGTGAATTCATGAGAAGGTCAGATTACCAGCTGAGGCCAGTTTCTAAGTTCTGTGCATCCATTTCCCCACCACACTCCTAGAGACACCACCTCCAGTCAAGTGATTCAAAAGAAATCTGCTTTTTCTCAAACTCTTCTACTACGTCAGGCAGAAATAAGATAGTTAGAGTCCTGACTCAGTCCCATTTGTGACATAATGGATAATTCACATAAATGTTCTAAGTAATGGTAATATTTTTTAAAAGAATATTTTATTCAGAAGGAATGAATGTTAAGTAAGGAAATATTATTATAGCTCTGTAGATGAGTTTGTTTCAGGGCACTTTGAAAAGCACAGTGTGCTACATGAATGAAAATATTCATTGTACATACATTGTAAGCCATATGTTATGTTAGGTGCTGGGGTGAACAAGACCAGTCCTGTCCTCAAGGAGCTCACTGGGGTGGAGGATGGTGGGGCAGGAAAGACAAACTGCAAACCATCAGTCACCATACTGGGTGATCAAAGCTACAAATAGAGATGTATACAAAGCACCCAAGAGCAGGTACACAGATAAGGGACATCTGACGTGGTTGGGGGGCCAGGAAGCTTCTTGGAGGAAGACACCTAAAGGTCAAGTAGGTGTTATGCAGGTAAAGAAAGTGAAGTGAAAGTCATCCTAGGCAAAGGGAATGGTTCGTGCAAAGGCCCAGAAACAAGATAAAAACATTCAAGGTACATCCAAGGGATTGTCAGCTGTCAGTATGTCTGGGTTGCAGACTTAAAGATCTACTGGGGAGACTGAGGCAGGAAAATCGCTTGATTGCTTGAACCCAGGAGGTGGAGCTCACAGTGAGCTGAGATCGCACCACTGCACTCCAGCTGGGCGACAGAGCGTGACTCTGTCTCAAAAAAAAAAAAAAAAAAAAGAAACCTCCTTTCCATTTTTTTAGGTATATACCCAAAGTGCAAAGTGGAATCATGGAATCACTTGGTATGGGTAATTCTATATTTAATTTTTTGAGGGACCATCATACTGTTTTCCATAGCAGCTGGACCATTCTCATTCCCAGCTGCAGTGTATAAGGGTTTGTTTCTCCACATCCTCTTCAACACTTATTTTCTGGTTTTTGATAGTAGCCATCCTAATGGGTGTAAGGTGGTCTCTCATTGTGATTTTGATTAATGATTAGTGATGCTATGGCTCTTTTCGTGTGGTTATTGGCCATCTGCATATCTTCTTTGGAGAAATGTCTATTTAAGGCCTCTGCCTATTTTTGAATGAAAATTAAAGAACTACAATTTTATGTAACTTGGATGAATCTCACATAGCGTTGAGTGAAAGATACAAAATAGTACATATAGTATCATTCCATTTATATAATGTTTAAGAACAGGTAAAACAAATATTTGGTGTTAAAAATCAGGATACTGGTTATTCTTTGGGTGAATAGTGACTGATGGTAGACACAAAGGATCACTTCTGGGTGTTAGTAATGTTTCCTCATGTGTGCTCATTATACAGGGATGTTTGCTTTATAAAAGTTATTCATGCTGTATACTTAGGATTTGTGCACTGTTTTATATGTGTTTTACTTCAATAAAAGTTTACTTTAGGCTGGGAGTGGTGGCTCATGCCTGTAATCCCAGCACTTTAGGAGGCTAAGGCGGGAGGGTTGCTTCAGTCTGTAAACAGATTTTTTTTTTAAGACAGGGTATCACTGTTACCCAGGCTGGAGTGCAGTGGCGTGATCACGGTTCACTGCAGCCTCCAGACTCCTGGGCCCAAGCAATTTTCCTGCCTCAGCCTCTCAAGTAGCTGGGACTACAGGCACCTGCCACCAGGCCCAGCTAATTTTAAAATTTTTTATAGAGACAGGGGCTCGCTTTGTTGCCTAGGCTGGTCTTGAATTTCTGGACTCAAGTGATCCTCCCACCTCAGCTGCCCAAGTCATTGGGATTACAGGTGCTAGCCACCATGCCTGGCTACTCTTGCTGGTTTAATGATGGGAAATCTTTCACCAAAAGTTTGCAAATTTTCATATGAGCATCTGGACAACTTTTTTAAAGACCTACAAAACGTTCAAAACACTGGTGAAAAAGAAGTACAGAATAGAGAGAAATTTTGATCAGGCACTTACTCTGAAAAGCACAACACTGTGTCTGTGTCTCAGTGATGTGGTCACACAACCAAAACAACCCAACTGTGGTTTTCTTCTCAGTATCTTACACTGTGAAAGCCTTCTTGATTTGGAACCTGTGACTTGCAGCAGAGTTCTAAACAAGAATTGTATATTGCTTGTTTCATGGCTCCTCTCACCAATGAATCCAAATCCATCAGAGTAGAGCTCCTCAGCATATTAGACCAGTTATCCAGAAGTCATCCCCAGAAGTCATATCCCCGTTTCTTTTACTTTCCAAAGGTACAAGATCTCAAAAACTGTCAAGATATATTTCACCATTGTTATTCTTGCTATATTATTATTATGTCTTGGAGTTATGATCCTTGAAGTAATTCATGCTTCACATGTGCTTACAATGTTGAATGATGGGATGAGAGAAATCTTTTCCATTTGATAAAATAAAACCACAAGGAGGGTTTGCTTGTGTCGTATGGGTGCCCATAAAGCATTGAAAATATTAAGGAGCAAAGTGGATTTGCAGGATTTCTGTGGATATGTCACTATGCTGTACCATCTCATCAACGCAAACAGAAAGTGTGGTGATGCTTCTGATGAAAAAGGAAAACCTGATTTGACTTCCTGCTTTGAGCAGATGAGAGGACAGAGTCATTTGAAATGGTCATTGAGGAAGCAACCACAGATTCAACAACATAACAGAAATCTTAGGTTGCTACAACAGAAACAGACTGGGTTCCTCTTGAGCTATGCTTGTAATTCCACTGTTTAGCTCTGAATTCAATGAGTTTGTAGGAAAACAGTCACACTACAAACCTTGCAGAAAAGAAAGCCTTCAAAAACTCTTACTTTCCAGTAGAAAACTATATATGTTCTTAACTTTATTCACTCATTCTAGGAAGTTGCTTTAACACTAGATATTCACATTCAGGCTGGTTTTTCCAGTTTTCTTTACCTAAATCTTAAGTTCTACTTCTTGAAAAGAATGTAATGTGTAGAGATGGCATCTTATCAGAATGGAGAGATGGTCACCTTCCTCACTTCTCTCTGCTAATCTTCATTGGTATTAATTTTTTCACATAACTTGTTATTCACACTTTGTGTCTTTTTTCTTAAATACCTTTAAGAAAAAAGCTTTTATAAAGCTTTTATAAAGCTTTATACTGCCAGGCACTAAAAAGAATCCTGCTGGTGCAGAATAATTTAGGCTTAAATTATGTTCAAAGTGTGTTGTGTTGTAGTTTGGGTAACATTTAGTATTGTCTGGTGTCTTGATCATTATAACACATCCTAATTCAACAAAGAGCTTTTTAGCAAAAAGCACTTACTATATTTTTTACCTTGAGACAATCTGCATTTTTTTATAAATCTAAGGATAAACTTTATAGACTTTATGATAACTGTTAATGTAATGTCATTATGAATATTGGTGATTTTCAGTGTTAGTTTGTCAAACGTATATCTGGTTTAATTTTATATTTTGTTACCTACACTCTGGAGGATAATGGAGATTTTATTCTTCCTGTGAAAAGGCTTCTTGGTATTTAAAGTAGCAAAAGTATAAAATAATGAACATCCAGTATTGAGAAATGATATGATGGAACATTAAAAATTCCTGTGGATATTTATAAATTATATGTCAGTTAAACCTTGTCAAAGGTATGCAAATCAGCATACCTTAAGCTTGTTTTAGAAGGTCTCAACTCAGACTATGAAGATTCACTGACATCTTATAAGAAGCCTTGGAAAACATTCTCTTTTTTTTTTTTGCTGAGACGGAGTCTCACTCTGTCACCCAGGCTGGAGCGCAGTGGCATGTTCTCGGCTCACTGCAACCTCTGCCTCCTGGGTTCAAGCGATTCTCCTGCCTCAGCCTCCCCAGCAGCTGGGACTACAGGCATGTGCCACTGCGCCCAGCTAATTTTTGCATTTTTAGTAGAGACAGGGTTTTGCCATGTTGGCCAGGCTGTTCTGGAACTCCTGACCTAGTGATCTGCCTGCCTCGGCCTCCCAAAGTGCTGGGATTACAGGCATGAGCCACTGCCCCTGGCCATTGCTTTTTAACCCATTTCGAATTTATTCAAAGTGCAACAAGCCATCCTTAAGAGAATGCTAAAATGGGCCAGGCGTGATGGCTCACGCCTGTAATCCCAGCACTTTGGGAGGCCGAGGTGGGTGGATCATTTGAAGTCAGGAGTTCAAGACCAGCCTGGCCCACCTTTACTAAAAATACAAAAATTAGTCAGGTGTGGTGGCAGGGTGGCAGGTGCCTGTAGTCCCAGCTACTCCAGAGGGTGAGGCAGGAGAATCGCTTGAACCCAGGAGGTGGAGGTTGCAGTGAGCCAAGGTTGTGCCACTGCACTCCAGCCTGGGCAACAGAGTGAGACTCTGTCTCAAAAAAAAAAAAAAAAAAGAGAGAGAGAGAGAATGCTAAAATGGTCTAATTTGCATTTTGGTTTTTTTCCTTTTATTTTTTAGAGACAGAGTCTTGCTCTGTTGCCCAGGCTGGAGTGCAGTGGTGTGATCACAGCTCACTGCAGCCTCAACCTCCCAGGCTCAACCTCCTGAGTAGTTTGGGTGATCCTCCCACCTCATCCTCCTGAGTAGTTGGGACCACAGGAACACACCACCATGCCCAGCTAATTTTTTTTTAATTGTTTGTAGAGATGGGGGATCTCCCTATGTTACCCAGGCTGGTTTTTGATTCCTGGGCTCCAGTGATACTCCCTCCTTGCCCTCCCAAACCACTGGGATTACAGGCATGAGCCACCACACCTAGCCATTTTCTCCCCATTTTTGTTAACAGTTTTATTGAAATATAATTCATAATAGCATACAATTCATCCATTCAAAGTGTACAATTCAGTGATTTTTGGTGTATTCACAGAGTTGTGCAACCACCACCACAATCAATTTTAGATCATTTTCACTGCCTCAAAAACAAGCCCCCATACCCATTAGCTGTCATGATCAATCTCCCCATTCCCTGAAGCCCTACCATCTGTCTTTATATATTTGCCTGTTCTGGACATTTTATATACATGGAAACACAATGTGTGGTCTTTCATGACTGGCTTCTTTTACTTAGCATAATGTTTTCAAGGTTCATCCACGGTATAGCATGGATCAGTACTTCATTCCTTTTCTTCTTTTTTTTTTTTTTTTTTTTTTTTTTTGAGATGAAGTCTTGCTTTTGTCACCCAGGCTGGAGTGCAGTGGCACAATCTCGGCTCACTGCAAGCTCTGCCTCCTGGGTTCACGCCATTCTCCTGCCTCAGCCTCCCGAGTAGCTGGGACTACAGGCGCCCACCACCACGCCTGGCTAATTTTTTGTATTTTTAGTAGAGACGGGGTTTCATCGTGTTAGCCAGGATAGTCTCAATCTCCTGACCTCATGATCCGCCCGCCTCGGCCTCCCAAAGTGCTGGGATTACAGGCGTGAGCCACCATGCCCGGCCACTTCATTTCTTTTCATTGCTTGGATATACCACATTTTATTAGCATATATCCGTTCCGCAATTGATGGATGTTTGGGTTATTTCCATTTTTTTGGCAAACGTATTTTTTAAACAATGTTTATATGTAAGTCTGCTGCTCACTTTGGGTTTTTCTTTTCACAGAATTTTTTAAAACTTTTTTAGAGATGTGGGGTCTCACTATGTGGTCCAGACTAAACTCAAACTCCTGGGCTCAAGTAATCCTCCTGCCTCAGTCTCCTGAGTAGCTGGGACTATAGGTGTGAGCCACTGTGCCCGGCTTCTTTTCATAGACTCTTTATGGAAAAATAGAATTTGTTTCCATCTTGGTAGCAATGGTTACTGCATACCTTCACTCTGATTTGAGAATTTTTGGACCAAGCTCTGCTTCTTCTCTGAGTATGGAGAAGGCAAAAGGCAGGGAGTGGACCTCCTCAGAGAAGTCGAGGGAAGAGGATCAGCAGGCTTCTAATCAACCAAACACAATTGCTTTGCCAGGAACATCAGCAAAGGGAACCAAAGGACAAATTTCTGCTAAAGGTGAAAAAGCGCTCTGCCCAAAGAAGGCAGCAGAGTATAGGGACAACCCCAAACCTCAGAAGAAGATACTAATCCCTTCATTACCCTCTAAACCGCAACCTGTTAATCGGCTTCACCGGGACATTCTGTGGGCCTGGTGTCTATAATTAAAGGCAAAGCCACACAGGCCTTTGGTGCCAGAAATAAGCTCCTGTGTGCCTTTGCCTATCCAAATCAAAAGAATTTTCCTAGCACAGCAAAAGAGGCCAGAATCCGGAAATCATTACCAAAACAATCAAAGGTGGACAAAGGGGAAATTACCCCGAAAAGCCCTGAGGAGACACATCCTCCTAAAGTAGCTCTTCCCCCTGGGGAGGGGTTGCCTGACCTAGAAGAGTCTGCTGCTCTCCTTGAGGGAGTTAATACAGTTGTGGTGACAACTTCTGCCCCAGAAGCTTCGCTGGCCTCCTGGGCCAGAAATGCAGCCAGGGAGAAGGCACCAGAAGCAGTGGGATCTCCACATGAGGCCCATGGTGTCAGGTGGCTAGTGTCCATGGGAGAAGACTCCCTGCAGACACAGATGGTTGGCTTCACCTCCAGTTTCATGCTGGACAAGGCTGGGTTCCAGAAAAGCAAGAAGGGAGAGTGAGTGCACTCTTTTTGCTTCCTGCCTCCAATTTTCCACCCCATAACTTGAAGACAATATGTTGTGCCCCAAATGCGTTCACAGGTACAAGGTCTTAATAAAAAGCCTCCGGTGGGAATAGAATATCAGGAAAAAGACCACATCTGTGGTAATTAATGGCAGAAAGGCTGGACAGTTGATTCCGTGGTGCTGCTGACAGGTGAACTCTGGTCCTCTCCACACCTGCTTATGGGCCATGCAGACTGGTGGGGTGGCAGATGTTAGCCTAAGACCCCTAGCAGTGACTGCTGCTTCGTGGGTGGACATAAAAGACTCTTAAGTTTAAAAATGGAAAAACATTTTACAAATTACCATAAATTCTAGTTAACACATAGAAAAACTCATTCATACTACCCTTCTAAAATAGAAATGACTTCAGCAGCTCTTTTAAGTGGGAACCTCTTCAGCTGAGCATTGTGAAGGAGTTGAGAAAACAAACAGCAGTTTGCTCCTGTGCTCAATTTCCCTGACCCAAATGCTGACTACTTTAGGAGCTGCTTCATTCCAATTGCAATTACATAAAATGTAAAGTATTTTAAGGCAAAGAAAGGCTGTTAATTCTCTCCTTCCCCAAAACACGTGATTTTCAATATTCAAAACAATATTTTTCAAAGTTCTCTTAATAACCTGCGATTTCTACAGGTTGGCTCCAGGATAAAAACACGAGGCACTTTGTATTACTTCGCTTATAATTCTTTTGTTTATTTCCAGTATTTAAAATGTTTAAGGTTACTTCCCGTTCATACATACATAATACATTGAATAGAAAATGTGTTTATTAGCAGATTCTCCATAAACAAAAATAAGATGTGTTTATAAAATAATTCATCTATTGTATTTAGGGAACTGTATGTATTGCATGCAAATTATTGTTAGTGTTCTTAAAGTAGGATTAAACCAAAAAGCATGACTTTTCTTTTGCATAACTCATTTGTTTGTTTCTTTATCAGTTGGTGGTATGGGTTGGATCGTTTGTTTTTATTTATTTATTATTATTATTTTGAGACAGTCACTCAAGCTGGAGTGCAGTGGCGCCATCTCAGCTCACTGCAACCTCCACCTCCCAGGCTCAAGAGATTCTCATGCCTCAGCCCCTGGAGTAGCTGGGATTACAGGCGTGTGCCACCATGCCAAGCTAATTTTTGTGTTTTTAGCAGAGATGGGGTTTCACCATGTTGGCCAGGCTGGTCTCTAACTCCTGGCCTCAAGTGATCCACCTCCCTCAGCCTCCCAAAGTGCTGGGATTACAGATGTGAGACACCACACCCGGCCCATCTCATTTGTTTTTAAAACCACTTTATTTAGGTATGATTGATGTACAAAAAGCTGTATATATTTAATGTATCCAATTGAGTGTAATTAATTTTTAATATTTTTTGTACTTCCTAAATGTATAGTCCCATGAGTCTGGGAAGAGATCTGTTTTTCACTTGTGTTTTAATGGCAGTTTCCAACATTGTTTTGTTATTACAAGTAGGTGATTTTTTTCCCCTTTAATTAAGATATTAAAAATAATGTGCTGATGGCCAGGCATGGTGGCTCACGTCTGTAATCCCAGCACTTTGGGAGGCTGAGGCGGGTGGATCACTTGAGATCAGGAGTTCAAGACCAGCCTGGCCAACATGGCAAAACCCTGTCTCTACTAAAAATGCAAAAATTAGCTGGGCGCAGTGGCACATGCCTGTAATCCCAGCTGCTCGGGAGGCTGAGGCAGGAGAATCGCTTGAACCCAGGAGGCGGAGGTTGTGGTGAGCGGAGATCGCGCCACTACACTCAAGCCTGGGCGACAGAGCGAGACTCCATCTCAAAAAAATAAATAAATAAAATAATAATAATAATAGTGCACTGAAAGGAGTGGCGGAGTTGGGAAATTCGTAACCATCATAATATACATGTAATAGGTTTGGGAAAGAATCCTCAAAAATGTTAAAGCGAGGGAGGAAAGTTTGTTGAGAAGCAAGATGTTTTCATGGTCTCATAGTGTTGTTCCCTTCCGCCCCCTCTTGGTTGTTGGTGGTCAGAATTGTTTAGTGTAATAAATAATATGGACATTTAAAAAATTGTTTTTTGCTTAGTTGCCGTACGAATTAATATAAAATTGAATTTGATGTTTACAAACCAAGGATTTTGGTTTTAGGTTAGAATTACACTTAGAATCATTAAGGCTATGTCTTCAGATCAAAACATTCTAGTGATAAACCTACGATAGGGACATACTCTGGACAGGCATGGCGGCTCATGCCTGTAATCTCAGCCCTTTGGGAGGCTGAGGTGGGAAGTATTGCTTGAGATCAGCCTGAACTACATAGCGAGACTCTATCTCTACAAAAAAATTTTAAAATGAGCTGGGTGTGGTGGTGACCGCCTGTAGTCTCAACTACTCTGGAGGCTGAGATGGAAGAATCACTTGAACTCAGGAGTTTGAGACTGTAATGAACTCTGATCTCTGATTGTGCCACTGCATTCCAGCCTGGGTGATATAGCAGGACCCTATCTAAAAATAAATAAATAAAAATAAAATAAAAGATGTAATCTTAGGCAAACTGATCTTAAATTATGCTAGTACACTTTTAAAAAATAATTGAATAAGTTTCAAAGGTTGTCTTCGGTCATTAATTCGTTTAGTATCTCAAATGTTAATTAGAATAATTGGTATCACTTTTTAGATTTTTTGAGTTACCTTCCTTAGGAAGTCTGTGCCATGTTATAATTTAATTTAGTTCTTCTATAGTATAATTGTTTACTAGTTTAAAACTGTACCCTAAGTGACCAAATAAGATATCTGGCAAACAAAGAATTTGAGAATGTTATTACGTAAATACTTTCGCTGACTTTTTCTTCTTTATAAAACTAGTTGTAGCCAGGCACTACACATAGTAGCTACAGGCACGGTTCGTGCCTTAATCCCAGCTACTCAGGAGGGTGAGGTGGGAGGACTGCTTGAGTCCAGGAGTTCAAGGCTGCAGTGAGCTATGATCATACCACTGCACGCCAGCCTCGGCAACAGAGCGAGATCCTATCTCTAAAAATAAAATAACAAAACAGACTATGTGTGGCTTAACTTCTATAAATATATGTCTTCCTTAAGAGTGTTAATATAAGCATGTGTTCAATACTATGGCCTATATATAGGATTTAATATTTTTCACCAGGTTGGCATTGTCAGTGCTGTGTTTGGGGTAAATATAATAGTTTTCTACTTTGTCTTACATGAGGTACAAACTAAAAGTATGTTATAAAGATTTGTCTATATAAGAAAACTAGGGTCAGGCATGGTGGCTCACGCCTGTAATCCCAACATTTTGGGAGGCCGAGGCGGGTGGATCACCTGAGGTCAGGAGTTCAAGACCAGCCCAGCCAACATGGTGAAACTCTGTCTCTACTAAAAATACAAAAATTAGCTGGGCGTGGTGGCAGGTACCTGTAATCCCAGCTGCTCGGGAGGCTGAGGCAGAAGAATCGCTTGAACCCGGGAGGTGGAGGTTGCAATGAGCCCAGATCATGCCATTGCACTCCAGCCTGGGCAACAAGAGTGAAACTCGGTCTCAAAAAAAAAAAAAAGAGAAGAAGAAGAAAGAAAACTAGGTGGAGTGTGGTGGCTTGCACCTATAATCCCAGCACTTTGGGAGGCCGAGGTGGGTGGATCTATTGAGGCTAGGAGTTCAAGATCAACCTGCCAACATGACGAAACCCCACCTCTACTAAAAATACAAAAAATTAGCACGGCGTGGTGTGTGTGCCTGTAATCCTAGCTACTTGGAAGGCTGAGGCAGGAATCGCTTGAACCTGGGGGGCAGAGGTTGCAGTGAGCCAAGATCTTGCCACTGCACTCCAGGCTGGGCGACACAGCACAACTCTATCTCAAAAAAAAAAAGAAAAAACAAAAGAAAACTAATATATCAAAATAATTTCTAGTTAGTTGGATTCACTCACTTATTCATTCAATGACTTATTGAATTATCATATATTACTAGTGCTTTTTAATACATACCTTCTACAATTTTTCAACTGAAAATTACTTCATTGATCAGGGCTCTTTAAACTGATCTCCATTTGCATTGTTTTACTAACTATAGTTATTATTCATGTATTAGCACTCTGAGCCTACTGTAATGATGTGTACCTTAATAAAGAACTGAATATTTGTAATGGCTGGCAGTGAATTTAGTAGTTCTTGAATTTAGAGCTCAAAATATGGGAGTAATTTGCTGCTTTATTTCCTTTGAGAGGTAATAGAGGAAAAACAGAATCTAATAACAATCACAGATTTTCGGGAAAGCACTGTAAAACCATATGATCAATTCTAGCTTCTTATGTAAACATGGAAAGATTGCCAGCTGAACACCTGTCATGCTCTAAGAAGTTGGGGAGAATTTGCATTTTTAGAACTGTGAGCAAAATGAGAACGACTGCTATGTTCATGCTTTGTGAATTTAGCTTTATTTCATTCACACAATTCATGGGAAAAAATGCATCTTTTAACTCGGTGTTTTTCAATTCAACTTTTAAAATACAGGAGTGGGCCAGACCCGGTGGCTCACACCTGTAATCTCATCACTTTGGGAGGCCGAGGCAGGTGGACCACAAGGTCAAGAGATAGACACCATCCTGGCCAACATGGTGAAACCCCATCTCCACTAAAAATACAAAAATTAGCTGGGCATGTTGGCACGTACCTGTAATCCCAGCTACTCGGGAGACTGAGGCAGGAGAATCGCTTGAACCTGGGAGATGGAGGTTACAGTAAGCCGAGATCGCGCCACTGCACTCCAGCCTGGCGACAGAGCAAGACTCCATCTCAAAAAAAAAAAAAAAAAAAAAAAAAAAAAAAAAAAAAAACCAGGATGTGTTACCAAGGAAAATTCATTTACAATGGTTAATTATGTGACAAACATGTCAAGTAATTCCATCTGGCTTTGTGTCACCATTTCCCCACCCTTTTTTCAGAAACCAAAACCAAGAAGAAGAACAAACATCAAAATGGACATGGAAATTAACAAATATATGATTCAATTTAATCTCCTAAGAGGTTTTTTAAAATTATTTTATTTTGAGACGGAGTCTTGCTCTGTCGCCAGGCTGGAGTGCAGTGGCAGGATCTCAGCTCACTGCAACCTCCATCTCCCAGGTTCAAGCGATTCTCCTGCTTCAGCCTCCCAAGTAGCTGGAACTACAGGCAAGCACCACCACACCCAGCTAATGTTTGTATTTTTGGTAGAGATGGGGTTTCACCATGTTGGCCAGGATGGTCTCGATCTCTTGACCTCATGATCCACCCGCCTTGGCCTCCCAAAGTGCTGGGATTACAGGTATTTTTTATTTTTTTTGAGACAGGGTCACCCTGTCACCCAGGCTGGAGTGTAGTGGCACAATCATGGCTCACTGCAGCCTCAACCTCCCAGGCTCAGGTGATCCTCCATGTCAGCCTCCCAAGTAGCTGGAACTATAGGCGTGCAACACCATGCCCAGCTAATTTTTGTATTTTTTGTAGAGACAGGGATTTGCCATGTTGGCCAGGCTGGTCTTCAACTCCTGGCCTCAAGTGATCCACCCGTCTCAACCTCCCAAACTGCTAGGATTACAGGTGTGAGCCACCGTGCCCCATCTCATCTGCTAAGTGGGTTTAAAGAAATTCAGTTTCATGTCAATTTTTAAAATGTATGGTTATCAAATTCGACTTCTTTTTAAAAATGCAATCAGATAACTGTATGCTTGTTTGATGAGGGGAGGAAAGTTAATATAGCCAATCTACTCAATATTTTTAGCAGAAATTATCAGAGACTAAGGAAATGTTTAAGTTTTTCTCATGTTGGTTTTAATTACCTAATGTTTTCAGTTTTCTCTTTCATTCTTGTGTCTTTTTTTCATTTTCAGTGTTTCAAATACAGTTTGTATTTAAAGATTTAGAAGTTCCAAAACTGTAAGCACAGTGGATTGTTTCCTGGGATGATGTTAAAATTATACAACAAAATATATGAAACTTTGTCAATTTGGTTATTGGCACATACAAAATATTTACAAATAAACGTGTGTGTGTGTGCGTGTACACACAATTCAATGAAATAGATGTGAAACAAGTTTTCTTTTTTTTTTTTTTGAGACAGAGTCTTGCTCTGTCGCCCAGGCTGGAGTGCAATGTCGCAGTCTCAGCTCACTGCAACCTCTGCCTCCCGGGTTCAAGCGATTCTCCTGCCTCAGCCTCCCGAGTAGCTGGGACTACAGGCACCTACCACCACTCCCAGCTAATTTTTGTGTTTTTAGTAGAGACAGGGTTTCACCATGTTAGCCAGGCTAGTCTCCAACTCCTGACCTCAGGTGATCTGCCCGCCTCAGCCTCCCAAAGTGCTGGGATTGCAGGCGTGAGCCACCTCACCTGGCTACAAGTTTTCAAAATACATTTATCTGTACCCATACATTCTCCAGTTTGTCCACAGGACATCTTATGACTTGAGCAAGCTGCTAAAAATCCAAGGGTGCAGCGTTTGTATGTCTATAGGATTGCTCAGATCTGCCCCCACCCTGAAAGAATTTAAGAGAATTTCTTGAGGCCAGGCACAGTGGCTCACACCTGTAATTCCAGTACTGTGAGAGTCCGAGGTCAGAGGACTGCTTGAGGCCAGGAGTTCAAGAGCAGCCTGGACAACATAGGGAGACCTGTCACTACAAAGAATAAATAAATTAGCCAGGCTTAGTGGCTCATCCCTGTGGTCCCAGCTACTAGGGAGGCAGAAGTAGGACTGCTTGTCCCAGGAGGTCAAGACTGCAGTGAGCTGAGACCCAGCCACCTGCATTCCAGCCTGGGCAACAAAAAGAGACCCTGTCTCAAAAAATAAGTTAAATAAATAAATAATAAAAATAGTTTAAACCCTAAACACATCTTCTTTTTCAAAGAGGACTTCTTAAGGACTTCATGCTGCGTCCTGTTGATCTCCACTTCCCTTTTTCAGCGTCCACACTTTTAACAGTCTCTTTTGCCAAGGATAATAAGTATATAGTTTCTGGAATCCAGATTCTTCCCTGTTTGGACAGCCAGGGGGACAATTTTTGGTCTGCAGGCCTTTGCATCTGTTCTGCTGTTGCTCAGCAATCTCACAGCAAATTTGCCGAGCCTCTCCGGAATGCACAGCCAGACAGAGCTCAGCGCAAAAGCTAGAGAACCTGGCGGAGGGAGACTCACAGTGCCACAAAAAAACTTTATCTTTTCTTTTTTTTTTTCTTTTCTTTCTTTCTCTTTCTTTCTTGTCTTTCTGTCTTTCCTCTCTCTCTCTCTGTCTTTCTTTCCTCTCTTTCTTTCTTTTTTCCTACATGGCAAGATCTCCTCATGGCAGAAATAATCTGCCTTGACTTCTGTTTCCACGCTGCTTCTGCCAGGACCATGCGCTCGGCGTGTTTTTCTTTCCGCTATAATTATCCAGGCCCATCCCAGCTCTGGTCCCCTCAGCTGTTCCCTGGCAGTCCCTTCTGCTGGTGAAAACACATATGGCGCCGGCCTGACCAGGGTGTAAGTGTGTGAATATCAGGAAGATGACTGAACGTCTTTGGGACTCCGTTTCCTCATTGTAAAATGGAGGTTAATACCAGCCTTCTTCTACTCCCCAAACGCACGTGTTTGTCCCGGCCAGAGGGCCCAATTGTTGGCTGTTCACGCGTCAGTTACCCCCACAGGACGGGTCAGCCAATTAAAGGCGAACCAGGCCCGGTCCATCTCCTGACGCCTTTTCTCATCCCAGGGCTGGACAGGCAGCTGGCCTGGGCCCGGCTCTGCCTTGTCACGTGCGGGGGCCGGCCCGTTTGCTTGTCTGTGTGTAGGAGCGTGAGGTCACGCTGGGTGCTCCCGCCCCGCCGGGGCCTTTAGTGTCCTGGTCCCTAAACGCCAGGCCGCTCCACCGGGGGAGAAGGCGCGAACCCCAGCCGAGCCCAACGGCTGTTGTCGGTTGCCGGGCCACCTGTTGCTGCAGTTCTGATTGGTTCCTTCCCCCGACAACGCGGCGGCTGTAACCAATCGACAGCGAGGCCGGTCGCGAGGCCCCAGTCCCGCCCTGCAGGAGCCAGCCGCGCGCTCGCTCGCAGGAGGGTGGGTAGTTTGCCCAGCGTAGGGGGGCTGGGCCCATAAAAGAGGAAGTGCACTTAAGACACGGCCCCGCTGGACGCTGTTAGAAACCGTCCTGGCTGGGAAGGCAAGAGGTGTGTGACTGGACAAGACTTGTTTCTGGCGGTCAGTCTTGCCATCCTCACAGAGGTTGGCGGCCCGAGAGAGTGTGAGGCAGAGGCGGGGAGTGGCAAGGGAGTGACCATCTCGGGGAACGAAGGAGTAAACGCGGTGATGGGACGCACGGAAACGGGAGTGGAGAAAGTCATGGAGAGAACCCTAGGCGGGGCGGTCCCCGCGGAAAGGCGGCTGCTCCAGGGTCTCCGCACCCAAGTAGGAGCTGGCAGGCCCGGCCCCGCCCCGCAGGCCCCACCCCGGGCCCCGCCCCCGAGGCTTAAGCCGCGCCGCCGCCTGCGCGGAGCCCCACTGCGAAGCCCAGCTGCGCGCGCCTTGGGATTGACTGTCCACGCTCGCCCGGCTCGTCCGACGCGCCCTCCGCCAGCCGACAGACACAGCCGCACGCACTGCCGTGTTCTCCCTGCGGCTCGGTGAGCCTGGCCCCAGCCCTGCGCCCTTTGCGCCCCCCACGCTTGTTCTGCGTGCGCTGCCCGCTCTTCCATTTACCTTCTCTCCCACCCAAGTTTGTACTCTTTTCTTTCTCTCGGTTTTATTTTTTGTTTTTGTTTGTTTGTTTGAGACAGGCTTTCGCTCTGTCTCCCAGGCTGGAGTGCAGTGGCGCGATCTCGGCTCACTGCAGCCTCCACCTCCCAGGTTCAAGCGATCCGCCTGCCGAGTAGCTGGGATTACAGGCGCCCGCCACCACGCCTGGCTAATTTTTGTGTTTTGTAGAGATGGGGTTTCGCCATGTTGGCCAGGCTGGCCTCGAACTGCTGAGCTCAAGCAATCCGCCCGCCTCGGCCTCACAAAGTCCTAGAATTTTAGGCATGAGCCTCCGGGTCCGGCCTGTGCTAATCCTTTCTGTCCTTGGTTCTTTATTTCTCTTCTCTCTTTTTCTTAGTCCCTTTTGTTCTTTCCCTCTCCCGTTCAGTTGGCTGTCGTTTGAGCCTCCACCTTTTCACTCCCTCCTTTCCACCACGATGCCGAGCCCTGCCTTGGATGGGGACCATCAGCGATGACCACAATGACCTCTCCCTTACCAGGCAGCTCCAGGCAGTGTTCCTGCACCGCCTTTCCCAGGGCTTGGGGGCTTTTTCTAGTGGGCTTTGAGCTGCTCAATCTGGCCTCTGCAGGGCCGGCTCCCAGCCCTTCCAACCTCCTCACAGCCCGACCTGGGACCTAGCCAATTCCCGGAGAGTCTCTGTCCCATCGTGACCCCCTCACAACTCTCCCACTCACCAAAGTCTGATGACTGTGCTAGGGGGTGCTTATATAGAGTACTGAGTGTTACAAAAGCAGAAGTCTGGATGAGAACCAATTTGTGATATTAAGCAGGTGGGGTGGGGGTGGGGAGTGTACCTAGGTTCATTTTCCGCCCTGCTTTTCCCCTTTCCAGTGTGTGCACTTAACCAGTCCCTGGGCCCTGTTCCCCATCCCCCTCCAAGGCATGGATTGGGTGGGCTTGTGTGTCTTGGGGCAGGTGGCCCTTTCTAAACTCTCTGCCTTTGCTCACCCACAGGACACATAGTATGACCATTAGGTGTTTCGTCTCCCACCCATTTTCTATGGAAAACCAAGGGGATCGGGCCATGATAGCCACTGGCAGCTTTGAAGAACGGGACACCTTTAGAGAAGCTTGATCTTGGAGGCCTCACCGTGAGACCTTACAAAGCCGGGTAAGAGTCCAGTCCAAGGAAGAGGTCTCTTGCTGCCTCCTAACCCTGTGGTCTAGGGGCAGGAGTCAGCAGGGCATTAACAAAAATAATTACCATCCCCACCCCCGACAGTGAAGTGGCTCTTTCCAGTTCACAGAGCACTCTCACACCTCCCCGCTCTCATTCTGGCCCTTCAGCTGACTCGGACAAGCCAAGGATCTTGGTCCCCATTTTATAAAGGAGAAAACTGAGGCCCACGTGTAACAGTGATTGGCCCCAAGTCATCCCGGGAGCCAGCAGAAGAGCTAGGACAGGAACCTATTGTTCTAACTTCATATTGATGCTAGCTTTTGACTATCCCTGAAACCGAGATTGGTAATCAGCCCGGCTCTGAAACTGGTTATTTGCTGGGGACTGTAAAATAGGATTAACTATTTCTAGTCCTGCATTTTAATTGCTGTTAGTAGGGCCATCTTACCCACCCTCTGAAGGACCTGACTTGGCAAGCCCAAGGCAACATTCAGAATATGGCAGCTGAACCTCTGTGCACTTGTCTTTGGGCAGCAGCTGGGTCTTATTCTTCTCTGGCCTTCACAACATCCTGCAACCCAGCTCAAGGTCAGGAATGTGACAGACTCATGTCATCATATCTCTGATGCCCAGAGAAGGGATACCATTTGCCTGAGCCTTCTCAGTACTGTTTAATCAGCCTGTGAGAACTTTCCTTGTGAAAGGCCCTGTCTGTGCCTGGGGCTGATAAAACAGCAAGAACGAACTGAGGAGCTGGGCAGCAGTGCAAAGCAAATACTACCAGCTTTGGTGCCTGTAAGTGTGGCTCTTACTCATCTCACATGGAAATAAGGGCAGCCACCTTGCAGGGCTGCTCTGAGGATTGAGCTAATACAGTGCCCTGGGCGTTGGGGTGGGGAAAGTTGTGGAGCACCTCCTGGGGGAAGGGGGTGTCAGAGCAGGGAATCTGGGGAGTCCGAGGGCACCTTCATCAACCCAATCTGTCATTTGAGCACCAGTCTTCACTGAGCCTCGTGGGCAAGCTGGAGGGAAACAGGAATAAGGTCAGGCCCTGTTCTATAGGTCCCAGTGTAGTTGCTATGGTGAGTATCTTCATTTCCCTGCTTGCCCCAGCCACCTGGAGTGAGAAGCCCAAGAGGAAGCTGGGTGAGCTGTTTGTTTCCATGGGTCTCTGTGTTCACAGCTGACTCCCTTCACCAGCCAGCCCTTTCACCTGAGCCCCAGCAACAAAGGCAGTCAGGCGGGGCTCAAAGCAGCTGCTCCAATGAAGTCAAAGAAATAAGCTCAGGGGAAGAAGCAGGTCACCCTCCCCCACTAGGGTGCTGGGCTCACTTCCTCCTGGGGCAGTGGAGGAGGGTGTGGTTCCAACTCAGAACAAAATGGGGCTTTTGGTTTACTTTATCACTCTTCACAGCTCTGACCTGGACCCCTCATCCCTGCCTGTCTTGTGGTGTAAGTGCGGATCCCCCTAAGTTGGAGGAAAGGAAACTGGCCCAAACAAAAAGGAGAGCAGTTTTCTCTGCATCACATGGTAGGCCAGGAGGAGTCTAATGCCCCAGAGTTTACTCTCAGCCCCCAAAATCACCTAGCTAAATGTTACCTTATCTAAGAAGTCCTTAGGTTTTTTGGGGTTTGTTTTTTTTTTTTTTGAGACAAGGTCTCACTCTCTCACCCAGACTGGAGCACAGTGGCACAATCACAGCTCACTGCAGCCTCAACCTCCTGGGCTCAAGCAATCGTCCCAAGTAGCTGGGACTATAGGCCTGCACCACCATGTCCAGCTAATTTATTTTTATTTATATTTTTTAGACAGGGTCTCATTATGTTGCCCTGGCTGGTCTTGAACTCCTGGGTTCAAGCAGTCCTCCCACCTCTGCCTCCCAAAGTGCTAGGTTTTTTTTTGTTTGTTTGTCTGTTTTTTGAAACAGAGTCTTGCTCTGTCGCCTAGGCTGGAGTGCAGTGGCACGATCTCAGCTACTGCAACCTCCACCTCCTGGGTTCAAGTGATTCTCCTGCCTCAGCCTCCTAAGTAGTTGGGAATACAGGCGTGTGCCAACACACCCAGCTCATTTTTGTATTTTTAGCGGAGATGGGGTTTTGCCATGTTGGCCAAGCTGGTCTCAAACTCCTGACCTCAGGTGATTCGCCCGCCTCAGCCTCCCAAAGTGCTGGGTTTACAGGCGTGAGCCACCACACCCAGCCCAAGAAGTCTTTTCTGATCACCCACTCTTCCTTCTCTCCCAATGGCATTAGTTGTTCCCTCCTTTGCATTTTGAGAGTATGTCCTGTAAGCCCCAAATGCAGCTTGAATCATCTGCCCATCCACCCCCTGTGCCCAACAGTAAGCCTCCTCTAGAGTAGATACTATCTCCTGCATCTCAGTGAACCACTGCCCAGCAAAGCAGTCTTGCTAAAACAATGACTCTAGAGATCCTAAGCTGTGTGAGAGCTGGAGGAGAGAATTAGACTGATGGTCTGGGAAGGGATTGAATTAGTCATCTTGTACCTTTTCTTCTTGACTTAAGTTCCAGACCTGTAGCAACCATTCCTGCTTAGACATCCAGAACATAAGCCTATGGGTCTGTGCCTGTTGGGTCTTAGTCTGGGTGAAACTTTTCTCTACTTCTGTCAGCTCTCCAGATGAACCACAGAAGCAGGAATGTGGGCATCATCAGTGAAATCTCTGCATACAGCAGACAAAGGGCTGGTCCAGTGGCTGTTTATGAGGCAGCGCTAGGAGAGCTCTGATCCAGACTCTCCCTGCAGTGAAAGGGAGGGAGCCCTTCATGAAGTATTGACTGCTTGAGCAGGAATTGCTTCACCAGCACCTAACTGAGTGCCTCTCGAGCTCACATCGGTTTTCCCTCATGAGGCCACTTGGAGTCTTGCTGAGGGACTTGGTTCTATTAGGGAAGGTGAGTTTGGGGATGGTGAGCAGGGAGGGCCTGGGGACATTGTGGCTAATGGGGCTTTTCTCCTCTTGGCTTAGATTCCGGCAGAGTTCCTCTATCTCGTCTTGTTGCTGATTAAAGGTGCCCCTGTCTCCAGTTTTTCTCCATCTCCTGGGACGTAGCAGGAAATCAGCATCATGGTTGGGTTCAAGGCCACAGATGTGCCCCCTACTGCCACTGTGAAGTTTCTTGGGGCTGGCACAGCTGCCTGCATCGCAGATCTCATCACCTTTCCTCTGGATACTGCTAAAGTCCGGTTACAGGTGAGGGGATGAAGCCTGGGAGTCTTGATGGTGTCTACTCTGTTCCCTCCCCAAAGACACAGACCCCTCAAGGGCCAGTGTTTGGAGCATCGAGATGACTGGAGGTGGGAAGGGCAACATGCTTATCCCTGTAGCTACCCTGTCTTGGCCTTGCAGATCCAAGGAGAAAGTCAGGGGCCAGTGCGCGCTACAGCCAGCGCCCAGTACCGCGGTGTGATGGGCACCATTCTGACCATGGTGCGTACTGAGGGCCCCCGAAGCCTCTACAATGGGCTGGTTGCCGGCCTGCAGCGCCAAATGAGCTTTGCCTCTGTCCGCATCGGCCTGTATGATTCTGTCAAACAGTTCTACACCAAGGGCTCTGAGCGTGAGTATGGAGCAAGGGTGTAGGCCCCTTGGCCCTTTTTTCTCAGTGATGATTGATCTTAGTTCATTCAGCCATATAGTTTTTTAGGCCCCACGATCCCTAGGAAGATCAGGGGAACAGAGAACTGGAAGGGGCCCTGGTCCTCCACATAGTTCCTAAGCACCTGGGCTATACCAGGCTCTGAGCAGGGCGTCATCCCATCACAGTCTTCAACACCACCTTGGGAGTAGGTAGTATCATCCCAGTGTTATAGAAGAAGAGACTGAGGTGGGAAGGCAGTGGGTAGAGTGGGGACTTGGCCAGGGGCACACAGTAGAGAGCCAGAAAACACACAGTAGAGAGCCAGGACACTCGTCTCTAAGGCCAGCGTTCTTCCCTTTCACCTCCTTAGTATGCCATGCCAACCCTCCATTTTACACATGACGAAACAGAGCCCCAGACAAAAGGTTGTCTTTCCCAGATCACATGGCAGGAAGAAGTAAAGCTGACCTGAGATCCCAAGTCTTAGGAATCCCAGTCCTCAGAAAGCCACTTCTCTCTGAGCCTTGGTTTTCACATTTGTCAGATGGAAATGATTGTGATTTCTCAGGGCTGTTGAGCAGGTAAATGAAAATGTTTTATGAAAGAAAGCACCAAGTTTCATTTTGGTCTTAGCCCTTGCTATGTCCCTAGCAAGAAGTAGATATTCATAGGGATATTTTGTTTGATGTGAGGAGTTCTTACAGCAAGAGCTTGTAGAAGGCCAAAAGCTTCTGGATTCTATTCCCAAAAGCAGGAGATGACAGTGACAGGGTGGTTTTGGTGAGGAGAGATGAGGTAGAAAATGAGTGCAAGCCCGCTGGCCACTGACCCCATGGCTCGCCCACAGATGCCAGCATTGGGAGCCGCCTCCTAGCAGGCAGCACCACAGGTGCCCTGGCTGTGGCTGTGGCCCAGCCCACGGATGTGGTAAAGGTCCGATTCCAAGCTCAGGCCCGGGCTGGAGGTGGTCGGAGATACCAAAGCACCGTCAATGCCTACAAGACCATTGCCCGAGAGGAAGGGTTCCGGGGCCTCTGGAAAGGTGTGTACCAGTTGTTTTCCCTTCCCCTTTTCCTCCTCCCCGATACTCTGGTCTCACCCAGGATCTTCCTCCTCCTACAGGGACCTCTCCCAATGTTGCTCGTAATGCCATTGTCAACTGTGCTGAGCTGGTGACCTATGACCTCATCAAGGATGCCCTCCTGAAAGCCAACCTCATGACAGGTGAGTCATGAGGTAGACGGTGCTGGGTCTCACCCTTCCCCCATGCCAGGAGCAGGTGCGGGGGTCTAGCTGACACCAGAAGACCACATCTTTTCATCCTATTTGCCCTTTGCAGGGAGAGTAAGATATCTCTTACTTGCCATATTGAAGCCAATTGGGATGAAGCTCCCACTTTGCACATTGAGGAACTGAGGCTAGATTGGCAAAATGACTCTTTCAGGTCCTCAGAAGATGTCTCAGCTGGAGTCCCTGTCTGTTTTTGTTTTTTTGTTTGTTTGTTTTTTGTTTTTTTTGAGATAGAGTCTCACTCTGTTACCCGTGTAATCTCAGCTCACTGCAACCTTCTCCTCCTGGGTTCAAGCGATTCTTGTGCCTCAGCCTCCCGAGTAGCTGGGATGACAGGTGTGCACCAGCACACTGGCTAATTTTTGTATTTTTAGTAGAGATGGAGTTTCACCATGTTAGCCAGGCTGGTCTCGAACTCCTGGCCTCAAGTGATCTGCCCACCTTGGCCTCCCAATGTGCTGGGATTACAGGTGTGAGCCTCTGCGCCCCATCCTCTTGTTTGTTTTTTGAGACAGGGTCTTGCTCGGTTGCCCAGGCTGGAGTGCAGTGGGGTGATTAATGGCTCATTGCAGCCTCGACCTCCCTGACTCAAGCAATCCTCCCACCTCAGCCTCCTGAGTAGCTGGGGCTGACTACAGGCATGCACACTGTGCCTGGCTAATTTTTGTATTTTGTAGAGACAGGGTTTTTGCCATGTTACCCAGTCTGGTCTTGAACTCCTGGGCTCAAGTGATCCACCCACCTCGGCCTCCAAAAGAAGTCCTGGATTACAGGCATGAGACATTGTGCCCAGCCTCTCTGTCTCTTTAAAATCATGAAAACTCGTAGCTACTTAAGTAATTCTCCTGCCTTCTGGAATGATGGGTGAAGATCTTGACTGCCTTGCCTGCTCCTCCTTGGCAGATGACCTCCCTTGCCACTTCACTTCTGCCTTTGGGGCAGGCTTCTGCACCACTGTCATCGCCTCCCCTGTAGACGTGGTCAAGACGAGATACATGAACTCTGCCCTGGGCCAGTACAGTAGCGCTGGCCACTGTGCCCTTACCATGCTCCAGAAGGAGGGGCCCCGAGCCTTCTACAAAGGGTGAGCCTCTGGTCCTCCCCACCCAGTTCAGGCCTCTTGGCTATGCATGTCTATTGTGGGTGGGAGAGAACCACCTGGAAGTGAGTAGCAGCCAAGTGTGACTATTTCTGATCCTGGTCCTGGCATTTCACCAGCATTCACCTATCCCCTTAATTCCTTCCTCCCAGAATTGCTACCATCACTGTTTATTAGGTGTTAAATGGAGACTCAAAGGGAATTCATGCTTATAGCCAAGCAGCTGTGAGCTCAGTTCATTGAGTCCTCCCAGCCTCCTTTGGGACAGAGCAACTGGGTTGGATTGAATACCAGGCCCAGTGAGGGAAGTGGGAGGTGGAGGTGCCCCCATGACCTGTGATTTTTCTCCTCTAGGTTCATGCCCTCCTTTCTCCGCTTGGGTTCCTGGAACGTGGTGATGTTCGTCACCTATGAGCAGCTGAAACGAGCCCTCATGGCTGCCTGCACTTCCCGAGAGGCTCCCTTCTGAGCCTCTCCTGCTGCTGACCTGATCACCTCTGGCTTTGTCTCTAGCCGGGCCATGCTTTCCTTTTCTTCCTTCTTTCTCTTCCCTCCTTCCCTTCTCTCCTTCCCTCTTTCCCCACCTCTTCCTTCCGCTCCTTTACCTACCACCTTCCCTCTTTCTACATTCTCATCTACTCATTGTCTCAGTGCTGGTGGAGTTGACATTTGACAGTGTGGGAGGCCTCGTACCAGCCAGGATCCCAAGCGTCCCGTCCCTTGGAAAGTTCAGCCAGAATCTTCGTCCTGCCCCCGACAGCCCAGCCTAGCCCACTTGTCATCCATAAAGCAAGCTCAACCTTGGCGTCTCCTCCCTCTCTTGTAGCTCTTACCAGAGGTCTTGGTCCAATGGCCTTTTTGGTACCTGGTGGGCAGGGGAGGAACCACCTGACTTTGAAAATGGGTGTGATCCACCTTCCACCTCCAGCATCCAATCTGAAGCCCGTGTAGGTCATCTGGTCCATTTCTCTCTAGACCCAGGCCCTGTACTAACATGGGGAGTGCAGGAGCCACCTGAGAGACAGCAGTGCCTCCCCTTCCTTTGCCGGGCCACTTGAGCTCTTACTCAGAATCTGGTACTCTAGTGCCTGCCATCCCAACCCCCCACCCCAGCCGCAGGCCTGTTTATCTGCACAACAAGAGTGCTCCTGTGTGCCCTGCATCTCCTGCAGTTCCAGAGGAACATGAGACTCTTAGATGCTGTTGACTTTATTTTATTCCATTTTACAAATGGAAGGAAGACCCACCTCCCCCAAAGTCCCAGACCTTGTGAGAACAAGTCAGTCAGCCTCCTTCCACCCTCCACAGCCACAGCCACACCCACAGAGGAAATGTTACTGAACTGGGTGGAGCAGGCCCTGACTCCACAGAGGGTGGGTGGAGGCTGCAGGGCAAACATCTGGTCTCTGCCTGAGGATACTTTCCATTTGTGTTTTTTGTTGTTTTGAGACAGAGTCTCACTTGCTGTCACCCAGGCTGGAGTGCAGTGGTGCAATCTTGGCTCACTGCAACCTCTCCCAGGTTCAGGCGATTCTCCTGCCTCAGCCTCCCAAGTAGCTGGGATTACAGGCATACACCATCATACCTGGCTAATTTTTGTGTTTTTGGTAGAAACGGGGTTTTGCCATGTTGGCCAGGCTGGTCTCAAACTCCTGACCTCAAGTGATCCACCTACCTCAGCCTCCCAAAGTGCTGGGATTACAGGCATGAGCCACTGTGCCTGGCCAGGATATTTTCCATTTGGAGTCTCACCACCACAACCCCCCTCCACCTGCCCCTGCCCCAGCTAGGCATCCAAGGAGGCCGCAAGAAGCCAGGGCCTTGGCTGCACAGGGGTCTCCGCTTCTCTGTCCCTGTTCTTATCACCTGCACTCAGAGGCAGGTGGGCAGGGGTACTACAATTTCAAGGAGTGGAGACTGTGAGGTCCTGGAATCCCAAGGCATCTCCTGTAGGGCTGGGCCCTTAGAATTATGTCACTCAGACCCAGTTTGTAGGTGTCTGAAGAAACTGAGGCCTGACACAGGTGATGCAGGCAAGAACACCCAGAAAGTCCACTACTGAACTGGGACCGGGACCCAGTCCTCCTTCCCCTTGTGGACTCCCCCAGAGACCAGTGCTGGGGTCCTTGGGGAAGCCTGTTTGGCAGCTGTGGAGCTAGGCCCTGAGAACACGACCACCCTCCCTCTTCCCTCAGCCTCAAGCCGCTGAAGCCACTGCTGCTTCGCCGCCTCGTAAGCCCAATGGTCAGAGCTGGAGGCTAGACCCTTCAGTGCTTGGGTTGAGGGCCAGGGTGTTAGATTGGTTTTTGGAGAAGGAACGAGGGCCCAGGATTCTTCAGCTTCTTAGTTTTTGACAAATTGAGCTGAGGCCCCATAGTCCTCGGGAGGGACAGGGTTGAGTGCCATAAGTCGGCAAACCAGGGTAAAGGTGACAGGCAGCTCAGCCAGGCTGCAGGGGGTGGCATATACAGAGGACCTGGCCACTACTTTATGTACCTTCTTACACTAATTCTGTGAGGCAGGCTGTTTGTTAGCTCTGCTCTGGACGGGAAGAAGTAGGGGCAGTTTGGTAGGTGTGTGTCAAAGCTAAACAGGCTGGGTGGGCATGAGCAAGTCAGCTGGTTCATTCAGCAGCCTTAATAGACACGAGGCTACCCAACTTCACTGTGGTTCTGGGTGTGGCCTTAGGACAATGAGCTGGGAACAGTGGTAGGAACCACTGGAAAACATACCAGTGGGTCTCATTCATTCTGATCACAGGTAGATCACTTCTCTTTGGTTCCCAACCCTTTAATGCCTATTAAGTGGGCAGATGATAAGCCCTGCTTTGCCTAATTCAAGGTAACACTGAAGATCACTAAGGTAATAGGAATCTCCTAAGGGACTTTCAGGCCCAAGACCCAGGCTTCCTTCAAGATAAGGAGTAGGCTTTCCTGCTGCCCTACAGGAGACCTAGAGTTGAAGAATTTCACAGCCCTGCCTCTGCACTCCAATTCAGGGCTTGCCCTCAGAACAGGGCAGCTCTCACCATCCCACTCCACCTGAGTCCTGCCCCAGAGCATTTCATGCCTCACCATCTGGTTTCCATGAAAGGCCTGCAAGGTAGGGGCTGTAAGCTTTAAGAAACGGGTTCAGAGAGGTGAAGTGATTTGCCCAAAGGCACACAGCTGGCTAGTAGCACACTGGGGATCCAGAACAGGTGTGTCTGACTCCAAAGCCCACATGCTTTTAACTACTATGCTGAAATGCTTCCTGGAGCCCTGGTCCCAGAGTCTTCACCTCAAGGTCTTTGGGTAGCTGACTTCATGGTGATTTTTTTTTTAATTTTAAGATGGCGTCTCTTCTGTCGTGCAGGCTGGAGTGCAGTGGCAAGATCTCAGCTCACTGCAACCTCTGCCTCCTGGGTTCAAGTGATTCTCCTGCCTCAGCCTGCCAAGTAGCTGGGATTACAAGTGCATGCCACCATGCCCGGCTAATTTTTGTATTTTTAGTAGAGACAAAGTTTCACCATGTTGCCCAGGCTGGTCTTGAACTCCTGACCTTGTGATCCACCCGCCTCGGCCTCCCAAAGTGCTGGGATTACAGGCATGAGCCACCGCGCCCAGCCCATGGTGATTTTTTTAATGACAAAAGTGCTACTGAACCCCCGTTTTAAAAAAAAAACCTTAAGCTGATGTGATTTGAATGGTGGAGTCCCAAGCAATCTGGAGAACATGGGGCCTTTTCTGGCACCTCTGAAGGCATTCCATGGAATTGGCTACCTACTCCCCGTAAGCCTGGATCTATCCTCACCCAAGCTCAGACTCTAGAAGGGAACCTCCCTGGCATGGAAGGGGAGCATAACACACGTGTTGACTATGAGGAGGCAAGTGTGGTCTACGCAGGCCCAGTTGGACCTGGATGCTGGAACTCCAGGCCTTGAGGGCAGCAGTGCTGTTACCCCTTCCTGAATCTAAGCAGTGAGTTCACCAAGCACTTTCACATCAATGTTCTCTGTCCTCACAACATGCCCGTGAGGGGGGTTATGGGCTCTGCTTTACTGACAAGACAGGTGTGGTGACTGGTCCCAGGAGAAAGTGGCAGGGCTGGGGTCAGAACTCAGGTTTCCTGCCTCCCAGATCACCCTGCCCAGGACCCTATCACAGACCAGGGGATTGAGGCCAGAGAGGTAGAACCAAAGCTGTTTCCAGTGCACATGTGTTCTTTATGCTGCTTCTCTACGCAGGGCGAGTCTGTGGGAAGTGACCTTCAAGGTTTTTGGGGGTTTTTTTTGTTTTTTGTTTGAGACAGAGTCTTGCTCTGTCACCCAGGCTGGAGTGCAGTGGCGCAGTCTCGGCTCACTGCAACCTCCACCTCCTGGATTCAAGTGATTCGCCTGCCTCAGCCTGCCGAGTAGCTGGGATTACAGGCCCTCGCCACCATGCCCAGCTAATTTTTGTATTTTTAGTAGAAACGGGTTTTCACCATGTTGGCCAGGCTAGTCTTGAACTCCTGACCTCAGGTGATCCACCTGCCTCGGCCTCCCAAAGTGCTGGGATTACAAGCATAAGCCACCACACCCGGCCTTTCTAGTTTTTTTGAGATGGAATTTCACTTTCGCCCAGGCTGGAGTGCAGTGGTGCAATCTCAGCTCACTGTAACTCTGCCTCCCAGGTTCAAGCAATTCTCCTGCCTCAACCTTTGGAGTAGCTGGGATTACAGGTGCCCACCATCACACCTGGCTAATTTTTGTATTTAGTAGAGACGAGGTTTCACTATGTTGGCCATGCTGGTCTCGAACTCCTGACCTCAAGTGATCCGCCCACCTTGGCCTCCCAAAGTCCAGGCATGAGCCACCGCACCCAGCCACCTTCAAGGTTCTGATGACAGCTTTGCCACTGAGGCCTGAGTGACCTGCAATGAATGTTTTCTTTTGTGCTTTAGTTTTCCTGTCTCTAACGTGACCATATCATGCTCCAGAGATTGTCTCTTCTGTCATGAAAAGCCAGAGCAGAGCTAGAGACCCTCAGAGGCCACACAGCCCTGCCCCACTCTATCAAAGTGGAAGCACAGAGGATCTGAACCCTTACCTGCCCTTTCCCACAAAGCCAGGACAGGGACTCAGGCACTCAGCTCCTTAGGCCTCTTTCTTCCCTGTGCCCCACAAGAAGGGCTAATATGAAGCTCCTCTCCAATGTACTCTCGTGGGTGTAGCTGGAGGACAGGAAATAGATCTTTATTATGTCAGTTTAAGCCCTGCGCCATCCCACCCTTGTATCATATCTGTGCAGCAGGCTCCCCTGCACACCCTGAGGCTGTGGCGGGTAGGGGTGGGGTGAGGCCCGGCTAGCCTCCTCTCACCCCTGCTCCAGCCCACCACAGTCATGTCAGCAATGCCTGGCGCAGCATCTGCTTCTTCTGGGGTGTGAGGCGGGTGGGGAACTGGATGTCGAAGAAGATGAAGAGATCCCCTTTCTTAGTGGGGTCCTCCGGCAATGGCATCCCCTCCCCTGGCACCTTCTTGAAGTATTTGGGGCTGAAATAGGATGAAAGAAAGGAGCATAGAGGGCATCCCAGAGCAGCACCTCAGCAGGTCCCTGTCATATAACCCCTACTCACATAACCCCAGGAAGGGGACAGTCACTGCAGTCTTCACCTGGAGTGGTTCTTAGCCAGAACTGGTTGGGAAAGGAGCTCCCTGAAAACCTGTTTACACTGAGTCTCTGATGGAGGATTCCAGAAACTTTGTTTAAGACATGGGAAACGGGAAGTAAAGGTGAGCAAACCCTGGGGTGAGGGCGAGGGTGCTGGGCTGCCAGGCAAACCTCCTCACGGGCAGAGGGCCTTTCTTGGAAAAGGACTTAGGATATGCAACTCAGAACTCTAATGAGAAGTTTGCAGGGCATGGAGGCTACAGGGTTGCCCAACAATGGGGGCCTCTAGCCTCTGCAGTGGCTTTGTGTGGATTAGAAAAAGATGTTCCTTTTGCCAGGTGATTGCAGCCCACAGCTTGGCCAGTGTGGGTTCAGTTTTGGTCCTCTCTATCCCCTCAGCAGGGAACCCTTCTGCTGGGGGCAGCCTGTACAACTCTACTGGGCAGACCTGTCACACTACCACCTAAATCCCAGGCTAGCCCTTCTCTTGGCTACTGGGGCCCAAGGCAGATGGACTCACTGGATGATGTCATTGATGGGGATGTTGAGCAGACGGTCATCTAGGGTCCTCACCTCCACAGTGCAGCAGGTGAGAGCCTAGGGAGGGTCAGGGCCAAAGGTGGGGCTGAGGAGGGTCACCATGGCTCTCCTATTTAGAAGGCACCTTAGGAACCTGTCCAGTGCCAGACTGTGAGTTGGGCACAAGGGAGACGAGGCTGTTCAATAACTAATAGGTGAATGACCCATGCAATTTTCTGCACTGGCAGGAAAGATGGATGGATCTGGCAGGTAAGATGGATGTTGTATAAATGTAATGATGGAGACAGAATAAAAGCGTTTGTGGGAGCCAAGGAGAGGCCCCTAAACCATTCAGGAGTGGGGCAGGAAGTGGTAGCAGTGGTGGTAGCTATTGATGAGGACCCTATAGGGTCAGGTGAATAGACAGCATTCCAGGGAGAGGGCCCAGCAGAAATGAGAACGGAGGTGTGACAATGCGCCACACAGGCAGGGTGCTATGCGGCGAAGGGGCGGGAGTGCAGGGGAAGGAGTAAGCAGGGAGCAGATCGCAGAGGGCCTCCAGTGGCACAAAGATGTTTAGACAGGAGTGTGGCAGGGTCTGATGAGTGTGTGGCAGGATCCCTAAGGAGAAGAGCCTGGAGGAGATGAGAAGTGGGGAGGAAGGCCTGCTGCGCAGATCTGGTGTACAGATCCAGGCGGTGCAGATGAGCAGACGGGACCAAGTGGATGGTGATTTAGAGGGTGGAATCCACAGGGCTTAGTGACTGATGGCAGGTGGTTGTGGGAGGGGAGGCCAAGTCTAGGCCGGGGCAGGCAGGGCTCACTCTGATCTCCTCCCCGCTGCTCCTGCACTTTGCCCACTCACCTTGCCAAGAGGGATGGGGTTCACGAAGAAGAGGTTGTCATTCTCCCTGCGGAAGCGAGGGTGTAGCTTCTCCTTTACGATGAAAATGATGTCTGCTGGGATGATGTTGGGGCCCTGGGCAGGGGACGCCAAAAGGTGACAAGGACTAGTTGGCCGTGTGACCTTGGCCAAGTTCCTGCCTCTACTTGTCTCCATGTCTTCATCTGTACAATGGGGAGATGAGAGCAGGTTTTCTGGAAGGGCCTTTTCAGTTTGGCCCCCATAGCCCAGATGGATTAGAAGCCCGAGAAGCTTACCCAAATGAATCCCCCCAGAATTACTTCTGTACTGAGCATGCCCAAAATAGACACACTCAGCTGGAGGGGCGGAGAGGCTTCCTCAGACGGCAGGCAGGTGGAACACTAAGCTGGGCGTCAGGCAACTGCCCGTATGTCTCTGTCTTGCTAGTAACTCCAGGCATGACACCCCTGTCCCAAACTTCATTAAGTCACCAAAACTCTGCTGAGGTCTCTTCTGGGCGCTGGGGACAGAGGAATCAGACTGGCCCCTAACACTGACAGTGAATCCTCAGCACGCTCAAGACATGATAAAGGGAGGCCCAGAGGCTGGGGCTCAGAGGAGGCTGCCCAGAGCGGGGAACACTGGAGCTGGGTTTTGAAGCGTGTTTATTCGAAGTAGATGTTTTATTTGTATTTTGTCTGTTTGTTTTGTTTTTAGACAGGATCTCGCTCTGTTGCCCAGGCTGAAGTGCAGTGGCATGATCATACTTCACTGCAGCCTTGACCTCCTCGGCTCAAAAGATCCTCCTGCCTCAGTCTCCTGAGTATCTGGGACCACAGGCACACACTACCATGCCCAGCTAAATTTTTTATTTTTAGTAGAGACAAGGTCTCGCTATGTTGCCCAGACTGGTCTCAAACTTCTGAGCTCAAGTGATTCTCCTGCCTTGGCCTCCCAAAGTGCTGAGGCTATAAGTGTGAGCCACCAGGCCAGACCGGAGGTAGATGTTTCATAGGTGAGAAAGGGGGCAAAAAGTGCAGGCAAAGGAATGTGTCTTCCCTGGCTCTGAATGCCTCTTCTCAGGACTTAAGGATTCAGCACGCCTTGGACAATAAATTTATGTTTTTATTTAAATAGTATTTAATTTAAAATTATTATTAATAGGCCAGGCACGGTGGCTCACACCTTTAATCCCAGGCACTTTGGGAGGCCGAGGCAGGCGTATCACCTGAGGTCAGGATTTCGAGGCCAGTCTGGCCAACACGGAGAAACCCTATCTCTATAAAAATACAAAAATTAGCTGGGTGGCTGGGCGCAGTGGCTCACGCCTGTAATCCCAGCACTTTGGGAGGCCGAGACAGGTGGATCACCTGAGGTCAGGAGTTCAAGACCAGCCTGGCCAACATGGTGAAACCCCGTCTCTACTAAAAATACAAAAATTAGTCGGGTGTGGTGGTGCATGCCTGCAATCCCAGCTACTGGGGAAGCTGAGGCAGCAGAATAACTTGAACCCGGGAGGCGGAGTTTGCAGTGAGCTGAGATCGCACCACTGCCTTCCAGCCTGGGTAACAGAGCGAGACTCTGTCTCAAAAAAAAAAAAAAAAAAAAAAAAATTAGCTGGGCGTGGTGGCACATGCCTGTAGTCCCAGCTACTCAGGAGGCTGGGGCAGGATAATTGCTTGAATCCAGGAGGTGGAGGCTGCAATGAGCTGAAATCATGCCACCTCACTCCAGCCTGGGCGACAGTGAGACTCCATCTCAAAATAAAAATAAATAAATAAATAAATACATAAATAAATAAAATTATTATGATTAAATGGTTTCTGAGTAGCTCCTGTAATTGGGCTTTATTCTGAGAAGCACTGAAGAAAATCAGGAAAACACTGGAGTTCAGACTGGGATCTCCTTTCAGCTCCCATGTTCTTGCCCTGGGCAAGTCCCTTTCTTCTCTGGGCCCCCATTTCCCACTCTGTAAAATGGGGACAGTCCCTGGGCTGCCTGTTCACAGAAGCACTGTAAGGCTAAGGCTCTGTTCCTTGGAAGGAACATTAGGGATCCCATCTCACCCACTCTGCAGACTGGGCTCTCTACAGACCAAGGCTCACAGGGGCAGGAAAAAGTATTGCCTCCTTTCCCTTCCTTTCCTCCTCAGTCTTCCCACCGCCTGAGCTCAGTGACTGACCTGAGTCAGCTTCTTCCCCCCTCACCTGGTCCCCTTCCTTCTCAAAGGTGATGCGTGTGCCCTGCCTCCAACCGGGCTTCACATCAATGGTCAGGATCTTGTCCTTGATGGTGGAGGAGTACCCATCCTCGTTCAGCACCTATAGCAACATATCAGGTGTGGGGAGGTCTGCTTAGGACTTCCATGAGTACAGTCGAGATTTGCTCAGATTTTCATGAACACTCAGGTGACCTTTGCACACGTGAAAGATGCTCTATGGGATTTGTACTTGGGCTCAATCCTCTAGCAATGGGAAGAGCCTCCAGCAATGGGGAGAGCCTGCCCTGAGCCACTCCCACTCCCATCCTGTTGCCATGACAACCAAGAACTTATGATTCCAGTATGGCAGAGGATGCCATGAGACTGGGGCTGGGGGCTGAGATGCCAAGCAGTCACCATTAGTTGATCAAACACACAGCTCCAGCCCTGGCCACTAACAGATACATGGTGAAAATGTACTCCATTCCTCTCTCCAAATCCCAGAGGCCCGGCCCTGAGCCTCCAGCAAGTCTCTTAATCCCAAAGAGAGAAATGAAAGTCAACATATCTAAGCCTCCCCCAGTGCATTCCCCACTGGGGATCCTTCCACTCCCCAGTCGCATGTCCAGATGGGTTCCATCTGTGGAAAGCATGGCCGCATCGGCATCTCCTCTGCTGGGCAAAGGTGGAGGGGGCTTGCTCTTATGCCTGGCACAGGGCTGGGCCATGGGACAGGGCCAAGCCAAGGACTAGACATGAGGCACTGAGGGTCTTCCTCAACCCGTCACCTTGGGGACTATCTCCCAGCCCACCCTCCATGCCCACTGTTCTTTCTTATGCACGAGGCATGCACCCTGATGAAATCCTGGGAATATGGTCTGGTAAAGCCCAGAAGGAAGAATTCAGAAGAGACTCCTCCCATTCAGAGCCTTTCCAGTTCCCACGGGGATGGGGCTGAACTGAAAGAAAGGAAGGGAAAGAGCCTGTCCCAGTTGGGAAGGCTGCAGAGGGCACTCCTGCACTAGGAAAGAACCGGGCTAATGTCTTCAACTGTCCCTTCCGAATTTCAGATTCCGGAATTCTAACATCCTAGGTCTCTGAATCTAAGGTTCCATAATTCCATCAGAGACCATCCCTGAGTCCTCCCACCCAGGTAAGGGAGGAGGCAGCTGCTAGGCTGCAGGAGATAGGTGGCTCCCGGGAGGAGCAAGCTGAGTACTCACCCTTCTGGAGATCTTAATTTTTTTGGTGCAGCCAAAGAATAAGTCCTCCAGGGACAGGTAGAGATCCCGTTCGACTTGGGGGTCCTGCTTCTTGACCCCTCGGCCCTGGAGCCCCCCAAAGTTCAAATCTACCTCACTTCCTTCTGCATCAAAAAACTCTGCAGGAGGTAGGGAGAGGAGTAAGAGAAATTGTATCCAGAGACCCAGACATGCGCGCGCGCGCACACACACACACACACACACACACACACACACACACACACACACACAGCCTCCCTATCCAGATATGCTCCCCAACCTCTTCAGTGTCCTGTGTAACACCCAGCATCCTATAACCACCTCTCAGACTGGCCAAGCCAAGGAGCTGTCTTCAACTGCAGATGCAGTGATTATCATCCTTTGCCATTTCCCACTGCTTCACCTCCCCTTGGGACATTCCCCCCCCACCCCGCCCAACGCTTCCCCGTCTCTCTTATTCACAACTCGGATACCGTAACTCTGGCTGTCTCAGGAAAGGGAGGCACTCCCTCTGGTGGCCGCGCTCAGGAGTGCCAGAAGAGACTGCTGGTAGTCCTCGGCAGGAAGGTGAGAGCCTGCCAGTCCTCTCTACTCTTCCCCAGACTCCATAACCCTTCGCTGTCCAGCCCAGCCCAAGATTGCTAAAGACCCCAGACTCAAGTTTCTATAAAGCTGTCAGCTGAGATGGGGGAGGGAAAGGGTTGGTCCCTAACAATTTGAGAGGCCACCGGCATTCCCCAAACTCCTCTTTCCTCAATTTCTTTTGCCCCTGCCCAGCTCTGCACCCATAACCCCTCTTGCTGCCCCCATCCTTCCTCCCAGTGCAAAGACAGCCCCATCCTGGCTCTGCCCCTGATGTGCTGTGTGATCCGTGGGCTTCAGTGTCTTGGTCTGTGGGATGGGGTAATAATGCCTGACCTGCCTTCCACCATTAAGATGAAGAGCTAAAACTTGCTGAGAGCTTACTATGCGTCAGGTGCTATTTTTGGAACCTTACATTATTATTTCATTGGTCCAGGGAGCCCAAACAAAACGCTTAAGGTCCCGTAGCTAGTAAGCAGTAGAGTTGGGATCTGAACCACAGGACAATATGACTACGGAACCTGTGTCCTTAACCACTGTGCCACGCCGCATCGCTAGATGTGGAAGCCCCTCATAAGCTGTAAACTCGAGGGGCGCTATGGTTAAGAGTTTTCATATTCTGCCTCTCATGGTTAATGCCATGGAATGAACTTCACAGGCTAGAATGGTGAAATGACCTTAGGCAGGGATGGTGAGGTGACTACACTATGTCCCTCTAAGATGCGATGGGCAATCAAGAGGCCTGAATCTTCTGGTCCTCCTGTTGCATTGCTGAATTCACTTGTTCACCCAGACCTACAGTGTACCAGGCAGTAAACACCCCAATAGCCAGTCCACAGGAAGCCCAGCCCCTCAACCCTGCAGGGAGATGGGACTCAGGAACCCTTGGGGTGGAGCACTATGGCAGTATAGCTTCTGGGCACTGCCTGAGGAAGCCCAGACCCTGAGCCTGACCTTTCCCAATGAGCGATGCCCTGTAGACTCACTTGGCTCCTTTGAACTGAGACAGGTAGGGAGGCAAGGTCCACTGTATGGCATTTTTGGACTGCAAAGCCCCTTTCATTTTTTTTCTTTTTTCTTTTTTTTTTTTGAGACAGAGTCTCAATCTTGTTGCCCAGGCTGGAGTGCAATGGCGCAATCTCGGCTCACCACAACCTCCACCTCCTCGGTTCAAGCGATTCTCCTACCTCAGCCTCCTAAGTGGCTGGGATTGCAGGCATGCACCACTGTGCCTGGCTTTGTTTTTTTGTTTTTGTTTGTTTGTTTGTTTTTAGTAGAGATGGGTTTTCTCCATGGTGGTCAGGCTGGTCTTGAACTGCCGACCTCAAGTGATCCGCCGGCCTCAGCCTCCTGAAGTGCTGGGATTACAGGTGTGAGCCACCATGCCCGGCCGATTGCAAAGCCCCTTTTCATAAACATTATCTCATCTGATAATAGCCCTTGAGCCTTAATGATTATTTTGGCTATGTAATGGTTAGGAAGCTGGGGTTTCAGAGGGGTGAAGAAATTTTCCCAGGATCACACGGTTCACAAATGGCAGCGCATGGATTGGAAACAGGCCCGCTACTCGAAGCCCCTTGCTGTTTTCAGTCTCACGTGGAGCTTATAAACTCAGCTTCTTCTGGCAGACACGTGAGGGTGGCACAAGGTGGGAGCAATCTCTGAGGCAGAGGGGCTGTAACCCACATATTGGCACAGAAAAGAGAAGGAAAGAACTTATGAAGTTCAGAAAGGCTGAAGTATAGTCAGGGAGAAGGGGCAAGAGGTGTAGGAGAAAACAGGCAGTGAAAAATCTAGGCCTTATGTGGGTATAACTGGAGCCAGGAAGTCAGGTGTGAAGGTCTTTTCACTGCCTTTGCAAGATGATTCTGAGCCTCAGAAATCAACTCTTGGTCAGTTTGTCTCAGACCTGGAATCACGCACCCATCCACCTACTCAGCCATCCTTCCGCCTACCCAGCCATCCATCCGCCTACCCAGCCATCCATTCATTTACCCAGCCATCCGTCCGCCTACCCACCCACCCACCCACCATGTGCTCGTCTATTCATTCATACACCCACTCATCCATTCATCCATCTGTCCTTCCTTCATTTCATGCATCCACCCATCCACACTCACTCTTGTCAGATGCTAGGCTGGGATTTGGCTACGCTGAGATCAATCAGACCTGGAGGATCTCCCAGTCTGGTAGGGAGACAAGCATATTAGGGAAACTATAAATAGCACAAGAACTGTTTTAACTGCAAAAGAGACAAGAGGTATCTTCCCACAAATACAATATTAGCAAAAGACTGGGAAGAAACTACCCATCAATAAGACAGTAATTAAAAATAATAAATTAGACCTGGCATGGTGGCTCATGCCTATAATCCCAGCACTTTGGGAGGATGACGCAGGCGGATCACCTGAGGTCAGGAGTTCAAAACCAGCCTGGCCAGTCTTGAGTGGAAACCCCATCTCTACTCAAAATACAAAAATTAGCCAGGCATTCTGGTGCCCACCTGTAATCCCAGCTACTCGGGTGGCTGAGGCAGGAGAATCGCTTGAACCCAGGAGGCAGAGGTTGCAGTGAGCCAAGATTGTGCCACTGCACTCCAGCCTGGGCAACAGAGCAAGACTTTAATAATAATAAATTATAAAACATCCATGGTAGCCATGCTGGCACTTGGCATCTGCTCTGTCCTCCTTCTTGCATACCTTCCCTGCTAGAGAATCTGTAGAGCCAAAAGGAACATCCCCCAGACTCTCTTGCAGCTAAGGTTCTGGCTTTGAATTCTGTTCATCAGGTAGTTCCTGAGCTGCTTGGGAGGCAGGAAGAAGGCGGCAGGCATCTCTCCGTGGCTCTGTCTGGAGCTGGTGGGCACTGTTGTGGAGACACTAGGTTTTTCTGCAGCAGCCTTTGTGGGTCCACCCACGAGTTTCATGCCTGTCAGAGGCAAGTGAGGCAGCAGTTGCAGCTACATTCATGGTGTGCTCTGGAATGCAACGGTGACATTTCCTGATTCCTTCTTTGTGACTGTGGCAGAGACAGCAGCTCTCCTTGTGGGCCAGTTTAGAGGTGGTGTTCTTGGAAGATTTCCTACAGGGCCAGCTTACAGCCTTCTCACCCAGGCCTTTCAATGATTATTTCTTTATTTATGTATTTTATTTTTTTGAGACAAGGTCTCAATCTGTCACCCAGGCTGGAGTGCAGTGGCCCGATCTTGGCTCACTGCAGCCTCAACCTCCTGGGCTCAGGCGATTCTCCCACCTCAGCCTCCTGAGTAGCTGGAACTACAGATACACACCACCATTCCTGGCACATTTTTTTGTAGAGATGGGGTTTGGCTATGTTGCCCAGGTTGGCACCGAATTCCTACACTCAAGCAATCCAGCCACCTCAGCCTCCCAAAGTGCTGGGATTATAGGAGTGAGCCACCACACCTGGCCTCGGTGATTTTTTAAAGCACCTAATTCCCTGTTTTGAACCCCTTTCTGCTTCACGTGGCTAAAACAGTATTTGCTTCTGCAATGGATCCCTAATAGACATCTGTACAATGAAATCTTATGCAGATCTGTACATAGTATATAGATTTGCATGTAAGTGAATAAAGTAGATCTATATATAGTATAACATATAAGATAATCTCCAAGATATATTAAGTGAAAAAAAAAATCATTGTGTAAAATTTGGCCCTATTTCCTTAATAAAAGGCTTCTGTAAAAATAAATACAGCTCATACAAGCATGGCAAGTTTCTGGAAGGATACATAAACTGTTTACTAATAGCTGCTTCCCTAGTAGCTGCTTCTGAGGAAGAAAATGGAGGGCTCGGCCAGACACGGTGGCTCATGCCTGTAATCCCAGCACTTTGGGAGGCCGAGGTGGGCAGATCACCTGAGGTCAGGAGTTCAAGACCAGCCTGGCCAACATGGCGAAACCCTGTCTCTACTCTATGAAAAATACAAAAATTAGCTGGGCGTGGTGACTCACACCTGTAATCCCAGCACTTTGGGAGGCAGAGGTGGGCAGATCAGCTGAGGTCAGGAGTTCAAGACCAGCCTGGCAGACATGGTGAAACCACGTCTCTACTAAAAAATATAAAATTATTAGCTGGGTGTGGTGGTGGGTGCCTGTAATCCCAGCTACTCAGGAGGCTGAGGCAGGGAGAACTGCTTGAACCCCGGAGGCGGAGGTTGCAGTGAGCAGAGATCATGCCACTGCACTCCAGCCTGGGTGACAGAACAGGACTCCATCTAAAAAATAAAAATAAAAAAGAAAGAAAGAAAAAGAAAATGGAGGGCTGGAATGTATTTCTTTTTCAATGAATTCTGTTTTACTTTTTCTTTTGCAATGTGTTTTATATATATTTATTAAAGTAAAAATAGGCCGGGCACGGTGGCTCATGCCTGTAATCCTAGCACTTTGGGAGGCCAAGGCCTTAGGCAGATTGCCTGAGCTCAGGAGTTCGAAACCAGCCTGGGCAACATGGTGAAACCTCGTCTCTACTAAAAATATAAAAAAATTAACTGGGTGTGGCAGCGTGCGCCTGTAGTCCCAGCTACTTGGGAGGCTGAGGGAGGAGAATCATTTGAACCCGGGAGGCAGAGGTTGCAGTAAGCCATGATCCCACTACTGCACTCCAGCCTGGGAAACAGAGTGAGTCTCCATCTCCAAAAAAAATAAGTAAATAAAATAAAATAATAAAGTAAAAATAAAAACAAAACTACTCAACGAAAACATCACTTATAGCAGTGTCCTTTCTCTATAAGGCAAGGTGGGGGAGGAAGACCTCTTACCACTGAAGGGGTTGTTTCCACCAAAGAACTCGTGGAACACCTTTTCAGGTTTGCCATGGAAGACGTAACCAGTTGTCCATGGGGTCTGGGATCCAAACTCCAAAGGAATCCCACCCTTCAGGCCCTCTTCTCCAAACTTGTCGTAGATGCCTCTCTTCATGGCTGTGGATGGGCATCACCTTAAGGAGGTGTCCAACTTTGGGGGCTGAGATAGGTGGAGGGGCTGGGAAGCAGGCGGATATGGAGAAAGGGAAGGGGCAGAAGCAGCCTGATCCCAAAGTGCCTGCTGTCTGGCAGTCTTTGGAATGAGACCCTAGGAGTCAGGCGTTCCATTTCATTCTGGGAGGACCTAGGTATGGCTCCTGTAGCCCAGAAGAGAGACGGGAAAGCCTTGAGTTTGCTGGGGGCAGGGTGAGAGACTGGGGGAATAACTGAGAGACTGAGGCTCAGGCAATGGCCCTGGGATTTGGCCTAACTCAGTCATCATAGCCACTGTCTTATCTGGGGTAAACGGAATCGTAGAACCTTGACATTTTAGAAGCTAAGAATTCTAGAGCCTCCAAATTTTAAAACTTCGAAATCCTAGAGTCTAAGGACCCTGAAGTCCTGAAAACTCGGGGCTGTAGAAACCTTAGTGATCTTCTAGCTGCACTTCCGCAGGAACCAGGATTAGTCTCCAGGACAATCCCCCAGGGAAAGCCCCGCAGGACGGCCCTGGGTGCCGGGGCGGGGATCACACTTTCTTCACTCTGCTGGTTTCCCTAGGAGACAGATTTCCTAATTACTCCTGGCCTTTCTCTGCCTCTTCCTACTGTTGCTGGCCCTGGGGAAATGGACACTAAGCCACTGGGAAGGACCTCTGGGAGGGACAGGTGGGCACGCCTGCCCAGCTTCAGCTTTCTTCCCCGTAGCTGCAAGCCCCTTACTCTGTTTCTCCCGGGGAAGGTCCCGTCCCCGCAGGGCATAGGGATGCGTGGGGAATGTGCCCCAGCTCCCACACTGCCTGCCAGGATGAGCGAGTCAGTGTAATCCTGGGCTCCACACCCCACGTCCTCCACCTCAGCTTGCTTCTACTGAGAAAGGCGGGTCCGTATTCTGTCTTCTCTGTGTGTCTAGATTCTAGGCAGGGAAGAAGGATGCTTCCTCGTTATTGGGCCCCCTCAGAAAACCCAACAGTCTAGAGACTTAAGGAATGATCCTAATCAAGCGGGGTGCTCAGCCCCACACCTACTCACGGTCACTCAGCACGTCGTAGGCCTCTGCTATTTGCCTGAAAATCTCTGCTGAAGACGGCTCATTTGACTTCAACGGGTGGTGCTTAAGGGCGAGTCTGCGGTACCTGGAAGAGGGAGAATTAATACAAGTCTTATCAGCTGGTCTGTTTCTGAGGGCGGACCAGAGTTCAGAGCCGGCACTCTGTTCACTCCTGCCTAGCTATAAATCCGGGGTGACTTCACCAGCTGTGGTGGCTGCGGAGGTGCACTGCTCAGCTCTTGAAGAGTAGCTGGTGCGGGGAGCACAGTTGACCGACAGTTCCAGCAGCTGCCCCCCTGGGCATCTGAGCTGAAGCAACTGCCCCTGAGCTGCCCTCAATGCTTACGTGTGGTGGGGATACCAGGGCTGGCCCATTCCTGCAAGACACAGGACTCCTCCAACGGGCAAGCTTTGCGCGAGGGCTCCCCAGAGGCTGGCTGAGCTGCTCCCCGGGCCTCGCTGCACTCTCCCTCCTTCCTCCCCTCCCTGTCTCCACTCGCAGGTGTCAGGCTGTACTGTGCGCGCCCCTGCTCCCTTCCCTTCATACTTCACGGTTTCTCCAGGTGCATTTCCTGCTCATCTAATCCTGTTTGCTTCTTAGAGGACCGGAGCAGACACACAGGCATCTTGGGAGGATGAGCTACAATTGGGTGTGCAGCGGGCATGGCTGAGGCGCTCAGTGCCCGTCCGGTTCCTGTGCCGCCCCCACCCTCTCTCTGCTCATTTTTTCCCCACTTCTGTTCCTGCCCAGTCCTCTGCTATTTGCCTGAAAATCTCTGCTGAAGACGGCTCATTTGACTTCAACGGGTGGTTAAAGGGCGAGTCTGCGGCACCTGGAGGAGGGAGGGTTGATACAAGTCGTACCAGCTGGCCTGTTTCTGAAGGGCAGACATCGCAGCGTCTGAGAATATGTATCGGCAGTGACCCGGGGTGGGGGAGAGATGGAGCGGATTGGGTGGTTTGTGGAGAGCTTAATAAAGGGACCATTCGCCCAGGTGCTGGAGGAGCGGAGGGAGACTGCCAGGGACAGCGGAGTGCAGTTTTCCCAGGCCAGGAACCCCGAGGGGTCTGTTGGAGTGTGTGGACAGGGCCCTCAGCGGAGCTGTGACCTTCTGTCAAGCGACACAGCTGACTGAAGAGACCCCATAGGAGGAGAACTGGGGAATAAAGCCGCAGCCCTGCCCTTCTCCCTCCCCATCTCCCCGCCTGATGCTCCCCTGGGCCGGCTCCATGTGGAAGGCTGAGGGCAAGGAAGCCTCCCGGAGCGCAGCAGGGCAGGAAG
Source organism: Homo sapiens (assembly GCF_000001405.40). NCBI lineage: Eukaryota > Metazoa > Chordata > Mammalia > Primates > Hominidae > Homo > Homo sapiens. The sequence continues at coordinate 73,957,119 of NC_000011.10, read as the reverse complement.
GGTGGGGAGTGGGTCTGGAGGGCTGCACGGGAAGCATCCAGCACAGACGCCTGTCATTCAGCCCAGGCGTGACCCCCCACCTTGCCTCCACCCGCTTTTCTAGTGCCCACACCCGCCTCGCCGCCATCCCCAGAGTTCCACAGCTTCTCTTCTTATTCCAGAGGCAGGCTTCTGTCTCTCACAGCTAAATCTCCATCCCGAACCAGACCACTTCCCTGAGCCAAAGACTACCTCCAAGTGCCTACTTGCCATCTCCTCTCCAAGGTATCATAAATTCACTGAGCCCAGACATATACTTTTTTTTTTTTTTTTTTTTGAGATGGAGTTTCTCTCTTGTTGCCCAAGCTGGAGTGCAATGGCACAATCTCTACTCACTACAACCTCTGCTTCCTGGGTTCAAGCGATTCTCCTGCCTCAGCCTCCCAAGTAGCTGGGATTACAGGCGCGAGCCACCACGCCTGGCTAATTTTTGTATTTTTAGTAGAGGCAGGGTTTCACCATGTTGGCCAGGCTGGTCTTGAACTACTGACCTCAGGTGATCCGCCCACCACAGCCTCCCAAAATGCTAGGATTACAGGCATGAGCCACAGCGCCCAGCCTTCTGAAATACTTTCTGACCAGGTCCCTCTCCTGGCATAACCCTTCACTGGTTTCCCCATTGTCTCCAGCATAAAACTCGGATGTCTCATTCTAAGATCCAAGCCCCTGCTTCTCCCTCTGGCCTCACTCACTGTTCTCTCTTGCTGCTCCCTTGACCTCTCCTGCATGACTCACCCCTCTGCAGCTCCTCCCAGCTTCTCTGGGCAATTTTTAATTCATCCTTCAACTTTCGACTCAGGTGCCAAATCCTCCAGGGCACCTTCCCTGATTGTTAGCCTCCTTTCTAGGTTAGACTCCCCTTCCCAAGTCCCCAGCACCTTTGATCCTTGTCCTCAGCAGTGCTGTGTTCCAGGTGTATATTGACTCCTCTGTCTAATAGACTGGGAGGTCCTGGAGTTGCTGCATCCAGTTCTAGCCCCAGTGCTGGGCACTGAGCAGGAGTGAGTAAATAAATGATACATGCTAAGCATCCTGCAGGACAGTCCATCTCACTGTGGCATGGCTCTGACTTTTAGGCAATGCCTCCTCTTACTGCGGACAGGAAGCTGGATCTGTGGTCCTGCAACTGCCCCTCCATCCATAAGGGTCCTGGCTGTGCCCTGGGGACCTTACAGAGAGAATATCTACCTTCAGAGACTTGAAGACAATTGTCACAGCCTTCCAAACCAGCCTTTCTCAATTATAAAGGTCACAGTCAGTTATTTTTATTTATTTATTTAGAGATAGAGTCTCACTCTGTCACCTAGGCTGGAGTGCAGTGGCGCGATCTGGGCTCACTGCATTGTCCGCCTCCCAGGTTCAAGTAGCTGGAACTACAGGTGCCCACCACCACACCTGGCTAATTTTTGTATTTTTAGTAGAGACGGGTTTTTGCCGTGTTGGCCATGCTGGTCTCAAACTCCTGGCCTCAAGTGATCTGCCCATCTCAGTCTCCTGTAATCCCAGCAATTTGGGAGGCCGAGGCAGGCAGATCACTTGAGATCAGGAGTTCGAGACCAGGCTGGCCAACATGGTGAAACCCCGTCTCTACTAAAAATAAAAAAATTAGCCGGGCACAGTGGCACACACCTGTAGTCCCAGCTACTCAGGGGGCTGAGGCAGAAGAATCACTTGAACCTAGAAGGTGGAGGTTGCAGTGAGCAGAGATCCTGCCACTGCACTCCAGCCTGGGTGGCAGAGAGAGACTCCGTTTCAAAAAAAAAAAAAAAAAAAGTAACAAGGTTTGAGAAAGGTTTAGTTTTTCATATAAATTTGAGTGGTTTCAAAATTATCCCTGCAATAACATCACTCTCATTCACCTGCTTTCCTGAGTGGGAGAGAAAGGGGTGAAATCACAGCTTGAACGCTGCAATTATGAATCCTGGGCAATTATAAACTATCATGATGTTTTTCTTCCTTATATAAGTTTAGCTCTTTTTTTTTTTGATCAATATCTAGGTGATCCCATGAGCAAGCATGTCATACATGTGACTTAGAGTTATTGCAGGGGAGAAGGGTTAAGGACTGCTTTTTGAAACCTACATAGTTCTTTTAATCACTCTATTTATTTTTATTTATTATTTATTTTTGAAATGGAGTTTTGCTCTTGTTGCTCAGGCTGGAGTACAATGACTCAATCTTGGTTCACTGCAACCTCCACCTCCCAGGTTCAAACGATTCTTCTGCCTCAGCCTCCCGCGTAGCTGGGATTACAGGTACCCGTCACCACGCCTGGCTAATTTTTTTTAGTAGAGACAGGGTTTTACCTTGTTGGCCAGGCTGGTCTTGAACTTCCGACCTCAGGAGATCCTCCTGCCTCGTCCTCCCAAAGTGCTGGGATTACAGGCATGAGCCACCGTGCCCAGCCTTATTTATTTATTTATTTATTTATTTATTTTATTTTTTTTTTTTGAGACGGAGTCTCACTCTGTTGCCCAGGCTGGAGTGCAGTGGCGCGATCTCGGCTCACTGCAAATTCCGCCTCCCAGGTTCACGCCATTCTCCTGCCTCACCCTCCCGAGTAGCTGGGACTACAGGCACCTGCTACCACGCCCGGCTATTTTTTTGTATTTTTAGTAGAGACGGGGTTTCACCATGTTATCCAGGATGGTCTTGATCTCCTGAACTCGTGATCCGCCCGCCTCAGCCTCCCAAAGTGCTGGGATTACAGGTGTGAGCCACTGCGCCCGGCCTACTTTTTTTTATTTATTTTTTTGAGACGAAGTCTCACTCTGTCACCCAGGCTGGAGTGCAATGGCACGATCTCGGCTCACTGCAACCTCTGCCTCCTGGGTTCAAGCAATTCTCCTGTCTCAGCCTCCCCAGTAGCTGGGATTACAGGCATGCGCCACTACACCTGGCTAATTTTTTGTATTTTTAATAGAGAAGTGGTTTCACCAAGTTGGCCAGGCTGGTCTCAAACTCCTGACCTCAAGTGGTCCACCTGCCTCAGCCTCCCAAAGTGCTAGGATTACAGGTGTGAGCCACTGTGTCCAGCCATTATTATTATTATTATTATTATTATTATTATTATTATTATTTTATTATTATTTTTGAGACAGAGTCTCGCTCTGTCGCCCAGGCTGGAGTGCAGTGGCGCAATCTCGCTCACTGTAAGCTCCACCTCCCGGGTTCACGCCATTCTCCTGCCTCAGCCTCCCGAGTAGCTGGGACTACAGGTGCCCGGCTAATTTTTTGTATTTTTTAGTAGAGACGGGGTTTCAGTGTGTTAGCCAGGATGGTCTTGAGGGAAGAGAGCGACCATCTCATATTGTTTTATACTCAGTACCTGTTTTAAAAAAAAGCAACAAGGAAGTAAAACCAAAGACAGGCAGCCCAGCGCCAGGCCTGAAACCAGGCCTGGGCCTGCCTGGCCTAAACCCAGTAGTTAAAAATCAACTCATAATTTAGAAACCGATGTTATTCATAGATTCCAGACATTGTATAGAAGAACATTGTGAAACTCCCTGCCCTGTTCTGTTTCTCTCTGACTACCAGTGCATGAAACCCGTCACGTACCCCTTGTTTGCTCAAATCAATCACGACCCTTTCATGTGAAATCTTTAGTGTTGTGAGCCCTTAAAAGGGACAGAAATTGTACACTCGGGGAGCTCGGATTTTAAGGCAGTAGCTGGCCGATGCTCCCAGCTGAATAAAGCTCTTCCTTCTACAACTCGGTGTCTGAGAGGTTTTTTCTGCGGCTCGTCCTGCTACAGTCTCGATCTCCTGACCTCGTGATCCGCCTACCTCGGCCTCCCAAAGTGCTGGGATTACAGGCATGAGCCACGGTGCCCGGCCCAGCCATTTTTATTTTTTTGAGACAGGTGTTGCTCTGTTGCCCAGACTGGAGTGCAGTGGTGCAATCATAGCTCAATGCAGCCTCTACCTTCTGGGCTCAAGCAATCCTCCCACCTCAGCCTCCCAAGTAGCTGGGACTACAGGTGTGTGCCATCATGCCCAGCTAATTTTTAAATTTTCTGTAGAGACAGGGTCTCCCTATGATGCCCAGGCTGCCCTCTCAAACTCCTGGGCCCAAGGGATCCTCCTGCTTTGGCCTCCTAAAGTGCTCAGATTACAGGCATGAAACACCATGCCAGGCCTTAATCACTCTTTATATGACATGGTTTCACATGCAAATGATTGCTGGACACATGCATTATCTCATCTAATCCTATTTCAATCTCACAGCAACCTTTATTATGATGATGATTTTTAGACATGGGAAAACTTCGGCTCAAAGAGGTTAAGTAATTTGCCCAGGTCACGCAGCTAGCAGGTAAGTGAATCTGGATTCTGATCCAGCCCTTTCCAGTGCTTAAGCTGTGCTTATCTTTCTGCACGCCCACTGCCCTTCCTCCTGATTACCTTTCCCTGGATGGGTCCTTCTGGTCAATGAGATGCTCCGAAGAGTGGGTGACATCATACACTGTCCTGAATTGTTCTCAGATCCTTTCATGAGTTTGTGTCTTTTTTCTCCAACACCGCAGACTCTCCACTTATGCCACTGATCCCCTACAGGACCTGGCCCAGGAATAGGCCCATGACTGGCAACTCTGGGAGGCCTGATATCTGAACACTGGCTCCACCATTTACTAGTGCACTTGTGGGATAATAATGGCACTTAATTCTCAGGGCTGTTGTGAGGGTTAAACAGTGATGGAAAGTTCTCAGAACAGCACCTACACACTCAAAACATACACCTATTGTCACTGCCTAACTTAATTGATTGAGTTATCCTGGACTCCTCTTTTCTTCACCCTCCAGTGATCCACTTAATTACCAAGTCCATTCCCTCCCCTTTCTCTGGCCTCATCTTTTGCCTTGATTACCACGAACAGCCTCCTAAAGGGTCTCTCTCCTTCCAAGATAACTTCCACAGCCCCCCATACTTCCTCTTCTGTAACACTCATCACAGTTGTGGTGACTTATTCAACATCTATTCAGCAACAAAATCTAGCTGCATGAGGTAAGGGAGTGTCGATGTCGGATTCCGACATTTATCTCCAGCTGCTACCACTGCAGCAGGAGTGAAGTACCCTCTCAACCCTTGTGGTAGACGCTCAATAAATATTTGTTAAAAAAAAAAACATGTTTTTGGCCAGGTGCGGTGACTCACACCTATAATCCCAGCACTTGGGAAGGCTGAGGCGGGTGGATCACCAGAGGTCGGGAATTTGAGACCAGCCTGACCAAAAAGGAGAAACCCCATCTCTACTAAAAATACAAAATTAGCTGGGCATGGTGGTGCATGCCTGTAATCCCAGCTACTTGGGAAGCTGAGGCAGAAGAATCGCTTGAACCCAGGAGGTGGAGGTTGCGGTGAGCCGAGATCACGCCATTGCACTCCAGCCTGGGCAACAAGACCAAGACTCCGTCTCAAAACAAAAAACAAAAACATGTTTTCAGAAAAATGTACTGACTCCTGTTGTAGGCTTTCTTAGGAACGAGCCAGAACGTCCTTAAGATCCGATGGAAGTATTCAGGAATGTAGTTTAGTCAATGCTGAAAACCTCCATCATGGCCAGAATTGAATTTAAAACATCCATCTGGCCTGGCCACTCCCTTGTTCACAAGCCTCTGGTTCTCCATAATATTCAAGATAAAGTTCAAATGGCTCCTTTGTCCCCACTTCATTGCTGGGAAAAGCAAGGCACCCAGGAGAGGATATAGGGCATGGAGCATAAAGGGAGATGGGTTGGGAGCAGATTGAGGAACTAAAGAGTTCAAATTTCCAACCTGGGCCCTGACCCAGACCAAAGCCAGGATACAGGTATGCAAGAAGTGAAAGGAGGAACAAGGTTTACCTTGTCTGCGCTAAGCTGTGCAGGAAAGCTCGTTTTGGAAGAGAAGAGGGCAGGGCCTGCCCCAGCACACCCCTAAGGCCTGGCTCCCACCCCAACTTACGCCTGCTTGATCTGGGCATCCTCTGAATTGCGAGTGATCCCGAGCACAGAGTAATAATCCTGGCCCATGGCTGGCTAGCTGGCAGTCAGGCCCTGGATAGTCCTCAGACTCTAGCAAGGCTGTTAGTTGGCTTCCTTGGTTGCTCCTGACAACCGCACAGGTGCACTCTGGGAGTTGTAGTCCCACTTCCCTAAACAAATTTCAGCTCTGCCACAGAGAGGAGTCAGTGAAAGGACTGGGGGAGAGCTGGGGCTGATTCTGCGACCCTGTGAAAGGTCACTCAACTCGGAAATTGAAGACTCACAGGGCTCTGTTTTATTTTGTTTTTGTTTTTAAAGAGAGCAGTAATTAGTTTTAATAAAAAGGTTTTAGAAGAAATGCATTTGGCTAATTTTTTAAAAATACATTTATTTTAGAACAGTTTTAGAGTTTAGAAAAGTTGAGAAGACAGTACAGAGAGTTCCCATATACCTCACATCCACATTCTCCTATTTTATTATTATTATTATCATTATCATGTTTTTGAGACAGGGTCTTCACTCTGTCACCCAGGCTGGTGGGCAGTGGCAGGATCACACCTCACTGCAGTCTCAACCTCCCAGGCTCAAGGGATTCTTCCACCTCAGCCTTCCAAGTAGCTGAGACACAGGCGTGCACTACCATGCCTGGCTAATTTTTGTATGTTTTGTAGAGATGGGGTTTCACCATGTTGCCCAGACTGGTCTTGAACTCTTGGGCTCGGCTTGGCCTCCCAAAGTGCTGGGATTACAGGTGTGAGCCACTGCATTCACATTCCCCTATTATTAACATCTTACATTAGTATGGTACATTTGTCACAAATAATGACCAATATTGATACATTATTATTAACTAAAATCCACATTTTATTCAGATTTACTAGTTGTTTTAACCTAATATCTTATTTCTGTTCCGGACCCCATCCAGGATGCCACGTTACACTTAGCTGTTGCATCTCCTCTGGTGCCTCCTGACTGTGACAGTTTCTCAGACTTTCCATGTTTTTGATGACCTTGACAGTTTAAGTAATAATGGTCAGGTGTTTTGTAGAATGTCCTGCAATTGGAATTTGTTTGGTGTTTTTCTTTTTGTTTGTTTGTTTTTGTTTTTTGAGATGGAGTCTCACTCCATCGCCCAGGCTGGAGTGCAGTGGCACAATTTCAGCTCACTGCAACCTCTGCCTCCCGGGTTCCAGCGATTCTCCTGCCTCAGCCTCCCAAGTAGCTGAGATTACAGGCATGTGCCACCATGCCCGGCTAATTTTTGTTATTTTTACTAGAGACGGGGTTTCACCATGTTGGCCAGGCTGGTCTCAAACTCCTGACCTCAAGTGATCCACCCACCTCAGCCTCCCAAAGTGTTGGGATTACAGGCGTGAGCCACCGCGCCAGCCCTCCTTCCCCACTTGCTGTATTGCACTCTTTGGAAGGCAGTCACTGTGCGGCCCACCCTTACAGTGAGGGAGTTATGCTCCACCTCTCTGAGTACAGCAGAGCCCTGTTTTCCATGCACATCCCAAATCCAACTGGTCACCAAGCTCAGTCCATTCTGCTTCCTAGACAACCTCTCAAGCCCAGCTCCTCTGCTCTTCCTCCTCATAATCAGGGCCCAGCTCTGGATTCATCTTTCAGCAAGACCACAACAACTTCCTCGCGGGCCTGCCTGCCTTGTCTCTGTTCTGCAAAGCCCACACTCCTCATTACTTCGAGTGAACTCCAAACTGCTTACCATGGCACACAGGCCCTCTGTGATCTGGTGCCTCCCTTTCCACCTGAGCTCTCACCACTGCCCTACACGCACCCACTGCTTGTCAGAATGGACTGCAGTGCCTGCCACTGCCCAAACCAGCCATCCCCTCTCCTCATTCACCTCTGCTGCTACCTCTGCTCAGAACCTCCCACCCCACCCACCACAGACCCTCGCCTCAACCCAGCTAACTTCTATTTGTTTTTTCTTCTTAGGAAGAAAAAGAGCAGCATTAGAACATTCCTTGTTGAAGGAATATTGCCCCGATGTGCCCCTCCCTACCTGTTTGTAATTCTCTTGCTTTTCTTTAGAGCTTTACTCCATATGCCTGTACCCAGTGGTGTGCTGTTTTGTGGCATTTGCCAGTTCTTCCCAAGCCAGTACAAGCCAGCTCCAGTGCCACACTGCAAATATCCACAGCAACATATTTACCTTTTCATATTTTTGAACTTTATATAAATGGTATCATTTATACAAATGGTAGGTATTTGTGTGTGTGACTTATTGTCACAGGCTGTATAGTACTCTCTGTTGATGAACATTTGGGTATATGCGCCCACTTTGCAAGGCAATGCCAAAGTTTTCTGGTGTGGTTTTCTAATTTACGCTGGCAACAGCAGTGTATCAGTTTCTTTTGCTTCATATCCTTACCAACTCTTTTTTTTTTTTAAGACAGGGTCTCCCTCTATTGCCCAGGCTGGAGTGCAGTGGTGCGATCATGGCTCAACCTCCTGCAGCCTCGACTTCCTGGGCTTAAGCAATCCTCCTGCCTCAGCCTCGCAAGTAGCTGGAAACCCAGGCACACACCACCACATCAGGCTAATTTTTAAATTTTTTGTAGAGACGAGGTCTTGCCATATTGTGCAAACAGGTCTTGAACTCATGGGCTCAAGTGATCCTTCCATCTCAGCTTCCCAAAGTGCTGGGATTATGGACATGAGCCAACACTCCTGGCCCTCACCAACTCTTGATGTCAAGTTTTAAAACGTTTGCCAATATAGTAGGCATAAAGTGGCATCTCATTGTGGATTTTAATTTGCATTTCTTGGTTGAGTATCTTTTCATACTTATTGGCCATTTGTTTTTCCTCATTGTGAAACACCTATTTATGTTTTTGCCCATTTTTTTCTATTTGACTATCCTTTTTACAAACTGACAGGCCGGGCATAGTGGCTCATGCCTGTAATCCCAGCACTTGGGGAGGCCGAGGTGGATGGATCACCTGAGGTCAGGAGTACAAGACCAGCCTGACCAACATGGAGAAACCCCATCTCTACTAAAAATACAAAATTAGCTGGACATGGTGGCGCATGCCTGTAATCCCAGCTACTTGGGAGGCTGAGGCAGAAGAATAGCTTGAACCTGGGAGGCAGAGGTTGCGGTGAGCAGAGATTGTGCCACTTCACTCCAGCCTGGGCAACAAGAACGAAACTCCGTCTCAAAAAAAAAAAAAAAAAAAAAAACTGACTAGTGGCTTTTTATGTTTTTTGAAAACAAACTCTTTGTTGATAATATGAAATACGAATCCTTTCTTCAACTTGAAGCTTTTTTCACCTTTTTAAAAGTCAAATGTATCAATCTTTTCCTTTCTGGTTACACGTTTTGTGTGTGTCTAGTTTAAGAAATATTTCCTTATGTGAGGGCATAAAGATCTTCACCTATATGATCTTCCGAAAGTCCATTTCACATTTAAATATTTAACACACCTAGAGTTTATTTTTTTGTATATGGAGCAAGATAGTATCTTTTCTGAAAGATATCCAACTGCTCAGATCATTTATTTAATTGTCCATTGTCTTCCCACCGATCTGTACTGACTGCTGTGTTAGATATGAAATTTCCACATATGCATGGGTTGGTGTCTGGAACTACTGTCCATTGGTCTATCACTGGGGCAATGTGTTGCTAGAAGAGCTGAGGCAAGTCTTGCTTGTCTGACATAACGTAAGAGAGTCTTGGAACATGTCCTGGGTCCAGGGTCTAAAACCCCTCGTGGCCTTTGGAACACCAAGCTCTGTGCCAAAGGGTGGAAGGCTGCCCTGCCACACCACAATCTAAGCCCAGGGCATAAAACCCCTCGTGGCTTGGATGCAATCCAGGGCTCAGGGAATAAAACCCCTTGTGGCCTCTGGAATGTGTCCAGACTTGCTGGCTCCTTGCTTCTTGCTGTCCCAGGTTTGTAAATTGATTGTTATCTTGAGATAGAAAAACACGTTCTCCATTATCTCGAGTAGCAGAGCATACTCCATATGCTTAAAAGAAAATGCTAAACTGCCACAGCTATAGGTCAAACGCTTGATGCACCGCTTCCTTTCTAACCCCATGTCCTCACGTCCTCACCACCTGCTTCTGTTTGATCACCAATAAAGAGCGTGGGCTCCCAGAGCTCAGGGCCTTCGCAGCTGCCATACTGGTGTTGGCCCCCTGGACCCACTTTATGCATTCTTGTCTTGTCTCATTCCTTCGACTCTGCCAGACTTTGTAGCCCCCACAGCCTGGTGTTGGGTCTGATCACTCCAACATTTCTGGCACCCAATGTGGGGCAACGAAAACCCCTGTGAAGGAACGCTAGAGCATGCGGAAGCAGAGGACAATTGTCAGAGGACACCAGAGGATGACTGAAAGAAGCTCGGCAGGTAAGCTGGACGCTTGGAAGAACCAGGGTAACAATGGGACAGAATGAAAGCAAATATTCTGCTTATTTAAATTTCTTAAGGCATTTATTACGGAGAGGGGGAGTGAAAGTTAGTACTCAAAGTCTATTAACACTTTTCAGCACAGTAGAGCAGTTCTGCCCATGGCTTCCGGAACAAGGGACTATGGAGTTGGATGAATGGGAAAGAACTGGCAGAGATTTTAAAAAGGCATATAAAGATGGAGCCAAAATTCCAGTTTCTGTTTGGTCAGTGTGGGCGTTAATAAAGGCAGCTCCTGAGCCATTTCAAACAGATGATGAGGCAGATTCAGATGAAGAAGAGGAGGATGAGTGTAAGAAACTAACATCAGATTCTGAACGCGAGGCACAGGAGCCGGAGGAAATCATAGAAAAGAAAGGAAAGCTGAAAAAGACATATTTTACTGGTCCATCAGCTCCGCCTGCTGAATTAAGTGAATGGCCACCTCCTCCCTCTCCCACAATGGGTGAGAAAGTGAAGCAGCTGTAAAAATTACTGCTCCTGTAGTGACAACATTAAAATCTGAAGCAACTGGTGGTGCTATACAAAATTCTATTCAGAAGGCTAGAGCTGAAGGACACCTTGAAGCATGGCAATTTCCAGTTACTATAACCCAACAAGGAGGACAGAATACAGCTAATTGGGCCACTTTTCCTTTTAAGTTATTAAAAGAATTCAAGCAAGCCATTAGTCAATATGGGCCAAATTCTCCTTTTGTGTGAACTTTACTAAAAAATGTGGCTCTTGATAATAGGTTAGTACCATATGATTGGGATACTTTAACAAAATCTGTTCTCACTCTGTCTCAGTACTTGCAATTTAAAACTTGGTGGGCTAATGAAGCTCAAACTCAGGCAAGAGAAAACACACAGGCACAGCCGCCTGTGCCTGTGTCCTCTGAACAGTTAATGGGGGTCAGCCCTAACAGGGGTCGATTAGACAATCAAGCATTAATGGAGGATGTTGCCATTGCTCAGTTATGCTCTGTATGCTTAAGGGCATGGGAAAGAATAAATGTTATAGAGGAAAAATATCCATCTTTCAGTTCTGTCTGACAAGGAACCATATACTGATTTTATTGCTCGGCTCCAGGAGGCTGTGTATAAAGCCATAACTGACAAAACAACCTCAAGATGTTGTAATAAAGCTTCTTGCATACGATAATGCCAATGCAGAATGTCAAACTGCTATTCGACCTAGGAGAGGGAAGCCTCATTTGGCTGAGTATATTAAGGCTTGTGATGGCATTGGGGGTAACTTACATGAGGCTACTCTTTTAGCTCAGGCTATGGCTGGATTAAAAGCCGGAAAAAATATGCCTCGTTTCTCGGGTTCTTGTTTTAATTGTGGGCAATTTGGACACACAAAAAAGGAATGTAAAAAAGGAAATCAACAGGCAAAGGTTACTACCAGTAAGCAGCAAAAAAAGTTCCGGTATCTGCCCCCGATGTAAAAAGGGAAATCACTGGGCAAATCAGTGTCATTCTAAATTTAGCAAAGATGGACAAACTCTCTTTTGGGCCCCTCAACAAACCGAGGCGTATCTGGCACAGCCAGTGCCCTTACAAACGTACAATTGTCCCCCGCCACAGCAGGCGGTGCTGCCGTAGACCTCTGCAGCACAAGTCCTGTCTCCCTACTTCCTGGGGAGCCACCAAAGAAGGTCCCCACGGGAGTTAGGGGCCCTTTACCCTCAGGATCAGCTGGTCTATTGCTTGGAAGGGCTAGTTTAAATTTAAGAGGTGCCACTGTACATACAGGAATAATTGATTCTGATTATACCGGAGAAATTCAACTAGTTATCAGTTCCTCAACTCCATGGTCTGCTTCCCCAGGAGAAAGAATTGCTCAGTTGTTACTTCTACCTTATACAAAACTGGGAAGCAGCATAGTAAAAGGAATGGGAGGCTTTGGTAGTACAAATCCAGCAGGAAAGGCTGTCTATTGGGTTAATCAAGTGTCTGACAAAAGACCTATTTGTACAGTAACGATTCGAGGTAAAGACTTTGAGGGACTAGTAGATACTGGAGATGATGTTTCTATTATTGCTTTAGATCAATGGTGCCAGCATTGGCCCAAACAAAAGGCATCCTTAGTATTGTTGGAGTAGGAGCTGCCTCAGAAGTGTTTCAAAGTTCCTTAATTCTGCCATGTCAAGGGCCAGATGGTCAGGAAGGGACTTATTCCAACAACGGGGTGCTGAAATATCTATTCCTATGGATCAATATAGTAATAACAATAAACAAATGATGAAAAAAATGGGATATCTCCCGGGGAAAGGACTAGCAAAAAATGAAAATGGACAACCAGAACCTTTAGAACTAAAAGGTTAAACAGAGCAAACTGGATCGGGGTATCATTTTTAGGAGCGGCCATTGTCGAGCCTCTGGCACCCATTCCTCTTGTTTGGCTAACTGCCAAACTGGTTTGGGTGGAGCAATGGCCACTGAAACGGGAAAAACTGGAGGCTTTAAAAGAATTGGTGCAAGAACAATTGCAAAAGGGACACATAGAGCCTACTTTCTCTTCTTGGAATTCTCCTATGTTTGTCATTAAGAAAAAATCAGGGAAATGGAAAATGTTAACAGACTTGAGGGCCGTTAATGCTGTAATTCAACTCATGGGCGCGCTGCAACCAGGGCTGCCCTCCCCAACTACGATTCCTAAATACTGGCCTCTCATAGTGATAGATTTAAAAGGTTGCTTTTTTACCATTCCTTTAGCGACCCAAGATTATGAAAAATTTGCTTTTACTGTTCCCGTCATAAATAACAAAGAATCAGCAGATAGATACTATTGGAACGTATTTCCACAAGGCATGTTAAATAGCCCAACTATTTGTCCAACTTATGTTGTTAAAGTTTTTATGCCAGTTAGAAAACAGTTTAAAAAATGTTATATCATCCGTTACATGGATAATATCTTATGTGCAGCTGAAACTAGGGAGGAATGAATACTATGCTACAAACAGAAAAGGCTGTAACTGCTGCAGGATTAATCACAGCCCCCGATAAAATCCAAACTTCCACTCTATTTCAATATTTAGGAAGGAAAGTAAAACAAAGTACTATTAAGCCTCAAAAGGTTCAAATTCAAAGAGATAATTTAAAAACTCTAAATGAGGCCGGGCGTGGTGGCTCACGCCTGTAATCCCAGCACTTTGGGAGGCTGAGGTGGGTGGATCACAAGGTCAGGAGATGGAGACCATCCTGGCTAACACGGTGAAACCCTGTCTCTACTAAAAATACAAAAAATTAGCCAGGCGTGGTGGCAGGCACCTGTAGTCCCAGCTACTAGGGAGGCTGAGGCAGGAGAATGGCATGAACCCAGGAGGCGGAGCTTGCAGTGAGCCGAGATTGCACCACCGCACTCCAGCCTGGGTGACAGAGCGAGACTCTGTCTCAAAAAAAAAAAAAAAAAAAAAAAAAACCTCTAAATGATTTTCAAAAATTATTCCCACTTTAGGCATTCCTACTTATGCTATGTCTCACCTCTTTTCTAACTTATGAGGTGATTCTGATCTTAACAGCAAATGCTCTCTATCCAAAGAAGCATTGTAAGAACTTCAATTAATTGAAGAAAAAATTCATCAGGCACAAGTGACTTGAATTGATCTACTACAGCCATTACAGTTTTTCATTTTTCCTACTAAACATTCAACTACAGGTGTTACTGTTCAACAGGATGATCTAGCTGAGTGGCTTTTTCTACCTCACAATACAACTAGAACACTTACTCTGTACTTAGATCAAATTGCTGTACTGATAGGTCAAGCAAGGCTGTATACAACAAAATTAATGGGATATGATCCAAATCAAATTATAGTTCCTTTAAATAAACAACAAATTCAGCAAGCTTATGTTAACTCCCAGAAATGGCAAGTTAATTTAGCTGGTTTTATTGGTATACTTGATAATCATTATCCTAAATCCAAAATATTCCAATTTCTAAAATTGACATCATGGATATTACCCTCCACTACTCAAAAGACCCCTATTGAAGGGGCCAATACTGTTTTTACTGATGGATCTAGTAATGGAAAGGCCTCATTTGTAGGACCTCAACAACAAGTTGTTCAAACTGACTTTGCTTCTGCTCAAAGGGCTGAACTTATGGCTGTAATTACAGTACTAAAAACCTTTAAACAGCCAGTAAACATTATTTCTGATTCGGCCTATGTGATGCAAGCTGTGCAAAATATTGAATGTGCCTTAATTGAAAATGTAACTGATGATCAACTCAATCTTTTATTTCATTCTTTACAACAAGCAGTACAACAAAGGCATTCCCCTTTGTATATCACTCATATAAGAGCACATACTAACCTCCCCGTCCCTTTAACCAAACTCAATCAAAGGGCAGATGCACTGGTTTCTGCAGCTTTTACTGATACACAAACATTCCATTCTTTAACCCATCCTAATGCTGCAGGCCTTGGAAACAGATATGGCTTATCTTGGAAACAGGCTAAGGAAATTGTACAACATTGCTCTGCCTGCCAAGTCTTACACCTGCCACATCAAGGAACAGGAGTTAACCCTAGAGGTTTATCTCCAAATTCCATCTGGCAGAGGGATGTAACACATGTTCCTGCCTTTGGAAAGTTGTCCTTTGTTCATGTTTCAGTAGATACTTACTCACATTTTATTTGGGCCACATGTCAAACAGGAGAAGCTACAGCTCATGTTAAAAGACATCTTTTACCTTGCTTTGCAGTTATGGGAATCCCAGAAAAAATCAAAACTGATAACGGCCCAGGGTACTGTAGTAAAGCTATGGCTACATTTTTTTCAACAGTGGAATATTACCCATACTACAGGTATTCCATATAACTCACAAGGACAAGCAATAGTTGAAAGAGCTAATCATGCTTTAAAAACTCAAATACAAAAACAAAAAGGGGGAGACCAGGAATATAAAACACCGCATATGCAATTACACTTAGCTTTATTAATATTACATTTTCTAAATTTACAAAAAGATCAATCCATGACTGCAGCTGAACAACACTTGACAGGACAAAAGGAAAACAAAAAGGCCAGACAAGATATATGATGGAGAGATACTCACACAAAAAACTGGGAAAAAGGAAAGATAATTACGTGGGGAAGAGGATTTGCTTGTGTCTCTCCAGGTGAAAATCAGGTACCTGTGTGGGTGCCCATCAAACATCTGAAGATCTATCATGAGCCACACCAGGAAGAGAGGACTCTGGGAAGAGCCAGAGCTCCCAATACGAGTGATGGCGTGAATGAACATCTCAGAGACAAAAGAGAAGACCGAGAATACTCGTCAGGCGGATCCTCCAACATGGGGACAAATCAAGAAGCTGGCGCAGATGGCAGAGGACAGCTTGAGAGCACAGAACAAACCAAAAACAACTAGTAACTTAATGGTGGCCATGCTGGCAGTACTCACTGTGGCGATAAGCCTCCCTACTGTAGGAGCAACTCAAAATTTTACTTATTGGGCATATGTCCCATTTCCTCCTTTAATTAGGTCTGTGAGTTGGATGGACCCGGTTATTGAGGTGTACACCAACAACAGTACCTGGATGCCTGAGCCCATAGATAATCAAGGCCAATGCATTCTAATGAGGAAGGGATGAAAATGAATATATCAATAGGATATAAATATCTTCCAATATGCCTGGGACCTGCCGCTGGATGCTTACAAATTGGCACACAAGTCTGGTTGGCAGTAATCCCTGGAAAAAATAAATCACAGGCTGCTTTACAAATGATTTCAGGGCAAAATTTAACATATAACCATTCCAGCCCTAAAACTCAGCAATTCTGTCCAAACAAGCTCAAATGTAAGAAAAATAAAGTTTGGTTTGAAGGTGTAGATACTTGGACTTGAGAAGATTATATAGCAAGTAAGGCTGAGGTGCTACAAAAGAATTCCTATGGAATTGTCATTGATTGGTCCCCTAAGGGGATTTTTAAACCAAATTGCACAAGAAGGCCCTCTTGTAAAGCAAATTTAACAAACTGATGGAATCGCTGGCAATGTAATCATACACAATACATTCAGATGGAAGCTGATGCCCCTATCATATGGAATCCTGCTGGCATTATCGCCCCTAGTCCAAAAATGATATCTCCTGCCATAGGACAGGAACATTCAGAATTATGAAAATTAGCTGTAGCTCAAAGTCCAATTAAAATTTGGGAGGGTAAATATGAAAAGTACAGTGGGGAGGGAGGTAAGGATAAATATGCTCTTTCTTTTCTTTCCAACAGGACGTTTTGGATTCAAAGTTGCATTCGACCACCTTTTATGTTAGCAATAGGAAATGTTACTATTGATATAAATACACACTCTGTTACCTGCCCAGAATGTCGCCTATTTACCTGCATTAACTCAACTTTTGATAAAAAAAAAAAAAACCACAAAACAAAAAAAACTATTCTGTTAATTAGAGCCAGGGAAGGAGTTTGGATCCCTGTGTCTCTAAATAGACCATGGGAAGCATCACTATTCATATTATAACTGAAATCCTTAGGAAACTTTTATCCCATTCAAAAAGATTTATAGTGGCTCTCACATTTGCTATAATTGGCCTCACTGCTGTTACTACTACTGCTGCAGTAGCTGGTGTAGCTTTACAGTCATCTGTGCAAACTGCTGAATTTGTTGATAAGTGGCAGAAAAATTCCACAAAATTATGGAACTCTCAGCTTCAAACAGATCAAAAAATAGTTAATCAAATTAATGATCTCCATCAGACTGTAATTTGGATGGGGGTTCGTATTATGAGTTTAGAAAATAGAATTCAAATACAATGTGACTGGATACATCTGATTTTTGTATCACTCTCCATAGTTATAATGAAACAGAACACCAATGGGAAAAAGTTAAACACCATTTGGAAAGAAAAGAGGAAAATCTCACCCTCAATATCGTAAAACTAAAAGAGCAGGTTTTTGAAACCTCTCAGGCTCACTTAACCCTGCTCCCTGGAACCGATATTTTGAGCAAGGCAGCTGATGGGTTGTCTGCAGTCAATCCTCTTAAATGGATTAAGGCCACTGGAAGTTCTACATTTGTAAACTTTATTCTAATAATTATGTGCTTGTGCTGTCTCATGTTAGTTGGCAAATGCAGAAGCCACCTCTGGAGAGAAAGCCGCCACCAAGAACAAGCAATGATAGCTGTGGCGGTTTTGCAAAAAAGAAAAGGGAGACATGTTGGTAGAAGGGCTGAGGCAAGACTTGCTTGTCTGACATAATGTAAAAGAGTCTTGGAACTGTCCTGAGTCCAGGGTCTAAAACCCCTCATGGCCTTTGGAACACCAAGCTCTGTGCCAAAGAGTGGAAGGCTGCCCTGCCGCACCACAATCTAAGCTCAGGGCATAAAACCCCTCGTGGCTTGGATGGAATCCAGGGCTGAGGGCATAAAACACCTCATGGCCTCTGGAATGTGTCTAGACTTGCTGGCTCCTTGCTTCTTGCTCTCCCAGGCTCATAAATTGATTGCATCTTGAGGTAGAAAAACATGTTCTCCATTATCTCGAGTAGCAGAGCATATTCCATATGCTTAAAAGAAAATGCTAAACCACCACAGCTATAGGTCAAACGCTTGATGCACTGCTTCCTTTCTACCCCCACATCCTCACGTCCTCACCACCTGCTTCTTTGATCACCAAAAAATAATGTGGGCTTCCAGAGCTCAGGGCCTTCACAGCTGCCATACTGGTGTTGGCCCCCTGGACCCACTTTATGCACTCTTGTCTTGTCTCATTCCTTTGACTCCACCGGACTTCATAACCCCCACGACCTGGTGTTGGGTCTGATCACCCCAGCACAATGCCACACAATATAACCTTCTTTTTCTCTCCCTCTCCCCATTCTTTTTCTTCAGCAGTATCTTCCCTAAGTACTACTCCTTCAGTCAGCCTCTTCTTTGTTGTTGTTTTGAGACAGGGTCTCACTCTGTCACCAAGGTTGGAGCGCAGTGGCATGATGCATGATCACAGCTCACTGCAACCTCCACCTCTTGGATTCAAGTGATCCTCCCACCTCAGCCTCCAGAGTAGCTGGGACCACGAGGGCATGCCACCATGCTCAGATAATTTTTTTTTTTTTTTGAGATAGAGTCTTGCTCTGTCGCCCAGGCTGGAGTGCAGTAGTGCTATCTCGGCTCACTGCAACCTCCGCCTCCTGGGTTCAAGTGATTCTCCTGCCTCAGCCTCCCGAGTAGCTGGGATTACAGGTGCGTGCCACGACACCCAGCTAATTTTTGTATTTTTAGTAGAGACAGGATTTCACCATCTTGACCAGGCAGGTCTTGAACTCCTGACCTCATGATCCACCAGCCTCGGCCTCCCAAAGTGCTGGGATTACAGGCATGAGCCACCACGCCCAGCCGATTTTTTTTTTTTAAATAATTTGTGGTAGAGACGAGGTTTCACCATGTTGCCCAGGCTGATCTTGAACTCCTGAGCTCAAGTGATCCACCCGCCACCACCTCCCAAAGTGCTGAGATTACAGACATGAGCCACCACACCCAACCAGTCAGCCTCTTACTCCCCTCAAATGGAAACATGTTAAGAAAGCATCTGGCCGGGTGCACTGGCTCAGGCCGGGCGCAGTGGCTCACTTGTAATCCCTGCACTTTGGGAGGCCAAGGCTGGTGGATCACCTGAGTTCAGGAGTTCGAGACCAGCCTGGCCAACATGGTGAAACCCCGTCTCTACAGAAAAAAATACAAAAATTAAACAGGTGTGGTGGCAGGGGCCTGTAATCTCAGCTACTCGAGAGGCTGAGGTAGGGAGAAATCACTTGAACCCAGGAGGCAGAGGCTGCCGTGAGCTGAGATCATGCCATTACACTCCAGCCTGGGCAACAGAGCGAGACTCCGTCTCAATTAAAAAAAAAAAAAAAAGAATCTCACATCACTCATATAGGGAAAAAGGAGTGCTGTGTTTAAAATCTCATCTCTCCTCGCTCTCCCTCTCCCGTCTCCCTCTCCCTCTCCCGTCTCCCTCTCCCTCTCCCTCTCCCTCTCCCGTCTCCCTCTCCCTCTCCTTTCCACGGTCTCCCTCTCATGCCGGGCCAAAGCTGGACTGTACTGCTGCCATCTCGGCTCGCTGCAGCCTCCCTGCCTGATTCTCCTGCCTCAGCCTGCCGAGTGCCTGCGATTGCAGGCGCGCGCCGCCACGCCTGACTGGTTTTCGTGTTTTTTTGGTGGGGACAGGGTTTCGCTGTGTTGGCCGGACTGGTCTCCAGCTCCTAGCCGCGAGTGTTCCGCCAGCCTCGGCCTCCCGAGGTGCCGGGATTGCAGACGGAGTCTCATTCACTCAGTGCTCAATGGTGCCCAGGCTGGAGTGCAGTGGCATGATCTCGGCTCGCTACGGCCTCCACCTCCCAGCCGCCTGCCTTGGCCCCCCAAAGTGCGGAGATTGCAGCCTCTGCCCGGCCGCCACCCCATCTGGGAAGTGAGGAGCGTCTCTGCCTGGCTGCCCATCGTCTGGGATGTGAGGAGCCCCTCTGCCTGGCTGCCGAGTCTGGAAAGTGAGGAGCGTCTCTGCCCAGCCGCCATCCCACCTGGGAAGTGAGGAGCACCTCGTCCCGGCCGCCATCCCATCTAGGAAGTGAGGAGCGTCTCTGCCCGGCAGCCCATCGTCTGAGATGTGGAGAGCGCCTCTGCCCCGCCGCCTCATCTGGGATGTGAGGAGCGCCTCGGCCCGGCCGCGACCCCGTCTGGGAGGTGAGGAGCGTCTCTGCCCGGCCGCCCCGTCTGAGAAGTGAGGAGACCCTCCGCCTGGCAACCGCCCCGTCTGAGAAGTGAGGAGCCCCTCCGCCTGGCTGCCACCCCGTCTGGGAAGTGAGGAGCGTCTCCGCCCGGCAGCCACCCCGTCCGGGAGGGAGGTGGGGGTCAGCCCCCCACCCGGCCAGCCGCCCCGTCCGGGAGGGAGGTGGGGGGCTCTGCCCCCCGCCCGGCCAGCCGCCCCGTCTGGGAGGTGAGGGGCGCCTCTGCCCGGCCGCCCCTACTGGGAAGTGAGGAGCCCCTCTGCCCAGCCAGGAGCCCCTCTGCCCAGCCAGCTGCCCCATCTGGGAGGGAGGTGGGGGGGTCAGCCCCCCGCCCGGCCAGCCGCCCCGTCCGGGAGGTGAGGGGCGCCTCTGCCCGGCCGCCCCTACTGGGAAGTGAGGAGCCCCTCTGCCCGGCCAGCTGCCCCGTCCGGGAGGGAGGTGGGGGAGTCAGCCCCCCGCCCGGCCAGCCGCCCCGTCCGGGAGGGAGGTGGGGGGGTCAGCCCCCTGCCCGGCCAGCCGCCCCGTCCGGGAGGTGAGGGGCGCCTCTGCCCGGCCGCCCCTACTGGGAAGTGAGGAGCCACTCTGCCCGGCCAGCCGCCCCATCCAGGAGGGAGGTGGGGGGCTCAGCCCCCTGCCCGGCCAGCCGCTCCGTCCGGGAGGGAGGTGGGGGGGTCAGCCCCCCACCCGGCCAGCCGCCCCGTCTGGGAGGGAGGTTGGGGGGTCAGCCCCCCGCCTGGCCAGCCACCCGGTCCGGGAGCTGAGGGGCGCCTCTGCCCGGCTGCCCCTACTGGGAAGTGAGGAGCCCCTCTGCCCGGCCACCACCCCGTCTGGGAGGTGTACCCAACAGCTCATTGAGAATGGGCCATGATGACGATGGCGGTTTTCTGGAATAGAAAAGGGGGCAAGGTGGGGAAAAGATTGAGAAATCGGATGGTTGCCGTGTCTGTGTAGAAAGAAGTAGACATGGGAGAATTTTCATTTTGTTCTGTACTAAGAAAAATTCTTCTGCCTTGGGATCTTGTTGATCTATGACCTTACCCCCAACCCTGTGCTCTCTGAAACATGTGCTGTGTCCACTCAGGGTTAAATGGATTAAGGGCGGTGCAAGATGTGCTTTGTTAAACAGATGCTTGAAGGCAGCATGCTCCTTAAGAGTCATCACCACTCCCTAATCTCAAGTACCCAGGGACACAAACACTCTGCCTAGGAAAACCAGAGACCTTTGTTCACTTGTTTGTCTGCTGACCTTCCCTCCACTAGTGTCCTATGACCCTGCCAAATCCCCCTCTGTGAGAAACACCCAAGAATGATCAATTAAAAAAAAAATAAAATTAAAAAGAAAAAAAAAAAAAAAGAAAAAAGAAAAAAGTCCTCCCATAAGGAAAGATGATCAATTCTTATGTATCGTTCTAGGGATATAAATATTCAGGAGGCTTTTCAGAATAAAAGTTAAATCATTTAAAAAAAAAAAAAGAAATAAACTTACTTGAATTAAAAAAACAAACAAAAAAAATCTCATCTCTAACTGCAGAAGGAAAAGCTTGGTTCCCTGATGGCATTTCAGATACTAGTGCCTAAGATATTGAAGAACTTTCCTGGGTCTCTGAAACCACACTGTTACAGAGGATGGCCTGCCTTGAAGTAGCTCTTTCATATTATTTGAGGCAAAAGGCTTACTTTAGGTGTATTTGGAGTAAGTAAAACACGCTTTTGGAGGTGGGCCAAAGGACAGAAAAGTCAATTAAAGAGCTAAAAAATAAACTGCAAGTTTTGGGTAAATTGAGTGGTCAGAAAGTGACCAAATCTTCATGCTGCCGAGCTCACCTGCCAGTTGTATGACTTGAAGCAAGCTTGCTTAATGGCCCTAAGCCTAAGTTTGTTCGCATAAATGGGATTATTAACAATCAACTGTAACACAGGGTTGGTAGGAAAATACATAAAGTTATAGGTGGCCAGGTGGGCCCAATGGATCCTCCTACTTCAGACACTTGTAATCCTAGCATTTTGGGAGGCAGAGGCAGAGGGTTGCTGAGGCCAGGAGTTCAAGACCATCCTGGGCACCATAGCCAGACCCCGTGTCTACAAAAAAATTAGAATAATAATAATAAAAGTTATAGGAAAGCATGTAGCATATAGAAGATGTTCCTTCAGCCTTGAGGCAGTAGACTCAAAGACCAGGTTCAAATCCTATCTGTTAGCTACTAGTTTTCTGACCTTAAACAATTATTTCTTAGCCACATTTTCCTATTTACAAAATGAAAATATGGAATTACCCTTTTTTGCATTACCAAGCCTTCTTTTGAATTTTAATTTACATTTGTTTAATTACTAATGAAGTTGAGCATCTTTTCACGTTTGCTGGTCATTTGTTTCACTCTTACCACTAGAAAAGAAATGTATTAAAATGAAAATCCAGAGGGTTGGGAGAAGGCCTTGCTCAGCCTAGGCCTGGCTGAGGTGGAGGGAGAGAGGAAGACCTCATCTGAGTGACAACCATGTGTGCAGGGGGAGGGTAAAACAGGAGATGGGCTGTGTACTGGCAGGTTGGTTACTCACAGAGGTACTGTGGATTATGAGAGGTATTGAGGATTATGAGAGGCAAGTTCCTCACTGTTGAAGAAAGGAAGTATATACGTGGAAGGCTAAAATAAAACCTGTGGAGGTGGGCTGGAATTGGAGACATCAGTGTGAACTCATGCTTTTTACTATAGAACGATGGATGTGGAAAGGGCCATTCATGTACTGTCCCCGATAGGGCCCCGAAGCAGGAACACTCCAGTAACAAAGTATACTAGCGCCCGGATCTTGGTTTCTGAATACCATTATCTACTAAATGGAACCAAGGCCGCATACACAAGTGACTGGTTCTAGGGATGGGGCTGGAAAAATACAAGGTGAGGCTGGAACATCTTGTGGTACCAGAAAATATGGAAGTGCTCAGAGAATGATGGGAACGTGTCAAAAGGACACAGGATCCAGCTTGAAGGAGTGTCCACTGGCCAAACTGGAACAATTTTAACATCAAAGTAAATAAAAGTAAGAATGAGTTGTAATCATAGAATATGAATCCATGAGTAGTCCACACTGATATATCTACGAATGAACAAACAAGCAAATGACTAAATAAATAAATGGGGTAGAAGGGAAAGTTCTAACTTATGGTAGAATGCTAATTATAAATATAGAAAGAATGATGGAATAAGAAAGTCACCCTTTGGCAATTATTAATAGCATGGGAATAACTCATTCAGACAAGAATCATCTAAGAATGCTAAAACTAGTTGACGCAAGTTTCATGGGAACAGGATATTTATATAGTTTCAAAGTAGCTCCCCACAAAATGCTTATTAATTTTCTGTGGAGAAACTTGGAAGACACCATTTTAACCACCTTAACATCAACAGACTATAACTTTAAAAATGGAAAAAAACAAGGACATGGCTGGGCGCGGTGGCTCACGCCTGTAATTCCAGCACTTTGGGAGGCTGGGGCAGGTGGATCACCTGAGGTCAGGAGTTCACTTCACTAACATGGTGAAACCCTGTCTCTACTAAAAATGCAAAAATTAGCCAGGCGTCGTGGCACATGCCTGTAATCCCAGCTACTCAGGAGGCTGAGGCAGGAGAATCGCCTGAACCCAGGAGGTGGAGATTGCAGTGAGCCAAGATCACGCCATTGCACTCCAGCCTGGGCAACAAGAGCGAAACTCCGTCTCAGAAAAAAATAAAATAAATAAAAAACAAGGACATGGAAAAATGAGAACCCTCGTACACTGCTAGAGAGGATGTAAAATGGTTACAGCCACTTTAGAAAACAGTTGGCAGCCCCTCAAAAAGTTAAATATAGGTACCATATGACCCAGCAATTCCACTGTTAGGTATATACCAAATAGAACTGAAGGCATATGTTAACGCAAGAACTTGCACATGAATGCTGCTAGCAGTGTATTTCATAGTAGCTAAAAAGTGGAAACAGCCCAAATGTCAGCCCATTCATCAACTGACGAATGGATAAACAAAATGCGGTATATCCATACAATGACATATGTCAGGTCTCTCCAGAGAAGGCGGACAAATAAGATGTGTACGTTCTGTTTTCATATAGATACGTGTGTGTATGTGTATATATACATAGAAAGAGAGAGAGACATTTAAGGAATTGGCTCACAGGAAGCTTGGCAAATCCAGAAACTGATAGAGTAGGCTGATGGTCTGGAGACTCAGGGAAGAACTGCAGTCTGAGTCCAAAGGCAGTCTGTTGACAGAACTTCTTGCTTGGGGGACAACAGTCTTTGTTCTATTAAGGTCTTCAACTGATTGGATGTGGCCGACTCACACTATCACACTATGGAGGGTAATCTGCTTTACTCAAAATCCCCTGATTTTAGTTTATTCATTTATTTTTTGAGACATGGTATTGCTCTGTTGCCTAGGCTGGAGCTCAGTGGTATGATCATGGCTCACTGAAGCCTCAACCTTCTGGGCCCAATCGATCCTCCTACTTCAGCCTCTTGAGTAGCTGGACTTGAGTAGCTTGCCTGGCCCCAAAATTCACTGATTTTAAATGTTCATCTCATAAAAAAAAAAATACCTTGAAAGAAACATCCAGAAAATTGACCAACCATCTGGGCACCATGGCCAGTCAAGCTGACACATAAAATTTACCATCACAAATGGTAATAAAGTAATAGAATGTAACATTTACATATTACTCTCAAATGAGTCAGAAAAAATATAGCATATATAACCTGTGTACATATATACAGAAAGAGAGTGATAAAGCAAACATAATAAAAAGTTGACAACTGGGCTGGGCACGGTGGCTCACGCCTGTCATCCCAGCACTTTGGGAGTCTGAGGCGGGCGGATCATTTGACGTCAGGAGTTTGAGACCAACCTGGCCAACACGGTGAAACCCTGTCTCTATTAAAAATACAAAAATCAGCCAGGTGTGGTGGTGCACCCTTGTAATCCCAGCTACTCAGGAGACTGGGCAGGAGAATTGCTTGAACCCGGGAGGCAGAGGTTGCAGTGAGCCAAGATCGCACCACTTCACTCCAGCCTGGGCGACAGAGTGAGACTCTGTCTCAAAAAAAAAAAAAATTCAACAACTGGGAGATTCGGGTGAGGGTGTACTGAAATCCTTGATGCTATTCTTTTTTATTCTTTTTATTATTTTTAAATATTTCTCATGTTTGTTTCCTATCCTTTGTACTATTTTTGCAATTTTTCTGCAAGTTTAAGGTTATTGGCAAAATAAAAGTTAAAATAGAAAAAGAACATAAAGTATATGCACAAAGAGTATTGTTTAGAAAAGAAATCTACCTATTGTGAGGCCTGTGCCTGGTACCAAGTACATGCTGAATAGCTGCTGCTGCTGCTGCCAGCTTTTCAGGTCTGGAGAGAAAGGTTATTTCTCATAAGAAGTCACAAGGGGGCATCCCAAAGCCAAGAAACACCATCTAGCACAGAAGTTCACTGAGTCTGTAGAGCTGTCGGTGTCCTACCGTTCCTTACCCAGAATGCACTCCTTAATCCTAAAGAAAAAAAAGAAAAAGCTTTGTCTGCTAAAAGCAGGGGCTCCTTCCTTTCACAGTGGACAAGGCTATGGAGCACCTGAGAGCTGGTCTCCTTTCCTTCTGTTTGGGTCTGGATTTCAGAGCAGCTGTCAAGGGTCACTGCATATATCACAACCAGGACATCGACTCTGGAGACGTATGAAAAGGAGCGGACGAATGTGGTGGCAATGTAGAAGAGTGAGCCCTGGAATGAGAACTCACAGACATTCACGTGTTGTGTGTACTCAGCCATATCCCTCCTTATCCTCTTTTCTTTTAATTGATTTTTAATTGTAAATGGACAATTTATACTTGTTTATAATTATGGGCCACAAAGTCCTATTGTGACTTATAAATACAATATGGAATAATTAAATGAAGCCAGTTAACATATCCATCACCTCAAATGCTTAACATTTTTTGGGTTGAGAACATTTGAAATTTACTCTTAGCAATCTACCATGCTATGCAATAGATCTCAAAACACAATATATTCCTCCTGAGACTTTGCACCCTATGACCATCATTTCCCCATTCCTCCTCCCCGAGTCTCTGTAACCACCATTCTACTCACTGCTTCTACATATATAAATATATATATATACATATATATATACATATTTTTTTTTTCTTTTTTGAGAGAGAGTCTCGCTCTGTTGCCCAAGCTGGAGTGCAGTGGTGCAATCTCAGCTCACTACACCCTCCACCTCCTGGGTTCAAGCAATTCTCCTGCCTCAGTCTCCTTAGTAGCTGGTATTACAGGTGCCCACCACCACACCTGGCTAAGTTTTGTATTTTTAGTAGAGACAGAGTTTCCTCATGTTGTGCAGGCTGGTCTCCAATTCCTGGGCTCCAGCGATCCACCCACCCCAGCCTCCCAAAGTGCTGGGATTACAGGCGTGAGCCACCACGCTGGTTCTTCCACTCACTGCTTCTATGAGTTCAAATGTTTCAGATTCTACAAATAAATGACAACATTTCTTCCTGTTTTCTTTTTTTCTTTTTTTTTTTCTTGAGATAGAGCCTCGCTCTGTCGCCCAGGCTGGAGTGCTGTGGCCCGATCTCAGCTTACTGCAAGCTCTGCCTGCCAGGTTCACACCATTCTCCTGCCTCAGCCTCCCAAGTAGCTGGGACTATAGGTGCCTGCCACCATGCCTGGCTAAATTTTTTTGTATTTTTTGTAGACAGGGTTTCACTGTGTTAGCCAGGATGGTCTCAATCTCCTTACCTTGTGATCCGCCCGCCTCGGCCTCCCAAAGTGCTGGGATTACAGGCGTGAGCCACTGCGCCCGGCCCATTTCATCCTGTTTTCTTTTTTTTTTTTTTTGAGACGGAGTTTCACTCTTGTTGCCCAGGCTGGAGCGCAATGGCGCAATCTCAGCCCACCACAACCTCTGCCTCCCGGGATCAAGTGATTCTCCTGCCTCAGCCTCCCAAGTAGCTGGGATTACAGACATGCGCCATCATGCCCGGCTAATTCTGTATTTTTAGTAGAGACGGGGTTTCTCCATGTTGGTCAGGCTGGTCTCGAACTCCTGACCTCAGGTGATCCACCCGTCTTGGCCTCCCAAAGTGCTGGGATTATAGGCGTGAGCCACCATGCCCAGCCTCATCCTGTTTTCTTAATCTGACTTCTTAGATGTTCCACCTGGAGCTCCTAGGATTTAATGTTTCTAAGTTCTGGAATATGTCCATTCTGGTCTACCTGACCCTGTCACAAACTGCACCTTGAAATGAAATTGCTCTAGTCACAAAAGTCTCTTGCTACCTGCCTGTGATTACACAGTGCAGCAGAAGGTGCTGTCCAAGGTCCAAATGAAGCCTCTGGTATTTAATGTATTGAGTCTCAGTTTCCTTATCGGAATAAAACAAATAATAACATTCGCTTTTTGAGTCTTGTAAGAATTAGATATATAAATATAGTATCTAGAACAGAGTAGATATTAAATGAATTGCAGTATTTTCTTTTTACACTTTGGTTTAAGTAACAGGGTGTTGTAGAAAAAAATGGGATTTAAAGTTAAGACAAAGTTCCTGGTTGAGTGCCGTGGCTCATGCCTGTAATGCCAGCACTATGAGAGGCCAAGGTGGGAGGAATACTTGAGTTCAGGAGTTTGAGACCAGCCTGGGCAACATGGTGAGACTCTGTCTCTACAAAAAATTTAAAAAATTAGCCGAGTGTGGTGGTGTGCACCCATGGTTTCAGCTACTTGGGAGGCTGAAGTGGGAGGATTGCTTGAGCCCAGGAGGTTAAGGCAGAAGCTGTAATCATGCCAACGCATTCCAGCCTGGGCAACAGAGCAAGACCCTGTCTTTAAAAAAAAAAAATTTACATGAGAATACGCCTTTAAAAACTCTGGTGGCCGGCCGGGTACGGTGGCTCACACCTGTAATCCCAGCACTTTGGGAGGCCAAGGCAGGTGGATCACAAGGTCAGGAGTTCGAGACCAGCCTGGCCAACATGGTGAAACCCCATCTCTAATAAAAATACAAAAAAAATATTAGCCGGGCATGGTGGTGCATGCCTGCAGTCCCAGCTACTAGGGAGGCTGAGGCAGGAGAATCGTTTGAACCTGAGAGGTGGAGGTTGCAGTGAGCCAAGATCGCACCAGTCTGGGTGACAGAGCGAGACTCCGTCTCAAAAAAAACAAAAAAAAGAACTCTGTCAACAACATTATTACCCCAGCCAGAAATGACCTTCCTCCGTTAAATAAATAAAAATCTTAATCTGCATGTCCCAGCTCAAGTGTTACATCTTTCAAGAAACTTTTCTCTAATAATCTCAAAAATATAAATAATATGGTATCCATATTCTGGACATTGTTAAAAAAGAATGAGGAACGTCTACATGTACTGAGATGGAAAATCTCAGAGACATTAAGTGAAAATAAGCCATGGAATACATACATTATGATTCCATTTTTATGTTTAGAGAAAAAAGGAGGTGACCATGCCATTCTCTTGCTTAAAACCCTTCAGTGGTTCCCCACTGCCAACCACGTAAAGTCTGAGCTCCTTAGCTAACATTCGTGCTCCTTCACTATTTGGGCTCTGCCAACCTCTGTGGCCTCATCTCCTACAGACCGATCTTGTCATTTTGAGCCCTGGGTTCCAGCTGTGACTAAAGTGCCCTCCACCATCTCTTCCTCTAGATCAGTGGCTCTCAAGCTTTAGCATACATCAGAATCACCTGGAATGCTTGTTAAAATACAGACTGCTGGCTGCACCCGTAGAATTTCTGATTTAGGTCTAGGATTGGGCCTAACAATTTCTATTTCCTGTCAAGTTCCCAGGTGATACTGATGCTGCTGTTCTAAGAACCACACTTTGACAGCCAATGCCTTTACAATGCTTATGATTCAGTTTCCTCACCTACATATAGGCTGACCAATCATGTTGGTTTGAGACTGCCCCAGTTTTGGCATTGAAAGTTTCAAGTCACAGAAAACCCCTTAGTTCCAAGCAAACTGGGACAGTTGGTTACCACCTGCATAAGAATCTCTCCCAGGTGGCAGCTTACAGGACATTTATTGCTACTGCCAAGCAGGCCTTCTCTATGGCCAGGCAACAGGGAGTGCTGAGGAAGGAATTCCATCGTCCTGACCAACTTTTTGCTGGAGTAAGAGTATTTAACAAAGTTCTTCATATTCAGGCACCTCCAAACATATTTTCTTTATTTCCTCCAGAGAACAGGCTTTAGTACTGAGGTCCTTGTAAACATTTAACAAAACTGGTTTAAGAACAAACTAAAAGCATCTATATCCTTGCCCTGTGTTGCTGGGGTGAGTTTATACAAGGAGAAGTTGGAACAAATGCAGTGGGCACAATGACCTTCTTACTCAGTTCAAAGTAGGTCTTGGGATGAGAGTTCCACACGGCCAGTACAGCTGACTTTCTGTGATTTCCAAGGGGTGCCCAAGACATTAAACGCCATGGTCCTTGGGAAGGACTGATGATGTTTCTGCTCATTGTTGATCAGGGTCAAACCTTTTCACTAACCGGGACTGCTCTTTCCAAGAAGTCAGAGGTCAGAAAGCTGGTAGCGTCGTACAAGACCGTCTCGACAGCATGTGTAGATCTGCTTCTCCCATGTGGCTACCTAAAACACAAGAATTCACAGTTCAAAGGAAGCCTGGGATTCTTCCATTTCAAAAAGATGGAGGCTTATGATTGACACACACTAGTCCCATGGAGTCTGAGAAGGCTTTATGAAGGCAACAGAATTACATCCATAATTATGTGCTTACAAAAATTGTTGGCCCATAGTGATGGATGCATCCCAATCACCAATGGTTGGGATGCACCATGACTATATAACAGAGAAACTAATTGGCCCAAGTGGAAAGCAAACCCATTAGTATTGTTCAGGTTTAGCACAGATGGTCTGCCTCTAGGGAGGAGATGGTTCAGAGATGGGCTTGACTATTCTTGAACCTTATAAAATTGGATGCAAAAATGTTCTGAATATGTGTCTTTTTTTCTGAGGAGGATTTCATCAACTCCTCAAGGAAAACAGCATGAATTCTGGAGTTAGTCTCAGCTTTACTACCAACTAGCTGCATGACCTAGGGCAACTTTCTCAACCCCCCAGGCCCCAGTTGCCTCATTTGTACAATGGAAATGTGTTGATTCAAAATATGGAACACTACACAAGAATTTTGTTTGTTTGTTTTTTGAGACAGACTCTTGCTCCGTCGCTCAGGCTGGAGTGCAGTGACGCCATCTTGGCTCACTGCAAGCTCCGCCTCCCGGGTTCACGCCATTCTCCTGCCTCAGCCTCCCAAGTAGCTGGGACTACACACACCCACCACCACGCCTGGCTAATTTTTTGTATTGTTAGTAGAGACAGGGTTTCACCGTGTTGGCCAGGATGGTCTCAATCTCCTGACCTCGTGATTCGCACCCCCTCCGCCTCCCAAAGTGCTGGGCATGAGCCACCACGCCCGGCCGGAACACTACGCAAGAATTTTTAAAAATGAAATAGATGGCTGGGCGCGGTGGCTCACGCCTGTAATCCGAGCACTTTGGGAGGCTGAGGCAGGCCTCAGTCGGGAGTTCAAGACCAGCCTGACCAACATGGAGAAACCTCGTCTCTACTAAAAATACAAAATTAGCCGGGTGTGGTGGCGCATGCCTGTAATCCCAGCTGCTCGAGAGGCTGAGGCAGGAGAATCGCTTGAACCTGGGAGGCGGAGGTTGCTGTGGGCTGAGATCGCGCCATTGCACTCCAGCCTGGGCAACAAGAGCGAAACTCCATCTCAAAAAAAAGAAAGAAAGAAAGAAAGAAATAGATCTATATGCATTTACCTGGAAACAGCTCTAAGATGGTAATTAAAAAAAAGTCACAGGGCAATATATAGAGATAGTCTCAATTACGTACAAACTGAAGATAAAAGTATATTATTTACATTAATACATAAAGATGTAAGTGTGCAAATTCTCTGAAAATAGTCTTGAAAAATATGTGCCAAACTTTTAATGCTAGTTACTTCTGGAAAAGAGAAAGGGAACCAAAAAGGTCGTAAAGGAGACTTTTAAATCTGTATCATTCTGTATTGTTTGAACTTTTACAGATATTAATTGTACAACTTTTTTTAAATTATAGGAAAAAATAGGAATAGTAATACCTACACCTCAACAAATAGTAACAAAGATTACATGAGATAACGTATATAAAACGTTCAGCACAGTGTCTGGTCAATAAATATTCCCCTTTTGTTTTTCTCTATTTGAATCAAATGAAAAAATCAGTCTAGAAGTCTTAATAATAATAAGAATGAATAATATTTATAGAATGTATTTACAAAGAGTTTTCAGATTACTATCTTTACAGATGAATTGACAGACTAGTGAGGTAAAGTAAGTTTTTAAGTTTCTAGAGCTAGTAAGTGATGAAGTCACTTTTTTTTTTTTTTTTTGAGACAGGGTCTCACTCTGTTGCCCAGACTAGAGTGCAATGGTACAATCACAGCTCACTGCAGCCTCAACTTCCCAGGCCCAAGCAATCGTCCCATCTTGGCCTCCCAAATGAGTAGCTGGGACTACAGGTGTGTGTGCCACCATGCCCAGCTAATTTTTCTGTATTTTTTGTAGAGACGGGGGTCTCATCTTATTGCCTAGGCTGGTTTCAAACTCCTGGGCTCAAGTGATCCACCTGCTTCAGCCTCCAAAAGTGCTGGGGTTACAGCTGTCAGCCAGAAGTCACTTGTTTTTTTTTTTTTTTTTTTGAGATGGAGTCTCACTCTGTTGCCCAGGCTGGAGTGTAGTGGTACGATCTTGAGGCTCACTGCAGCCTCCACCTCCCAGGTTCAAGCGATTCTCCTGCCTCAGCCTCCCAAGTAACTGGAACTACAGGCATGTACCACCACGCCCAGCTAATTTTTTTGTATTTTTAGTAGAGACGGGGTTTCACCATGCTGGCCAGGCTGGTCTTGAACTCCTGACCTCAAGTGATCCACCTGTCTCGGCCTCCCAAAGTACTGGGATTACAGGCGTGAGCCACCATGCCTGGCCCAGAAATCACTTCTGAGTTAAGCTCTTGATTTCTTGCCATCCTACCACACTGCTTATACAATAAGCACTATTTTATCATCCCTAATGACCACAAGGTATCTGGATTCAGTCTCATAAAAGCCCTAGATCTCTCATGAGAATCACCCAGGTCTGGTGTCGTCTCAGGCCTGTACCTTGTACACAGGGTCACAGTCAGCCCCAGTGAGCTCAGTGACATAGTCTAAGTCTTGCTGGACAATAAAACAGCTTCCATCACCTGAAAGGCAGAAAGAAAATTCATATAACTAAGAGAAAACTGCATCCAGAGTTTAAAAACTCAGTATTTTTATTTGCTTCTGTAGATCACTAGTGTAAAGAAGATGGTCCAAAGACCCAGAA
Source organism: Homo sapiens (assembly GCF_000001405.40). NCBI lineage: Eukaryota > Metazoa > Chordata > Mammalia > Primates > Hominidae > Homo > Homo sapiens. The sequence continues at coordinate 73,924,492 of NC_000011.10, read as the reverse complement.
TGGCAAATAGATCTTATTACGTGGGCCAACTTTTTTTTTGTTTTTTGAGACAGAGTTTCGTTCTTTTTGCCCAGGCTAGAGTACAATGGCATGATCTCAGCAAACTGCAACCTCCACCTCCCAGGTTCAAGCAATTCTCCTGCCTCAGCCTCCCAAGCAGCTGGGATTACAGGTGCCCACCACCACGCCTGGCTAATTTTTGTAGAGACGGGGTTTCACCATGTTGGCCAGGCTGGTCTCAAACTCCTGACCTCAGGTGATCCACCTGCCTCAGCCTCCCAAGGTGCTGGGATTACAAGCGTGAGCCACCATACCCGGCCTATGTGGGCCAATTATGATGATCTATAGTGGCTGCCTAGAATGCTGAGCTGGGCTGGATTTGAAGAGCAAGTGCAAGTTCTGTGGGAAAAAGAGATGTCTTTGATTAGCAATGCCTGCCAAAGGCACAGAGCAAGCAACCACAGGTGTGTGTGTGTGTGTGTGTGTGTATTTATAAACTTATCCTAGATTATATTTAATAGGGAATGTCTAAAAAATGTCTTTAACATTTTTTAAAGAAACATTTGTGTAGATATTCCCTATTAAAATGTTCCCAGATTATTCCTCAATCTGTAAATTTGACTGTATACACTAGGAGAAAGAGGACAGTTACACTAAGAAAGTAAAAGTGTATCTAATTCTTAAAAGAGCATGGACAAATGAAACAAATGAATCATAGGGGTGATCTATAAACTGCTTAATAAGGTGATTTCTTTTTGTTAATATAAAAGTAGTAAAAATACAAAAAAAATTAGCCGAGCATGGTAGTGCATGCCTGTAATCCCAGATACTCAGGAGGCTGAGGCAGGAGAATCGCTTGAACCCGGGAAGCAGAGGTTGCAGTGAGCCAAGATGGTGCCACTGCACTCCAGCCTGGGCGACAGAGTGAGACTCTGTCTCAAAATAAATACATAAAAACATAAATAAATAGAAGTAGTACATGCTCACTGAACAAAACTTTAAAACTAAACAAAGCAGAGGTACAAAAATCACCCCTAATCTACCATTCAAAGGCAATTACTGTTAACATTTTGATCTATTTTTTTGTGCCTATTTTACATGGTTGACAGCATGTGCATAAACGAATGTCTTTATGCATAAAGTTTTTTCTGTATTAAGATTATGACTTTGTATATATAAAGACCTGGAAAAGAATCAGCAGACATTAACCTTTTCAAACTTTTTGGAAATCTGAACAACTGTTTTCCAAATTTATCTGTTAATCTACATTCAAGCAGCAGCATATACGAGGTAGTACCTTACCCTTTTTTGCATTACTATTAAAAATCACCTTCTCCAAAAATGAATCCTTGTCTTTTAGAGAGACATATAGAAATGCTAACAGATGAAATAAGACGCTCATGATATATTTCAAAATATATGAAGACTGAGGAATGCAAGGGAATGGGTAAAACAAGATTAGCAATATATTGATAATAGCTTAAGTTGGATAATGGGTATAACAGGTTCATCGTGCCATTCTGTCTACTTTTAGATATGTTTGGCAATTTGCATCAAAAAATTTTGTTTTTTATTTTGTTTCATCTGGCAACTTAAATCTCCTCACTAATAATCAAAGAGTTCCAAAGGACCTCAAAAATCATCTATATCCAACTTCTTTTTTTTTTTTTTTTTTTGAGACGGAGTCTCGCTCTGTCACCCAAGCTGGAGTGCAGTGGCGCGATCTCGGCTCACTGCAAGCTCCACTTCCCAGGTTCACGCCATTCTCCTGCCTCAGCCTCCCAAGTAGCTGGGACTACAGGCGCCCGCCATGATGCCCGGCTAATTTTTTGTATTTTTAGTAGAGACGGGGTTTCACCATGTTAGCCAGGATGGTCTCGATCTCCTGACCTCGTGATCCGCCCGCCTCGGCCTCCGAAAGTGCTGGGATTACAGGTGTGAGCCACTGTGCCCGGCCTATATCCAACTTCTAAACCAGTACAGAACTCCCTCTACAGCACATGGCAGAGCGGCCAAACAGCCTACACTTGCCCATCTCCAGAGTTAGGGGTGCCCACTACCTTAAGGGCAGCTTCTTTCTTAAGGAAAAGAAAGCTTTTCCTTTATAATTAACTGAAATGTGGTTTCTGATAACTTTCTCTTATTGGTCTTAGTTTTGTCCTCTGAAAACAGAGTTATAATCTTACTCCCTTTGCCTTTAGACATCAGTACTGGAAGTTATGCCTTGCCTTCTTCCCAGCAGAAAAGTAGAAAAGTACAAAAAATCTGCTCCTCTGGGTTGAAACCCGGGCGCCACCAAGATGCCAGCTTACCACTCTTCTCTCATGGATCCTGACACTGAACTCATTGGAAACATGGCACTGTTACCTATCAGAAGTCAATTCAAAGGACCTGCCCCCAGAGAGACAAAAGATACAGATACTGTGGATGAAGCCATCTATTAGTTCAAGGCCAATGTCTTCTTCAAAAACTATGAAGTTAAGAATGAAGCTGACAGGACCTTGATATACGTATCTCTGTCTACGTTTCTGAGTGTCTGAAGGAACTCCAGAAGTGCAATTCCAAAAGCCAAGGTGAGAAAGAAATGTATACACTGGGAATCACTAACTTTCCCATTCCTGGAGAACCTGGTTTTCCACTTAATGCAATGTATCCCAAACCTGCAAACAAACAGGAAGATGAAGTGATGAGGGCCTATTTACAACATCTAAGGCAAGAGACTGGGCTGAGACTTTGTGAGAAAGTTTTCGACCCTCAGAATGATAAACGCTGCAAGTGGTGGACTTGTTTTGTGAAGAGACAGTTCATGCTAGAGTCTTTCAAGACCTGGACAGTGAAAGGAGCACGGGCAGCCACCATCTCCAGAGCCCTGGGCAGCATTTTCCAGCAAGATATACGAATCTTTTGCCTTTATTTCATAAAGTTTTATACAGAAGAGAGAAGACCATGTCTTTACTTGAAAAACTCTTGATCAAGAATTTGGGTGGGAGAAAAGAAAGTGGGTTATCAACAGTGATTTGAAATTTTCTGCAGCATTAAGCTGGCGCTTAGTAAGAATAAGTAATAATAAAGAAATTTCTAACATTCCAAAAAAAAAAAGTACAAAAAGTAGAACCATGAGTCAGCTCTTCTCCACCTACACTCCTCATATAACCCACACATCACCTTGCAACAGAGATTTTTTTTTTTTTTTGCGAGGCAGTCTCACTCTGTCGCTGAGGCTGGAGTGCGGTGGTACAATCTTGGCTCACTGCAACCTCCACCTCCCAGGTTCAAGTGATTCTCCTGCCTCAGCCTCCCAAGTAGCTGGGATTACAGGTGCACACCACCATGCCTAGCTAATATTGGTATTTTTAGTAGAGATGGCGTTTCGCTATGTTGGCCAGGCTGGTCTTAAACTCCTGACCTCAGCTGATCCACCCGCCTTGACCTCCCAAAGTGCTGGGATAACAGATGTGAGCCACTGCACCCAGCCAGAGATGTTAATAATCAGTAAAATGGCCTGTAGATAGGACAGAGGAGGCGAGAAATATCAAGGCCTCAGGTGATCTATCCGCCTTGGCCTCCCAAAGTGCTGGGATTACAGGCGTGAGCCACTACACCCAACCTTATTTTTTAATTTTTAATTTTTTTTTTTTTTTGAGACAGAGTCTCACTCTGTCACCCAGGCTGGAGTGCAGTGGCGTGCTCTCAGCTTACTGCATCCTCCACCTCCCAGGTTCAAGTGATTCTCTTCCCTCAGCCTCCTGAGTAGTTGGGACTATAGATGTGTGCCACCATGCCAGCTAATTTCTGTATTTTTAGTAGAGACAGCGTTTCACCATGTTGGCCAGGGTAGTCTCAAATTCCTGACCTCAAGGAATCCACCCGCTTCAGCTTCCCAAAGTGCTGGGATTACAGGTGTGAGCCACCACGCCCAGTCACTATCTTTTTAATATTTTTTTAATTGAAAAAATTATTTTTGAGACAGAGTCTCGCTTTGTCACCCAGGGTGAAATGCAGTGGCACAATCATGGCTCACTGCAGCCTCACCTCCTAGATTCAAGTGATCCTCCCACCTCAGCCTCCTGAGTAGCTGGGACCACAGAAATGAACCACCATGCCTGGCTAATTTTTATTTTTTGTAGAGACAGGGTCTCCTATGTTGCCCAGGCTGACCTCAAACTCCTGGGCTCAAGTGATCCTCCCGCCTCAGCCTCCCAAAATGCTGGGATTATAGGCATGAGCCACTGTGCCCAGCCTACTTGTTTTTTAAATTAAAAAAATATATAAAAAATATTATATTTTGGAGTGACTTTAGGTTTACAGAAAAGTTAGTTAAAGATAATACAGAAGGTTCCCATATGCCCTTAATCAGTTTCAGGTTTTCCCAAATGTTATCACCTTACATTTGTCAAAACTAAGATGCCAATATTGGTACACTACTACCACCTAAACAGCATGCTTTTTTTTTTTCACCAGTCTTTCCTTAACATCCTGGATCCAATCCAGAATACCACTGACTTAGTTGTCAAGTTTCCTTAGTCTCTTTGGTTGACTTTATTTTCAAATCACTAAATTAATATAATCTGAAATGGACTCTGGACTTCTTGTTAAGTGAAGCAGTATCCTTTCCTAACTGTTTAAACCATATTCAGCTGGGTGTTCTGTAAATAACAGCCCAAAACATCCTAACTGACATACTGAAATGCTCAAGGTAGGTAGGTAGTCCCTCCAGGCTGTATAGTCCAGTCCTCCTGACCTACATCATTCCTACAAGGATCCAGTGTCCCTTAATGTACACTTTGCTCCAGGCATTTCCCCAACACCATTCCTGAACTCCATTCCAAAGAGTTTGTCCTGGCTACATTAAGATACTCGCTTTACCTAGAATATGTATGTAAAGCATCAAACACAGTACCTACTACATAGCAGGCCCTCTGGAAATGCTAGTGCTCTTCTTCTTTTGCCCCCGCTTGCCTCATCTATGACTTTGCATATACAATAGCTTCAGCTTTCAGTGTCCCTCTTTACATCTCCAGTGGGTGAAATCTTTATCAGTTTACATGTCACGTAGTTCACGAAGACCTTGCTGACAGCACTCCTACCTCTAGAATTAGCTATTCTTCATTTCCTCATGCAGTCTTCTGATGTAGTCCTTATCAAACTGGACTGCAATCAAATGTTCACACGTCTGTCTGCCTTACTGTGAGCTCCTTTAAGGCAGAAGAGTGGTGGGCATTGAGCTAAATTCTGGGAATAACACAATGAATAAGGCACAGTCACCACCCTCAAGGAGTTTGAACTGGAGGGGGACACAGACAATCACAACGTAGAGTGATAAACACTATTGATAGGTACAATATGCCAAAGAATCATGGGGGACCATGCCCCAACCCAGCCATAGATCAGACACTTAAAACTATGTTTAATTAACTGAACTACAGAGAAGCATCTCTCTCAATTGGCCCATGGACCCACCTTGGCTAGCAATGAATCCATCTCTGACACTTAGCAGGGATAGAACTGGTGCTCCTGATCTGTGGATGACTTGTACCGGAGCCCTAGGATTCAGAGAAAGGGGAAATTTTACTTTCTTTCTTCAAAAGCAATACTTGACTATATTCAACATATAGTACTAACCACATAAGAGCAAACAGGATAAAATGTGAAGAAAGATTAAACATTTCTATGGTTTCTTTCCTGGCAAGAACCTTAACTGGCAGATTAAGGTAATTCAAAAACCATCCATGTCTCTAAACATGAACTAAGTCACCACCCAAATCCTGAGTTTTTAAGGTAGGTATGACATGGGTTGAAGATAACAATATTAGCAGTATGTTAAACTTTTCACTTAACAAAAGAATTAAGATTTGTTGTAAAATATTAAAATTGTCAGGACTCTAAAAAGAAAGAGGCTGAGGCAGGAGAATGGCGGGAACCCGGGAGGTGGAGCTTGCAGTGAGCCGAGATCGCGCCACTGCACTCCAACCTGGGCTACAGAGCAAGACTCCATCTCAAAAAAAAATAAAAAAAAAAAAGAAAGAGAAAGCTGAGTGAGAATCAATTTAATATATATGTAAGTGTGACTTTATAATAGTGATCAGAGATTCCCTATCTCTGTGGAGGCAAAAAAAAAAAAAAAAAAAAAAAAAAAAAAATTAAGTAACTGAAATGATGGAAGAAAAGGTATAAGCTAGTCACCATCTACTGGAATTTATTCCCTACTCTTGGAATAAACTTAGAATGGCAGGTAAGGTCAGAGCAGCTCCTGTTTTCCTGCTGGTATCACTTCTCACCACTGCCCTCATATGCAGGGAACATACCTGTCATAGACTCCTGAAAACAATCCCCTTCACATGCCTTCATATATGGGATTCTATACATGGGATTCTACCGAGGCCAGCTCTTTTCCTCCTTCTTTACTTGGCAACGTCCTACTCAACAAGACCCAATGTTTCTCATTTCCTTGGAGAAGCAGTCTCACCTCCTTCCCTCTCCTTTTTGGTGCTTCCTTAGATTTCTGTAGCTAGCCCTGTCAGACAAGTGATCACACTGCACAACAGTCTTTTACTTGTCCATCTTTACCATTAGACTCCAGGTGCCTCAAAGGCAGAGTCTGTATCTTTTTTTTTTTTTTTTTGAGATAGAGTCTCGCTCTGTTGCCCAGGCTGGAGTCCAGTGGCACGATCTCAGCTCACTGCAACCTCCACTTCCCAGGTTCAAGCGATCCTCCTGCCTCAGCCCCCCAGTACCTGGGATTATAGGTACGTGCCACCATGCCCAGCTAATTTTTGTATTTTTAGTAGAGACAGGGTTTCGCCATGTTGGCCAGGCTGGTCTTGAACTCCTGACCTCAGGTGATCCACCCACCTTGACCTTCCAAAGTGCTGGGGTTACAGGCGTGAGCCACCACGCCCAGCCCAGAGCCTGTACCTTTTATTTCTGGTTTTCAGTGCCTTGAACCAAGCCTGATGCCCACAGAAGCTATTTTCAATAAATATCAGTTGAAAAAAGGAAGGAAATCAAAGGAGGAAGGGACAAAATTGTAGAAATTGTTAAATCCTGCAACAGAGAGATTGTGTGATTCTCTTTGGATATCTTTAAGGCCAAAGAAAAGCCTGTTTAGAAAGGTCATGATCAAAACTACATAACTAACAGAGCTGGGTTCCTTGAACTAAAAATGATCATTCAGGGCTGGGTACAGTGGCTCATGCCTGTAATCCCAGCACTTTCGGAGGCTGAGGCGGGCAGATCACGAGGTCAGGAATTCGAGATCAGCCTGACCAACATGATGAAACCCTGTCTCTACTAAATATACAAAAATTAGCTGGGTGTGGTAGCGCGCACCTGTAATCCCAGCTACTCAGGAGGCTGAGGCAGGAGAATTGCTTGAACCCGGGAGGCAAAGGTTGCAGTAAGCCGAGATAGCACCACTGCACTCCAGCCTGGGCGACAGAGGGAGACTCCATCTCAAAAAATAAATAAATAAATAAAAATAATTCAATCTTTCAATCTTAGGGTAGCCAGGGTCTAATGTAAGAGAAAATTACTGAGCTCTTTAAAATTAAAAGTTCTAGACAATCAATTTAAATGAAATGTTAGTTTATATTTAAGCTTAATTTTCAAAGCAATCATTAGTCAGACAATCATAATGGTATGAATCATATATTTTAATATGAGTCCAGGAATAATAAGAAAAATCAGAAAATTCAGACTGGAAAACCTTTGTAAATGGAAAAATATACCCTTGATTCAATAGTTATCTATATGCTAGGCTAAATCAATGTTAAAGCCAATAAAAATTTCCACTCTGCAGAAGACCTGCATCATGTAAATGAATGGTGACTCACCTTGGACTCCTCACATCCAGCTGATAAATGTTTCCATCTTGAGTCCCAGCCAATAGCAAGAAGCCAGAGAGAAAAGTACAGCAGTTGAAAGCGTCTGAGCCAATAAAGAGGAACACCTGGGAACAAGTAGGAGGCAAAAATGCTGTTTAAAGATTAATTTGTTTCCAAGAATAAACAGGCACCAAAAAAGGAAAAATTTCACTATATTTTGAGATATTTTCTTCCTTCCCCCTTTAATTATTCTCAAATGGTAAATTACACATTCACCAAAAACTGAGAAGGAAGTACTCCCAGGATTTCAGGAACCTGGGGTTGACTAAGGACTTGAGCAGGTTATATAATATACTCTGAAGTAGCAGTTTTCCAACTACTACCACTCAACACACTGTCTCACAGGATCCTCACCACCAAAATTCCTTCTTTGCCCCTTTTTCATGACAACTTTCTGAGAAACACTTGCAATTCCCACATGTAAGTTTTGCTCCATGTCACTTCAACCTTTTGAAGGAGGGTATTTTGTAGGAAAATGAACAGGCTTAAATAAAGTAGCAATGTAAAGAATCACAATTCTCCCCATGAATCTGAAAAAAAAAATTATTATAGTTTTATTTTCTCCTTACTGTTAGCTCAAACTGATCATGTCTTCCCCAAACATACTAAAAAGAAAAGGCAAAAAACAAAATAAACAAACAAAAAAACCTGATTTCCCTCTGGAAGTAAAAGCCAGCATGGAAACTCAAGTACAAAGGCGATATTAGCAAAAATGGTAATGTTCCTGAAACAAACTTTGAAAATGGAAATATCACCAGCACAGTGGAGTAACAAGATGAAATGAAAACAGCAAACCCTGTGGCCAAATCAAATCACTAAAGTTGTCTGGATGACGATCACAGGAGCTAGAAGGAAATTTTAAAAATCTAATCTCTGGGAAGAGAGAATTTAGTTAAGAACATAATCTGCCCAGCAAAAATTCAGAGGATGTAGGAAGAAACTTCAACTAATGGTCTGTTCATTAATTGATCAAGAGTCCTGAATGCATGAGTCCCTTTTTTGAGACAGGGTCTCACTCTTGTTCCCCAGGCTGGAGTACAGTGGCGCAATCTTGGCTCACTGCAGCCTCGACCTTCCAGGCTAAGGTGATATTCCCACCTCAGCCTCCCAAGTAGCTGTAGCTGGGATTACAGGTGCATGCCACCATGCCCAGCCAATTTTTTGTATTTTTAATAGAGATGGGTTTTTTTGCCCAGGCCAGTCTCGAACTCCTGGACTCAAGCAATCCACCCTTTCTGGGCCTCCCAGAAAGCTGGGATTACAGGCATGAGCCACTATGCCCAGTGGGCGTGAGTTCTTTACTCAGAATTTTTTCACATTACCTTAGAGGTAGCAGGACTCATAAAGAAAATCTATACAACTTCATCATTTTACATATAGCACACTAAGGTCCAGAGAGGGAAAGTGACTTAACAAAGATCACAAAACAGTAGACCATTTAATCCTCATCACATACCCTATTATGACCAGTTTAGTGATGAGGAAGCAGGCTCAGAGAGGTTAAGTAACTTGTCCAATGCTGGAACCATTAAGTATTAATAGAAGAACTGAGATTTATTTTATTTTTTTATTCTCTGCAAGTGCTGCACAAGAACTGGGATTCAGGGCTGGGCTCAGTGGCTCACATCTGTACTCCCAGTACTTTGGGAGATTGAGGCAGGCGGATCACTTGAGTCAGGAGTTTGAGACTAGTCTGGCCAACATGGTGAAACCCCGTCTCTACTGAAAATACAAAAATTAGCCAGGCATGGTGGTGGGCTTGTAATCCCAGCTACTCAGGAGGCTGATGCAGGAGAATCACTTGAACCTAGGAGGTGGAGGTTGCAGTGAGCTGAACCGAGATTGCGCCACTGCACTCCATCCAACCTGGGCGACAGAGTGAGACTCTGTCTCCAAAAAAAAAAAAAAAAAAGAACTGGGATTTAAATGTTGCCCTTATTCCAAATCCCACAACTCTTAATCATTACACTGTACTGCCTCTTACTCACGCAGCCTTCTCAAAAGTGAACACAGGGAGCAAGTAGAAATGTTTCCAAAATAGCTTTCTAAGACACAGAGTGACCCAGGTTGCCTCAGAGTTCAAAGGTCATATAGGAACCACTTGCCAGCTGCCTGCTCTGTAGTCCCAAGCACTGAAGTTTCTTATCTTCCCGGGCCAAGAGCAGCATTTTGGCCTCTGTTCCAACCTCCCGTTCACCTGCATGACAAATAAACTATGTTAATAACAGTGAGGCTGATCAGCTGGTAGTGCCCACACAGCACCAATACTGATGGTTGATTACTGATTTTGTTAGCGATTCACTTATTACAAAGAAAACATTTATTATGTTCTGTATCTCACTGTGGTATTATTTATACAACTGGATATATTTGTCAAAACTCACAGAACTATACAATTAAAAATACTGACTTTACTTTTACATTTTAAAAATGTTTTTTAATGGTATCCAGTAGCCAAGGAAAAGGGTGACTTTTACCATATGTAAAAGATACCTCAGTAAATCCAAATTTATTTTTAAAATGTGCCTGTGTGTGTGTGTACTTTTTTTTGAGACAGAGTCTAGTATGTTGTCCAGGCTGGAGTGCAGGGGCCATTCACAAGCACAAACATAGCACCCCACAGTCTTGAATCCCTGGGTGCAAGCAATCCTCCCACCTCAGCCTCCTGAGTAGCTGGGACTACAGGTGTGCACACCATGGCTGGCAATAAGCCCAACTTTTAAAATATTAAGTTGTTTGTACCATGATAAGACACCACACTAGGAGTTGGGATACAATACTGCAAAAAACAGTCTCTGACCTCAAAGATCTTACAGCCTAGAGAAAATGAAATTTATTCATTTACTCACCAAATATTTCTTTAGGGCCTACTATGTATCAGGCACTATTCTTTTTTTCTTTTTTTTTTTCTTTTTTTACCCTCATCTTCTATGTGATGACATCACACACTATTCTAACTGCTAAGGAAATAGTGATGAACAAACAGATAAGGTCCTCACTCTCAAGGATTCTAGTGAATAGGTAAATAAACAAGTAGGATACTTTCAGAAAGTGATGAGTTCTAAAATAAAATAAAATAGGAAAATAAGATCAGAAGTGAATAGATGGTGGAAGGCTAGATGGGGAGGGTAACTTTAAATGTAAACTTCAACTTTATTTATTTTTTAAAATATTTTTTATAGAGATGGGATCTCACTATATTGCCCAGGCTAGTCTTGAACTCCTGGGCTCGAGCAATTCGCCCACCTCAGCCTCCCAAAGTGCTGGGATTATGGGCGTGAGCTACCACGTCCAGCCTAAACTTTAACTTTAAAAAGCCTCTGTGGAAGTCACTTTTCAACTGAATGGCAAGACCTGAATGGTGAACAGAAACCAGTCATGTGAAGACCTGCAGGAGTATATTCCAGACCAAGGGAAAAAGAAGGCAAAGTCAGGCCAGGTGCGGTGGCTCACGCCTGTAATCCCAGAATTTTGGGAGCCCAAGGCAGGTAGATCACTTGAGGTGAAGAGTTTAAGACCAGCCTGGCCAACATGGCAAAACCCCATCTCTACTAAAAATACAAAAAATAGCCAGGCATGGTAGTGCACGCCTGTAATCCCAGTTACTCGGGAGGCTGAGGCGGGAGAATTGCTTGAACCTAGGAGGTGGAGGTTGCAGTGAGCCGAGAACGTGCCACTGCATTCAGCCTGGCAAAAGAGGGAAACTCCATCTCAATTTAAAAAAAAGAAGGCAAAGTCCAGGAGACTGGGAGAGTCTACTGTACTGAAAGAAGAAACTGAAGGCCTGTGGCTGAAATGTAGTGAACATGGCAGAGGGTGGTATGACATGAGACTGGAGAGAAGTGTAGGGGTCAGAAAGTATAAGAGCTTGTTGTAAACCATGCTAAGGGGTTAGGATTTCAACATATTTATAAAGGGAGGCCACTGGAGAGTTTTAAGCAGGAATGTGACATGACTTATGATTTTCTTAAATGACCACAAGATTGCTCTGAAAAGAATGGCTTATAGGAGAATAGTCTAGGCAGTAGTACAGGCAATAGATGATGATAGTTTGGACCAGATGTTGACAGGAGGAAGGGAGAGAGGGGGAGGGAGAGGGAGAAATAGAAAAATTAGAAACACTTTGAAGTTAGAGATGATAGACTTTGCTGATGTGGGACATGAGGAAAGAGAGGGTGGACTGTGAGTGAATCTCAGGCTTTGGGCTTGAGCAAATGGGTAGATAGCGGTGCCATCTTCTGAGATGGAAAAAAACAGTTTGGGGTGGGGAGGGATCAAACACTCCTTGTTAGACAAGGTAAGTTCAACTTATTTATTAGACATCGAAATAGAGTCTGAAACTCAGGTGAAAGGTCTATGCTTTACATGAACTTTGGAATGATAGCTATAGAACAGATGAGGTCACAAAGGAAGAAACTGTAGTTATAGCTGAGGGCCCAGAACTTAATAGTGGGGCCCTCTAGTATTTAAAGGTAGAAGAGAGGAGTTTCATAAAAGGAGACCTTTAAGAAGTAGCAGTCAATGAAATAGGAAGAAAACCAGTGTTATGTGGTATCACAGAAGCCATGAAAAAAAAAAGTTTTTTGAGGAGAGGGTTTACTATGTGAAATACCACTGAATTCAGAAAGACAAGCACAGAGAAACAAGGTGGATTAGGCAAGAAGAAGGTCACTGGTGGCTGGGGCCCATAGCTCACACCTGTAAGCCCAGCACTTTGGGAGGCTTAGGAGGGTGGATCACTTGAGGCCAGAAGTTCATGACCAGCCTGGCCAACATGGTGAAACCTCATCTGTACTACAAATACAAAAATTAGCCAGGCATGGTGGTGGGCACCCGTAATCCCAGCTACTCGGGAGGCTGAGGCACAAGAATCACTCGAACACTTGAACCTGGGAGGTGGAGGCTGCAGTGAGCCAAGAGATCGCACCACTGCACTCCAGCCTGGGCAACAGAGTGAGACTCCATCTCAAAAAAAAAAAAAAAAAAAGGAAGGTCACTGGTGACTTTAACAACAGCCATTTCAGTCAAGTACTTGGGCACAAACCATCCTAGAATGGGTTGAAGAGTAAATGGGAAATGAAAAATTACAGAAAACAAGAAAAAATATTCTCATTTAAATTACTTTAGGGCCAGGAGCTGTGGCTCATGCTTGTAATCCTAGCACTTTGGGAGGCTAAGATGGGAGAATCACTTGAGGCCATGAGTTCAACACCAGCCTGGGCAACATAGTGAGACCCTGTCTCTACAAAAATAAAAAAAAGTAGCTAGGTGTAGTGGTGCATGCCTAGAGTCCTAGCTACTCGAGAGGGTGAGAGGCAGGAGAACTGCTTGAACAGAGTACAGAGGATTATTAGGGCTAAGAAACTACTATGTATGATACTGCAATGGTAAATACATGTCACTGTACACTTGTCAGACCCTATAGGATATATAACACCAAGAGTAAGCCCTAATGTAAACTCTGAACTTTGGGTGACAATAATGTGTCACGTAGGTTCATCAGCTGTAATAAATGTACCACTCTGGTGGGGGATATTGATAGTGAGGAGGGCTATGTGTGAGTGGGTAAGGCAAAAGGTATATAAGAACTCCCTGTACTTTTTTTTTTTTTTTTTTTTTTGAGACAGAGTCTCACACTGTCGCCTGGGCTGGAGTGCAATGGAGCGATCTCAGCTCACTGCAACTTCCTCCTCCCAGGTTCACACGATTCTCCTGCCTTAGCCTCCCGAGTAGCTGGGATTACATGCACACACTACCACACCCAACTAATTTTTTGTATTTTTAGTAGAGATGGGGTTTCACTATGTTGGCCAGACTGGTTTCGAGCTCCTGACCTTGTGAATCGCCCGCCTCGGCCTCCCAAAGTGCTGGGATTACAGGCGTGAGCCACTGCACCTGGTCCCCTGTACTTTCTGCTAAATTTTGCTGTGAGCCTAAAATGGCCCTAAAAAATAAGGGCTATTTTTTAAAATGTGAGGGGCTAAGACAACAGTAGAAAAAACATTGTCCTATGGAACAGAGATGCAACTATTATTATGGGAAAATAAGAAGGAAAGTTGCCTTATTAGGACCTTTATTAGTCTCTCACCACAGCTATTCAACCCATTTCCTACTACTACCCCTCTTAATTCAACTTTCTAGCCCAGTCAAACATATCTTTTTATATAACACTTAGTTTCACGTCCAAGCTATAATGCAAACTGCCCCTACACCTACCCCTTGCCCTAGCTCCCATTGTCCTATCCTTACAATTACTGTCTGTTCAACTTCAACTTATCCTCTAAAGGTTCAAGCCAACTTCTTTTGTGACATCTTTCCTATCTATACTAACCGGGAACACTCCGTCCCTCTGAAAACCTATTATATTTGCATTAGGACTTGCTAATTTGCCAGGCATGGTGGTGCAGGCCTGTAGTCCCAGCTATTAGGGAGGCTGTGGTGGGAGCATCACTTGAGCCCAGGAGTTCAATGCCAGCCTGGGCAAAACAGCAGGACTCTATCGCTAAAAGAATAAAATAAATAAAAAGAATCACTAATTATTTCAGCCAAATGTTACTGTTCTCTAAATGTTTTAAAGCAAGCTTGTCCAACCTGCAGCCCAGGGTGGCTCTGAATGAGGCCCAACACAAATTCATAAACTTTCTTAAAATATTATGAGATTTATTTATTTTTAGCTCAGCTATCATCAATGTTGTGTATTTTATGTGTGGCCCAAGACAAGTCTTCCAATGTGGCCCAGGGAAGCCAAAAGATCGGACACCCCTGCTTTATAGGCATTTATCTCATCTTCTACATTAGATTGTACTTACTGAAACGCAGTGCTATGACATATACTTCCTTTGTAGATTCCAAAGTAATAGAAACATAGTAGGTACAGAGTAAATATTAATCGTATGGTGAAAACAGAAATACCAGGCACAGAGCAGAAAAGGATGAGGAAGAAAAGGAGAAACTAAGGCAATCACTGAAGGGGGCCTAAGAAAATAAAACAATGCTACATATCATTATCAACTTACTGGGCATCTGCTCAGGGGAGCCAAGGTTTATGGAGTTGTCAGCAGCACCCACCGCCACTCCATTGATAGAAGAACCACAATCTGCAAGGACTCCCAAGCAGGCTGAGCGCCCACAATCCCAAAGTCGTGCTGTCCCATCTCGAGAAGCAGACACCACATTCCTCCCCCGATCAACGATGGCTGTATCCAGGATACCTAGCAAGAGAAAAAAACTCCCTAAGATGGAGGATGGAGTAAAGGAACTACAAGGGCAGAGAAGATGGAGCTGCATAAATGACTCCATCCCTTCACAAACATGTTCTGAACAGGTACCACATGCTGGCCATGTTCAAGTGCTAGAAAAACAGAAATAGAGTCCCAGCTTCCCAATGAATCAAAGTCTAGCTGTGAAAGACAGGCATGGAAAAACAAGTACTGGATTTAATTTTTAGTGGAGTGTGCTAGAGAAATCATGTTCAAGTTTTTTATTTTGTCTTCAAAACTCTTTTTTAAAAAGAAAAATTAAGAGGTCGGGCGTGGTGGCTCACACCTGTAATCCCAGCACTTTGGGAGGCCGAGGCAGGTGGATTGCCTGAGCTCAGCAGTTCAAGACCAGCCTAGCTAACATGATGAAACCCTGTCTTTACTAAAAATACAAAATAGCCAGGCGTGGTGACACATGCCTGTAATCCCAGCTAAACAGGAGGCTGAGGCAGGAGAATCGCTCGAACCTGGGAGGCGTAGGTTGCAGTGACCCGAGATCACGCCACTGCACTCCAGCCTTCAACAGAGGAGACTCCGTCTCAAAAAATAAATAAATAAATAAAAAATAAAAATTAAGTAGACACCTTAACAAGAACTTTGGAGGAAAAAAAAGTTGACACCTAAGCTAATTCAGTTTGAAAATCACTGCCTTGGCCAGGTGCAGTGGTACACACCTGTAATTCCAGCACTTTGGGAGGCTGAGGCAGGAGAATCTCTTGAGCGCAGGAGTTTAAGACCAGCCTGGGTGACACAGCATGACTCTGTCTGTACAAAAAATTTAATTTAGGTATGGTGGCTCGTGCCTGTAATCCCAGCTACTCAGGAGGCTGAGGTGGGAGGATTGCTTGAGCCCTGGAGTTCAAGGCTACAGTAAGCCATGATTGCTCCACTGCACTCCAGCCTGGGCAGTGGAGCAAGACCCATATATATATATACACACATATATATACACATATATATATACACACATATATATACATATATATATACACACATATATACACATATATACACATATATATACATATATACACATATATATACATATATACACACATATATATACATATATACACATATATACACATATATACATATATATACACATATATATACACACATATATATATATTTATTTACATATATGCTGCTGCTGCTTTCACTGATAATTGATTAAAAGGGTTAGCCTCCCCATTTGAAAAAAGGACATGACTTCTGGTTTTGGCCAAGAAAGAGTAGTCCCATTGCTCCTAGGTCCTTCTGTTTACAACTGAAAAGTCATTGACACCACAAGCATAGTAAGACTTGGAATGATGGAAAGAAGGTGGTGGACCACTTAAGGACCTCAGGACTTAAAAAACAACACAGCAATGAGTTCCTGGATTTCCTTATTGCCTCCCACATGTCCTGGACAGGACAC
This sequence comes from Homo sapiens, assembly GCF_000001405.40. Lineage (NCBI taxonomy): Eukaryota > Metazoa > Chordata > Mammalia > Primates > Hominidae > Homo > Homo sapiens. The sequence goes on along the minus strand of NC_000011.10, from coordinate 73,907,930 downwards.
TGCAGAAGCCTCCAACACAAAACTGCTAACAGGAACAGAGTTAAAAAACAAAACAAAACAAAACTCCCAGTAAAGTCTGTTGCCCCTAGCCCAAAGACTGAGAAAGAAGTAGCTCACAAAATAGAAATCTTGGCAACATCCACCCTATACCAGTAGACATCAACAGAAAAACTGTTACTTCCCCTCCCCCATGGTTTCAGTGGGGCTGAACAGGAGGTGATCATCTACCCCGCTCCCATGGAAGCCGGCAGCAGCACTCCCATTCCCCTACCCAGTGGGGTTGACCAGGTTAAGTAGGGTACTGTCACAGGATCTAGCAGTGAGCTCAGTTTCCATCCCCACCTGGCAGTGACAGGCACAAAGAGGTGCCCTGAGGTGCCCACCACCCCTTCCCAGGTGTCAGTCAGCAGGGAACCAAGCTTATAACGCCACTAGAAGGCAATGAGGTGATGCAAGTCAGGTGGTGCAACTGTGTCCTACTTTCACCAAGAAGATGACACAGGACCAAGGGGGAAGCTGAACTTCCACCTCCCCTGTCTGCAGTGTGAGGCGGTATGAGTCAGTGCTCCACTTTTGCCAGGGTAGTGTCAGGGGAGTCCAGTAGGTGGCTGAACATTCTTATCTACCCAGCCCTCATACCATACCTCAACAGGGAACTGCCTGCCAAAAAAGATGATGGAATTAAGATCGAGTGTTATAATGTCCAAAATGCCTATCGATTTTATAGTTTTTGAAGCCCTTTATTATCTATAATCTGAATATTTGCTATGGTCCCTAGCCTCAGGAATACACAGCATAAAAAAATAGAGTTGATTATAGACATAAAGACTTACAATGGAAAAAAAAAAAGAGAAAAAATACACAAACAGAATATATCTGGAAAAAAAAAGACATACAATACAATGGTACAGGTGTAAAAACACAGAGTTGTATGGAGTAGAGAGGTAGTGCAACCCTATGGTGATCCAGGCAGGGCTAGTATTTGTTTCATTAAAACCCATTTAACGATGCTTAGTATAGGTGCCCAATAAATTAAGAGTAACTGACCAAAAGTCACATAGCTAATTAGTGGTCTTTAGCATACTTTCTTTCCTCTTAAAATGAAATGACTTCAGATACACAAACCTTGACAAAAACTCTACAGCAACTCAGCGTAACGTACAAGTGCCAATCCAATGTGATTAACCACATGTCTCTCAAGTCTTACTGGAAATTTCACTTTGTTTAGAAAAAGATGAGTTTAAGAAAATGCCACAGCTTTAAAAAGTAGCCAATTTAGGGTCTGTGTGAGAAAATATCATTAAAAGCAACTCAGGTGGGACCTAATCACTATAGTGTAACTTTTCAAATAGATCCAATTTAAAATAAAAACTAAATCCAGGCCAGGTACAGTGCCTCACAACTGTAATCCCAGCACTTTGGGAGTCTGAGGCGGGCAGATCACTCGAGGCCAGGAGTTCAAGACCAGCCTGGCCAACGTAGCGAAACCCGTCTCTACTAAAATACAAAAATTAGCCAGGTGTGGTGGCAGGTGCCTGTAATCCCAGCTACTTGGGAGGCTGAGGCACAAGAATCACTTGAACCCGAGAGGCAGAGGTTGAAGTGAGCGGAGATTGCACCACTACACTCCAGCCTGGGTAACAGAGGGAATCTCAAAAAAACAAACAAACAAACAAAACTAAACGAAATTCAATTTATACAGCTGGCAACGGTTGTTAGGTAAATGTAATTCTCACAGCTATATACCCACTGGATATAGGCCACTAGAGAAAAGATTTTTCAGTCTTCCTTTCAAAAACAGATCTATCAAGCCCATATGGTTTGCTGCCATCTTGTTTCTTATTTTGCAATTGGTCACTAAAGTATTTTGAGTTTGGAAAATCTACATTTCTATTTCAACTCCATAATACATTCAGCAAAAATCTAATTAGAAAGTATCTTAGAGCTTTTAAGAATCCTAAGGAATCACCATAAGGAAGGTCTTTCAGCTCTTATTAAGCAATCAAAGATCTCCTTATGTCTCTACTGGAAGTTCCAACCACTATTTCAAAATGCTACTGAGTTCCACGGAAGTGATACATGCTTTTGGAAAAAAAAAATTCTGAAAAGTATGTATTCAAGGCAGGGATGCTATAGCTGTGGCTAGAAAGCTGACTATATTATTAATTGTGTATAAATTTCAAGTAATACTCACCAAAGAGCTGCAATCTAGATAGTTTTCCTTTTCTATAAAAGCAGAGTGGAAAATTATCACCCTCTCTTTAGTAAATAAAATGTCACTCATAATGTAACAGCATCTAGTGTGGGTCTCTTAACACTTACACGACAAGAATAAAGAAAAGAGGAGCCTAGAGAAGTGGGAACCTATGAAGAATGACTTTAGAAAGAAGCTATCAAAGTAGCAATTTTGGCTAGGCATGGTAGCTCATGCCTGTAATCCCAGCACTTTGGGAGGCCAATGAGGGAGGATCACAAGGTCAGGAGTTTGAGACCAGCCTTGCCAATATGGTGAAACCCAGTTTCTTCTAAAAATACAAAAATTAGCCGGGCATGGTGGCGTGTACCTGTAGTCCCAGCTACTTGGGAAGCTGAGGCAGAAGAATCACTTGAACCCAGGAGGCGGAGGTTGCACTGAGCTGAGATCACGCCACTGCACACCAGCCTGGGCAACAGAGTGAGATTCTGTCTCAAAAAAAAAAAGAAAGCAGCAATTTCAAGAATGCCTTTCCAAGAGAAGCAGCCATAGCTAAGACTTACCAGAAGCTGCAAAAAGCTTTACTGTTATTTTTGTTTTGTTTTGTTGAGATGGGATCTCACTATATTGCCCAGACTAGAGTGCCATTGCTATTCACAGGCACAATTATATCACACTGCAGCCCTGAACTCCTGGCCTCAAGAGATCTACCTACCTTTGCCTTCCAAATAGCTGGGATTACAGACATGCACCACTGCACCCAGCTGGAAAAGGCTTTAGATATCAAACCAAATAGATACAAGTCTTCACCATACAAACCAGAACACAAAAGCATTTGCCTTCAAGAAAAGATTCAGCAGAATCACATACGAGCATCCCAGCCAAAGTCTGGAAATACGAATAACATTAGATGAAACTATTCCTGAAATAAATATTTGTAAGAAATAAAGCAAATTTCATATTCCCAGGTGTATATTCTTAACAAGTGTATTTATTTAGTTTCTCTATCATATTAAGCTGTTTTAATGTTGCTAGGGAGCAATATACATACATGCGTATATGGGAAAATTAATGGCTATGACTCAGATCTCCGAAAAAAAAATAAGCCTTGAAGCACCTCCTATTACTTGGAGGCGGCATAGCCAATTTCTAAGAAAGTATTTAAGACTTGGAAAATAATGGCGCAAGTGCTGATACTGCAACCTGGTTTCTTAAAATTATTCTATAAATGTAAGCATTTCCACTACCATTATGAGAAAAAAAATAAAAATAAAGCCAACTAGTTAACTAAAATAGGGTGTAATTTGGTCTCAATGTTTCACTGATTATGAAAGATGTAATGCTTATTATAAAGAATTAGGATTATAAATGTATATCCCCAAATTTCACAAGCTTACTTAAATGGCCTGGGCAATTTAACTTCAAACTGATTAAAGTGCATTTTAGAATTACTTATTGAACTCATATGTTACAATCACAAAACTACTTTTAGTCTACCTTTCCACTTGAAAAATTCAGCATACACAGAAACCTTACCTCTGCTTGTTAATTAAGTAGAGAACAAACTAATCCTTTAGTTATATATATTTAAATACACACACACACACAATTGGGGGACCAATTTATGTATATATATATACTTTTTTTTTTTTTGAGACGGAGTCTCGCTCTGTTGCCCAGGCTGGAGTGAAGTAGTGCAATCTTGGCTCAATGCAACCTCTGCCTCCCAGGTTCAAGTGATTCTCCTGCCTCAGCTTTCCAAGTAGCTGGGATTACAGGCGCACACCACTACACCTGGCTAATTTTTGTATTTTTTGTAGAGACAGGGTTTTACCATGTTTGCCAGGCTGGTTTTGAACTCCTGACCTCAGGTGATCCTCCCACCTCGGCCTCCCAAAGTACTGGGATTACAGGGGTGAGACGCTGCGCCCGGCCAATTTTTTTTAATGTTTCTTTTTATATGGGTTCATGGCTCTGAACAAAATGCTTCAAAATCTCATAAGAGATTTTTTTTTTTTTTGAAGACAGAGTTTCATTTGTTGGCCAGGCTGGAGTGCAATGGTGTGATCTCAGCTCACTGCAACCTCTGCCTCCTGAGTTCAAGCGATTCTCCTGCCTCAGACTCCCAAGTAGCTAGGATTACAGGCTCCAGCCACCACACCCAGCTCATTTTTGTATTTTTAGTAGAGACTGGGTTTCACCATGTTGGCCAGGCTGGTCTTGAACTCCTGACCTCAGATGATCCACCCGCCTCGGCCTCCCAAAGTGCTAGGATTACAGGCATGAGCCACAGTGCCCGGACCAAGATTTTTTTTCTTTTTAAGTCACACAAAGCAACTTGGAAGTCATTTGGTTGGAGACAGTGATGATCGGTCAATCTATAGGTTGCTAAGCTATCAGATCTATCTATATATACGCTGTTAAGCTATCAGAGATCAATCCTGATTTTTGCCACGCTGTGGAAGAATGGGCAACCCCAAACCTGGGGCTACTTTATTCAACGAACTGGAAAGGAGCCTTTGTGACCTGATAAGAGGCCAGCCTGGATCTGACTTCATGTCATTTCTTCTAAAGTATATCATTCCGTTCAATCTACTAAAAACTCCCTTCTCAAGAAAAAAGTCAGGGCTGTTATACTCTGCAGAAGGCACTACTCTACCCCAGGACTTTCTCACAAGGCCAAAAGAATGGAACAACTACATGAATAAAAGCTTATATCTAAATTGATTTAACATTCTAGGCCGGGCGCAGTGGCTCACGCCTGTAATCCCGGCACTTTGGGAGGCCACGGCAGGCGATCACAAGGTCAGGAGTTTGAGACCAGCCTGGCCAATATGGTGAAACCCAGTCTCTACTAAAAATACAAAAAAAAATTAGCCGGGCATGGTGGCGCATGCCTGTAATCCCAGTTACTGGGGAGGCTGCGGCAGGAGAATTGCTTGAACCAAGGAGGCAGAGGTTGCAGTGAGCCAAGATCGCGCCACTGCACCCCAGCCTAGGAGACAGAGTGAGACTCCATCTCAAAAAAAATAATAATAAATAAATAAATAACATTCTACTATTTACTCTAAGCTAAAGGTCCATACATATTCTTAGGGAGAATTAAGGAATGTTGGGAGACTTAGGATTCTGTAAAGGGAACAATAATTGCAGTGATCCAAAGGTATTTATAAACTGGATGTGCACTGATGTTGAATATGCATCTTGTTAATTAAGTTCAACATGCTGAGTCATGACTTGTTCCACTGAAATGTTTTCCTGTGCCCACACCTTCAGAGGGATGGCCAGATCGGAGGTGAAGCTTGCACTGTTCCTCTAGACTACTTTGGCTCCTGGACTCCCCAGATCTGTAGGCCATTCTGACTCCTTCAATCTCTCAGTTCTTCAGGAGGTGATGAGTTCTTCAGTAATGTAAGGAAGGCTCTGAATATTGTTTCTATTCCCTCTCAATGTACCCGTTTTCTTACATCATGGAAGTAAACCATTTATGTACTTAGGTTAATGTGTGTGTTTGCTAAAACATCAGCATGTAATCTGGCAAAATGTTATAAAGAAATATTAAAACTTAAAACTTGGGCCAGGCGCAGTGGCTCATACCTGTAATCCCAGCACTTTGGGAGGCCAAGGTAGGCAGATCACTTGAGGCCAGTTTAAGACCAGCCCAGCCAACACAGCGAAACCCCATCTCTACTAAAAAATACAAAAATTAGTTGGATGTGGTGGTGCACGCCTGTGATCCCAGCTACTTGAGAAGCTGAGGCACAAGGATCGCATGAGCCTGGGATGGGGAGGTTGCAGTGAGCCGAGCTGGCATCACTGCACTCCAGACTGGGCAACAAGCGAAACTAAAAAAAAAAAAAAAAAAAGGCAAGGCGCAGTGGCTAATGCCTGTTATCCCAGCACTTTGGGAGGCCGAGGCTGGTGGATCACCCTGAGGTCAAGAGTTTGAGACCAGCCTGACCAATATGGTGAAACCCCATCTCTACTAAAAATACAAAAATTAGCCAGGTGTGGGGCGTGTACCCGTAGTCCCAGCTACTTGGGAAGCAGAGGTTACACTGAGCTGAGATCATGCCACTGGACTCCGGCCTAGGCGACAGAGTGAGACTCCATCTTAAAAAAAAAAAAAAATCTTAAAACTTGATCTCCACACACAAGTTACAATGTACTGAGGTTCACAAAAACACAGAGTTAAAAATCCCAGAAGTAGAGGGCAATACAAATTAATTCCCAAATGAGTGGTACACGCAATATGTATTATGGTTCCAGAAGAAGGATCAAGGAATTATTTGGGGATATTATCACATATTTTTAAAATATTCAAACTTGTAAAATAGGAATAGCATACTTATCTCCTTTTTAATACTCCAATTAAGGATAAAACATACCTAAATAATATTTTTTCCCCACAAAACTCAGTTACAAAGGGAAGATGTTCCCACTGTATATCTATAATCTGATATTAACTGGTTATATGGCTAATCCATTTTTAAAACACGAACTGTAATTTAAATCTATGGGAATCATCAAGCTCTATCATAATGTCTGATGATGCAGCCATTAGCCACCCAGCTTTTACTGTTCCCTCAGCCAAAAAGACTAATATGAGAAAATGCAGACACATCTCCTTTTCTCTCACTCTCTCTCTCTATTTCCCAGCACACAAGTATACGATTTCCTGGAGAGGATTTTTTTTTTCCTTTATCAATTGTAGAAAACAACTTTTTTTTTTTTTTTTTTTTTTTTTTTTTTTTTGAGACGGAGTCTCGCTCTGTCGCCCAGGTTGGAGTGCAGTGGCGGGATCTCGGCTCACTGCAAGCTCCGCCTCCCGGGTTCACGCCATTCTCCTGCCTCAGCCTCCCAAGTAGCTGGGACTACAGGCGCCCGCCACTACGCCCGGCTAATTTTTTGTATTTTTAGTAGAGACGGGGTTTCACCGTTTTAGCCGGGATGGTCTCCATCTCCTGACCTCGTGATCCGCCCGCCTCGGCCTCCCAAAGTGCTGGGATTACAGGCGTGAGCCACCGCGCCCGGCCAGAAAACAACTTTTAAAGCTGGGATTACAGGCATGCACCACTGCACCCAGCTGGAAAAGGCTTTAGGTATCAAACCAACTGTGTAAGACAGTTCAAGATAGCAATAAAAAGACTGTGTGGCAAAGGAATTTCTGGTCCTTAGGGAAATGGCAGCTCATCTAAATGCCCAGCTGGATGGATTATTTGTGTATTTGTGAATAAACTAGCTTGTTTCTACCTTTTCAGTGATTCATTTCTGGGGATCATTAGAGAAGCCTTTTGGAGAAAGCACACTTCATACCTCCTTTGTGACCTTTGAAGGTCACCACGCAGCTAGCATCTTCAGCTGACCATATCTTCAGCTGGGCATCCATTCCCCCACTCAGGACCACAAGGCCTGATGGGAAAAACCTGCAACAATTCACATCAAACACATGTCCTTCCAATACTCTCTGGAAAAACAAAAGAAAATTCCATGCTAGTTCTCTTGTCCATCCCTTGATGTTCTCTTACCTCCCATACTCTGGTCCCTTATATGAAATACCTACATGCTAAACCCACATGCTGGGTTTTAAAACTAAGGATATCCAAAGGATCTCTTAGCTCATTTGTCTAGCAGGCAGTGTTCTAAAAGGTGTTTCCTCGAATTCAGCTATAGAGGTTATAGAACTGAATTCCATGTAAAAACACCCCAGAGCCTAGGTTAAAAAAAAAAAAAAAGAATTCCATGGCTTTCACAGCCATCTCTAGATCTAGTTAAAGAGCTGAGGTGGCTTGGGGACTTTTTCACTCATCTCTGTTTAAAATCCTTTGTAAAGGTTGGAGGCTCAGCCATAGATTCAGTCTAACAGCCAAGCTATTCTGTCTTGGAAATGGATCACTGAAGGCAATTAAAAAACAAGGGCACACCCACTTAGACCTTCACTGGTCTGGCTCCTTAACTGCTCCAGCCCCACTCTGTTCTGCCAAATCACTGAGCTTGAGAAAGGTTCTCGAATTGACAGCTGAGAGGCCAGGAGCGGTGGCTCACACCTGTAATCCCAGCACTTTGGGAGGCCAAGGTGGGCAGATCACTTGACGTGAGGAGTTGGAAACCAGCCTGGCCGACATGGCGAAAGCCCATCTCTACTAAAAATACAAAAATTAGATGTGTGTGGTGGCACATGCCTGTAATCTCAGCTACTTGGGAGGCTGAGGCACAAGAATCGCTTGAACCCAGGAGGCGGAGGTTGCAGTGAGCTGAGATCACACCACTGCACTCCAGCCTGGGCAACACAGCAAGACTGTCTCAAAAAAAAAAAAAAAAAAAAAAAGAGAAAAAGAAAAAGAAACACACAAATGGGAGAAAAGAGATCAACTGACATGCAGAGTGGTCCCACATTTTTAGAATGGGCCATTCTTCCTTCCATGTCCCAGTCCAAGGCTTCTCAGACCACCCTTTGTGTTTAAGACCTAAAAGTACATCCAAATCCTTTACCCTGAGTTCTCCATTGGAAGCCTGCCAGATTTTCATGGTCCCGTCAGTACTAGAAGACACACCAAGACCTCCTCTGCTGGAAATGTCCAGGCATGTTATCTGTTCAAAGAGAAAACAAACAATGTGTTAGAAATAATGAAATACTCTTATTCCCTTGAAATATGTTATAAACTTCCCTTTTTTCACTCTTCCAAGACTTCCTGAAGCCTGTGTTTCCCAACAAAAGGACTTGTGTTTGATGTAAAGGTTGAGTTATCATCACCAACCTCCCAACAAGGCTGAAGTAAACACCTTTTACTTCTTCAAACAAAAAGATATTCCTCTAATCATCTGAAGTCTAATGCTTCAGCTAAAAAGTTTTCCCTATCCCCATTTCATTTCCATAGTTTCCATGTGTTGCATTTATTTATTTGTTTGTTTGTTTGTTTGTTTGACAGAGTTTCACTCCCATCACCCAGGCTGGAGTGCAATGTCCCCATCTCAGCTCACTGCAACCTCTGCCTCCCAGGCTCAAGTGATTCTCCTGCCTCAGCCTCCCGAGTAGCTGGGACTACAGGCGCACACCACTGTGCCTTATTTCTGTATTTTTCGGTAGAGACAGAGTTTCACCATGTTGCCCAAGTTAGTCTCAAACTCCTGAGCTCAAGTGATTCTCCCATCTCAGCCTCCCAGAGTGCTGGGATTATAGGCCACCGTGCCCAGCCCTGCTATTTTATTTTAAAATTAAGACCAGGTGCAGTGGCTCACACCTGTGTAATCCCAACACTCTGGGAGGCCAAGGCAGGAAGATTACTTGAGCCCAGGAGTTCGAGACCAGCCTGGGCAATATAATGAGACTCCATCTCTACAAAAAATTTTAAAGTAAATATAAAAAATAAAAAGAAAATTAAGATACCTCTCCTAATTCTTAGGAACCCACTTACACAAAAGATAATGTTCTAAGATGCACCAGGAGGATTCAAGAGTTCAGCTATTCCTCTCCCTCTCCCTCTCCTTCTCCCTCTCCCTCTCCCTCTCCCTCTCCCTCCCCCTTCCCCTCCCCCTCCCTCTCCCCACGGTCTCCCTCTCCCTCTCTTTCCACGGTCTCCCTCTGATGCCCAGCTGGACGGTACTGCTGCCATCTCAGCTCACTGCAACCTCCCTGCCTGATTCTCCTGCCTCAGCTTGCCGAGTGCCTGCAATTGCAGGCGCGCGCCGCCACGCCTGACTGGTTTTCGTGTTTTTTTGGTGGAGACGGGGATTCGCTGTGTTGGCTGGGCTGGTCTGCAGCTCCTAACCATGAGTGATCCGCCAGCCTCGGCCTCCCGAGGTGCCGGGATTGCAGACGGAGTCTCGTTCACTCAGTGCTCAATGGTGCCCCAGGCTGGAGTGCAGTGGTGTGATCTCGGCTCGCTACAACCTCCACCTCCCAGCAGCCTGCCTTGGCCTCCCAAAGTGCCGAGATTGCAGCCTCTGCCCGGCCGCCACCCTGTCTGGGAAGTGAGGAGCATCTCTGCCTGGCCGCCCATCTTCTGGGATGTGAGGAGCCCCTCTGCCTGGCTGCCCAGTCTGGAAAGTGAGGAGCCTCTCTGCCCGGCCGCCCAGTCTGGAAAGTGAGGAGCCTCTCTGCCCGGCCGCCATCCCATCTAGGAAGTGAGGAGCGCCTCTTCCCGGCCGCCATCACATCTGGGAAGTGAGGAGCGTCTCTGCCCGGCCGCCCATCGTCTGAGATGTGGGGAGCACCTCTGCCCTGCCACCCTGTCCGGGATGTGAGGAGCGTCTCTGCCCGGCCGCCCCGTCTGAGAAGTGAGGAGACCCTCTGCCTGGCAACCGCCCCGTCTGAGAAGTGAGGAGCCCCTCCGCCCAGCAGCCACCCCGTCTGAGAAGTGAGGAGCCCCTCCGCCCAGCAGCCACCCCGTCTGGGAAGTGAGGAGCGTCTCCGCCTGGCAGCCACCTCGTCCGGGAGGGAAGTGGGGGGGTCAGCCCCCCACACGGCCAGCCGCCCCGTCCGGGAGGGAGGTGGGGGGGGTCAGCCCCCCGCCCGGCCAGCCGCCCCGTCCGGGAGGGAGGTGGGGGGGTCAGCCCCCCGCACGGCCAGCCGCCCCGTCCGGGAGGTGAGGGGCGCCTCTGCCCGGCCGCCCCTACTGGGAAGTGAGGAGCCACTCTGCCCGGCCAGCCGCCCCGTCTGGGAGGTGAGGGGCGCCTCTGCCCGGCCGCCCCTACTGGGAAGTGAGGAGCCCCTCTGCCCGGCCAGCCGCCCCGTCCAGGAGGGAGGTGGGGGGGTCAGCCCCCCCGCCCGGCCAGCCGCCCCGTCGGGGAGGGAGGTCTGGGGGGTCAGCCCCCCCGTCCGGCCAGCCGCCCCGTCCGGGAGGTGAGGGGCGCCTCTGCCTGGCCGCGCCTACTGGGAAGTGAGGAGCCCCTCTGCCCGGCCACCACCCCGTCTGGGAGGTGTACCCAACAGCTCATTGAGAACGGGCCATGAGGACAATGGCGGTTTTGTAGAATAGAAAGGGGGGAAAGGTGGGGAAAAGATTGAGAATCGGATGGTTGCCGTGTCTGTGTAGAAAGAGGTAGACATGGGAGACTTTTCATTTTGTTCCGTACTAAGAAAAATTCTTCTGCCTTGGGATCCTGTTGATCGGTGACCTTACCCCCAACCCTGTGCTCTCTGAAACATGTGCTGTATCCACTCAGGGTTGAATGGATTAAGGGCGGTGCAAGATGTGCTTTGTTAAACAGATGCTTGAAGGCAGCATGCTCCTTAAGAGTCATCACCACTCCCTAATCTCAAGTACCCAGGGACACAAACACTGCGGAAGGCCGCAGGGTCCTCTGCCTAGGAAAACCAGAGACCTTTGTTCACTTGTTTATCTGCTGACCTTCTCTCCACTATTGTCCTGTGACCCTGCCAAATCCCCCTCTGCGAGAAACACCCAAGAATGATCAATAAAAAAAAAAATAAATAAAAAAGAAAAAAAGAAAAAAAGAAACATCGTAAAAAAAAAAAAAAAGAGTTCAGATATTTCCACATATACCTATATATAGGTATAGCTATAGAAAATATACAGATATAGATCTTTCAGAATAAAGAATAGAGAAATTTCAGATTCACTTTTTGTTTTCCAAACTCACTTTTATAGTTTTTGTGTTTTTTTTAAAGACAGGGTCTCACTCTGTTGCTCAGGCTGAAGTGCAGGGGCATGATTACAACTCACTACAGCCTTAGCCTCTCAGGAACAAGTGATCCTCCTGCCTGAGCTTCCCAATAGCTGAGATTACAAACATGGGCTGGCATGTCCAGCTAATTTTTTAACTTTTTTTTGGAGAGATGGGGTCCCCCTATGTTGCCCAGGGTGGTCTTGAACTCCTGGGCTCAAGCTATCCTTCTGCCTTGGCCTCCCAAAGTGCTAGGATCACAGGCGTGAGCCACCGCGCCCAGCCTCACTTTTGTAATTTCAGTATCAGCAATCACTTCATGCATAAGCCATTATCAGAATAACAAATCTTTTATACACATGCATACATGTACACTTTTATTAAAAAACAACCAGCTGCAAATGCTCCAGAAATGATGGACCAAGATATGCAATTCCAGACACATTCCCAGCAACAATAATTCCCACATAAGTTATTAAGAAAAAAGTAGGGACTTTGGCTTTAATTATCCAACTTTCCATTTTACTTTGTTCTATGTCAATTAAACCATAATAAATAAGTTTGGGAAGAACTATAGGGATATATCCATCAACTCTAACATTTTCTAAGACTTTTCTTCTTCATTTTGCTTCCTCGGAATAAAAGGACTGCTAACTTAGTAGTGGATCCTTTACTTGTAAGCAACATACTTCAGGTTCTGTCCTGATACAGGTGGTATCTATCCAATTGCTTGCTGGTAGGCAGTGAACACCTAGGCTAGACTGGAAACCTCAAACTGAACATGTCCAAAGAAAACTTTTATTTCCCCTGCCCCATCCCAATACAACTCCTCCTCCTCCAATTAGTAAATGGAACACAATTCACCTACTTCTCAGGCCAAAATTTTTTGAATCATCCCAACTCCTCCTTTTCTCTCATACTTAACATCCAAGTCATCAGCAAATCACGTCTAGTCCCACATCTCTAGCATGTAAGATCTATAAGGGCAGTTTTATTTATTTTATTCAGTATCCAGAAGACTGGCTGAAATATAGTAGGTGATTAATAAATGGATGAATCATCTTTCAGTAAGCTCAAATAAAAAGAGAATAAGAAATAGAAAAGGAGCACAGTTATGTTTGTTTTTGAGACATGGTCTCACTCTGTCACCCAGCCTGGAATGCAATGGCACAATCACAGCTCACTGCAGCCCTGACCTCCTAGGCTCAAGCAATCCTTCCATCCCAGCCTCTCGAGCAGCTGGGACTACAGGCACACACTACCACATCCAGCTAATTTTATTTTTTGAGACAGAGTCTTGCTCAGTAACACAGGCTGGAGTGCAGTGGCGCAACCTCGGCTCACTGCAACCTCTGCCTCCTGGGTTCAAGCGATTCTTGTGCCTTAGCCTCCGGAGTAGCTGGGATTACAGGCGTGTGCCACCATGCCCAGCTGATTTTTTTTTTATTTTTATTTTTTTTAGTAGATTTTTTTTTATTATTATACTTTAAGTTTTAGGGTACACGTGCACAATGTGCAGGTTAGTTACATATGTATACATGTGCCATGCTGGTGTGCTGCACCCATTAACTCGTCATTTAACATTAGGTACATCTCCTAATGCTATCCCTTCCCTCCGATTTTTATATTTTTAGTAGAGATGGGGTTTCATTATGTTGGCCAGGCTGGTCTTGAATTCCTGGCCTCAATTGATCTGCCCACCCCAGCCTCCCAAAGTGATGGGATTACAGGTGTGAGCCACTACAACCAGCCTATTTTGTTTATTTTTTTGTAGAGACAAGGTCTCACTATGTTGCCTAGGCTGGTCTCAAACTCCTGGGCTCAAGTGATCCTCCTGCCTTGGACTCCCAGAGTGCTGGGTACAGGCATGGGCCACTGTGCCTAGCCTGTAAATGATTTTTAAAATGACTTACTTCTCAAAAGGTGAGCGGCATTCCCAACTCTCCCAAGAGGTGAATTGCCTTCTCCCTCAGTTAAAGCAGAAAATAATAAAAAATGATGTATAAAGGCCAGGCACAGTGGCTTATACCTATAATCCCAGCATTTTGGGAAGCCAAGGAGAGAGGACTGCTTGAAGTCAGGAGTTTGAGACCAGCCTGGGCAACAGAGCAGGACTCCACCGCTACAAAAAATAAGAATAAAAATTTTTAAGCCAGGCGACTAGCTGGGACTACAGATGTACATCACCATACCTGGCTAACTTTTAATTTTTTTGTAGAGACGAGGTCTTACTATGTTGTCCAGGCTGGTCTTGAACTCTTGGGCTCAAGTGATTCTCCTTTCTGGGTCTCCCTAAGTGCTGGGATTATAAGCATGAGCCACCGCGCCCACGTTTAGTTTTTTCTTTCTTTTTTTTTTTTTTTTTTTTTTTGGAGACAGAGTTTCACTTTTGTCTCCCAGGCTGGAGTGCAATGGCGCAATCTTGGCTCACTGCAACCTCTGCCTCCCGCGTTCAAGCGATTCTCCTGCCTCAACCTCCCGAGTAGCTGGGATTATAGGTGCACGCCACCACGCCTGGCTAATTTTTGTATTTTTAACAGAGACGGGGTTTCGCCATGTTGTCCAGGCTGGTCTTGAACTCCTCACCTCAGGTGATTCACCTGCCTCGGCCTCCCAAAGTGCTGGGATTACAGGCATGAGCCACTGCGCCCAGCCTAGTTTTCAAATAAATAACTGCTTTCCGCTTTTCACATTCACATTTTATTGATTTAACATAAGATTTAATTAATTTATATAATTTCAAAAATAATATAACTGGCATTACAATTGACTCTTGATAAACTTTCAACCTAACGGTATGTTTTACAGAGGAAATGAAGAGCAACAATTGACTCTATACATCAGTTAAGCGGCAATGCATTAGAACACACCCAAAGCCTCATAATTCCCACACCCTATGACTTAGCAATTCCACTTTTACAAATGTATTCTAATTTCTTCCCATCTTTGGGAGCAAAACTTTAGCTATAAATGTATTCATAAAAATACAAAATCACAAAACTGGAAACACCTGAATGTCCAGTAATATAAAACTGTTAAATTAAATTATAGTAAACTCATCAATAGAATACCATGCAGCTCTTAGAAGGATACATTGAAAGACAGCATAGAATAATGGACATATAATTAAGTAATAAAAAGCAAGTTATAGGCTGGGCACGGTGGCTCACACCTGTAATCCCAGCACTCTGGGAGGCCGAGGTGGGCGGATCACAAGGTCAGGAGATTGAGACCATCCTGGCTAACACAGTGAAACCCCGTCTCTACTAAAAATACAAAAAAAATTAGCCGGGCGTGGTGGCAGGCACCTGTAATCCCAGCTATTCGGGAGGCTGAGGCAGAGAATGGTGTGAACCCAGGAGGTGGAGCTTGCAGTGAGCCGAGACTGCACCACTGCACTCCAGCCTGGGCAACAGAGCGAGACTCCATCTCAAAACAAAAACAAAACAAAACAAAAAGCAAGTTATAAAATAGCATGTAATGTAAAAACCCATTTTGGTAAAATATTTAAGGAAAAGACAGAGTATTAAGTAAAATAATGATATGTAGAGTTGCCACAGTGCTGGCTCATAGTAGGCAATCAATAAATGTGAGCTTTACTACTATGATTATTATTTAAAAGGGATATACAACAAAAGTTCCTAACAGTTATCTTTAGGATACAGAAATATGAGTGATTCTCCTTTTTTTACATGTCCTAAATTTTCATCACTAAGTATATATCTGTTTTGTAATAAGGGTGAAAAAGAGCTCTTTTTCTTTCTTTCTTTTTTTTTTTTTTTTTGGTGAGACAGTGTCTCATTCTGTTGCCCAGGCTGGAGTGCAGTGGCATGATCATGGCTCACTGCAGCCTCAACCTCCTGGGCTCAAGCAATCCTCCTACCTCAGCATTCAGAGTAGCTGGGACTACAACATGTGGCACCATGTCTGGCTAATTTTTGTATTTTTCTGTAGAGACAGAGTTTCACCATGTTGCTCAGGCTGGTCTTGAACTCCTGAGCTCAAGTGATCCACCCACCTCGGCCTCTCAAAGTGCTAGGATTACGGGCATGAGCCACTGTGCCTGGCCAAAAATTGCTCTTTTAAAAAACGTACCACACAGTAAGAAGTGAATGGCTTCAACATAATCAGTTTTATCTAGCAATTTCTCACTTCTGCTTCCAAGAAGCCCATGGTAGTAGAAAAGGCTTTATATCACAAAGACCTTTGAAAATTATTCCTCAATGTGGTATATTTGAAATTTTGAGAAAATATCCCTGTCCTATAGGAAAAGGAATAAAATATGAGCAGCAGCATTATTATATAAGCATCAACTATTACAAATTTATTTATTTTTATTTATTTTTTGGAGACAGAGTCCAGGCTGCAGTGCAGTGGCATAATCTCAGCTCACTGCAGCCTCCAACTCCTGGGCTCAAAAAATTCTCCCACCTCAGCCTCCTGAGTAGCTAGGACTACAGGTAAGTGCCACCACGCTCAGCTAATTTTTGTTTTTTTGTGGAGACAGGGTTTCACTCTGTTGCCCAGGCTGGTCTCAAACTCTTGGCCTCAAGTGATCCTCCTGCCTCTGCCTCCCAAAGTGCTAGGATTGCAGGTGTGAGCCACTGCACCTAGCCAAGCATCAAGTATTATATCATTATCTGAAAGCTGGTAACTCTCCTAAAACATATGTAAGGAAATTTCATATAATCTCTAAGATGACCAGTGAGTAGATTTGAACACATATTCTATGTGGACTAGAGTACCAGTTTTGCCAAACACATCAGACTTCATCAGCTGTATCATCTTACAATGCAAAGTAAATGAAAGACATATTAATTATGAATATGTTTATAGCACTAGACAAGCAAATAAAATGAAAAATTAACATGCTATTACATTTTCTCTTCATTTTATCAAAATACTTACACTCTTTGTATGAATTCTGGAAAAAGTAGTATATGGTGCCAAAAACTTAGAAGATGCATTTTCCTTTGGACATGAAATATGAATGCTTTTCTAAACAAAGAGGAAAAGATGAGATTCATCAGTAAAACTCCTCCAATGTATTATAATTAAAGCCTCTTAAAGAAAACATTAGGACTACAGGACATTCTCATCTTCTCAGTGTACCCTCTCTCGTTCTCCTTTCCCACCCCACAAAACTATCCCTCCCCCATAGATCAGCAGTCCTTTTAAACTGTTGAGGGCTACAGTGTAATTTGGTATTGCTAAGATGCCATTATCTTTTTGTGTTGAAATAAGCTGCTCCACAGAAGACAGACAAACAATATGATACAACCAATAAGCATTAGAGCATTCGTTTTAAGAAGAAAATCTAATACCAATACTCTCAATTAGCAGTGGGGCAAGGAACAGGATCAGTGCGAAGAGGACATAAAGAGATATAAGGAAACTCTTCAACACCATCCCCCAAACCTAGGTCTTAAAAGACAAGTCTAAAAGTAAACTTGCTGTCTACAAGAACTTTTAGAGAGAATGTTAGACTACTGACATTTACAATGACCAGATGAAATTGGTAAAGTAAATTATGGTACACCCATAAAATATGTAGGCCTGGGTCAGGCTTACGGTGCCTATTCCCTCCTAAGACTTAAATTGACTGTACATGTTCATAGACTGGTTGTTGTAACACAGCTATATTTTGATGCCCCATGTGTTCTACCTAGTCATTATCACCTGTCTTTCAACTACTGTAGGAAGATAACACTGGTGGCATATTAGGAAACTATACCTAGAACCAGATGTTAGATTCAGGAGACATGACTTGCTAAGGGCCATTTGTAACCATTTTAGGTAAGAATATTGGCGTTTGAAGGTAGCACGTGTAGAGGTAAAAAAAAGAAAAAGGCTTGGTAAACCCTCCCTCAAGGACTCTTGCAATATGACAGTCCCTTACTCTAACCAGCATAATACCAATACTATCACTTAAGTATAGATCTCCTATAAGGAACTGAGGAGCTGCACTCACCAAATGACCCCTAACCTTTTATCTCTTCTGCAGTAGTACTTCAAAGTCTCTGGTAATTCTTCAGGACAATGAAAATGTCTTCAATAATCAAAATTTTCTGAACCTCTTTATATCCAACAAGCACAGGTCCTCACAGTTCATTAGAAAGAATGGTTTCAAAGTCAAAATATTCTCATCATTGAATCAGTATGCTCTTTACAGATCATCTACTCCTTTAAAATGACAATTAGACTATCTACACAAACAGCACTTTCTTAGCCAGCATATCCATGCCTGGCTGCCTGCAGGCCTTTCACTAAATGAGTTTTTGCTTCTAACTGTGTGATAAAGCCCATATAGCTGCAAGAGTGCTGGCCTGGATTTGGAACTGCCTCTTGTACCAGAAACTAAAGCGTCAGCTAAATCCTCTTGGCTGAATATTCATATTAGCAAGGATGCAAGGAGCTTCAAAAGCTTAGTGTTTGGGCCTCTGTAAGAATTGGATTTGCTCTCAGAAGACTTCATTTCTTTGGAGCTATGTGACAGATTTCAATAATCAGTACTTTTCTCCTACTTTGCAGTCTTGCAAATCAATCTTTAATCCACAAACAGACTACAAAGGAAGATAAATGTTAAAATATCTTCCAACATTAGCAGTGGACAATCATGCTGTTAATGAAAATATTTTAAAGAAAAACTGCAAGAGAGATCAGAACAGACAAAATCCAAGGGGAAAAAGTGTGAGTATGCTGCACTAAGATAAAATTCTAAGTCAAACATTTTTATGCTCCAGGGTTAGACATTTAAGCATAATGACAGATCTACTGTTTAAGAGAACAATGTAGCAATATCAAATTAGCAAAGTGACTCATGGCAGTTAGGAAACAAATGAATGTTCAACCATAAGCACTTACTGTCTGAACCCACTCAGCAGGTTCACAGCAAAAATTAGCAATCATGTTTGAAGTGATAAAGACTGTATCCAGGTCTGAGTATGAAGGGAAGAAAGAAGTCAGCACCCAGGCTGTGCCAAAACACCTGGGAAAAACGTAGGCTTGCATGGTAGTGCTAAACTTGGAATCAACAGAACTGGGTTTCAATTCCAGCATACAGTCTGTCTTTGATTATTTGAGATTAATTAACCTCTCTGAGTTGGTTTGCTTATCTGCAAAATGGAAATTTAAAATGCCAATCCCACAGGATTGTTATGGTAAAAGAACCAAAACTAACTTCTGTAGTATTTTATAGATTCATCCACATGCAGTCTCATTCCCCATTAACCATTCTAGGAGGTAGAATAGGATCTCAGCTTTATTGATGAGGAAACTGAGACTCAGAGAACTAAGTTATTTGTCCAAAATCACACAGCTAATAAGTGTCAGAGTTAACTAAGACTTAGATCTTCTGATACCTATAATACCCATAGCTGTTTATGAAAAACAAATATAAAATATATAATAACATGTAGCCTACTACCTGGCCCAAAGAGAGTAATGAATGAACATTTGCTAAAAATCTTATGTAAAAAACAAAGTATTCTCTATTCTTGTCAGTATACCCAAAATATTTTTTATAACTAAAAAGTTTAATTACACAAAAAATGAAAAATGAAACAAAAGGCTGGTCCACCCTTACGGAATCATCTCACCAGAGCATACTAACTGCAGCAGTCAGAATGAGTAGGGAGAGGCAAATCATGGGTTCTCCAACGCTTTGCTTACCCATCTACTCACCTCAAAGACAAACAAGAAAAACTGTTAAGTACTATTAATGTAGGCTCTTCATCAAGGCCTCACCAGATATGGATTATAAGGCTACATTGTTCAGTGTAGTAGGTAATGGCCGTATCAGGCAACTGAGAACTACTTGGATATGGGCATCTATATTTTCAACTGTAAATTTTATAAAACCTAAATACAGATCAAGTATTTCTAATAAAAATTAGAGTCTGAGCTGAGATAAGCTGTAAAAGTAAAATATACATGGAGTTTTGAAGACTTAATAAGAAAAAGAAATGTAAAATATCTCTAATAATTTTTAGTATTATTTACAGGTTGAAATAATGTTTTAGATATACTGGGTTAGATCAAATATATTATTAAAATCAATTTCGCTTGGGCATGGTAGCTCACGCCTGTAATCTCAGCACTTTGGGAGGCCGAGACAGGTGGATCACGAGGTCAGGAGTTCGAGACCAGCCTGGCCAACATGGTGAAACCCCATCTCTACTAAAAATGCAAAAATTAGCTGGGTGTGGTGGCGGGCGCCCATAATCCCAGCTGCTAAGGAGGCTGAGGCAGGAGAATTGCTTGAACCCAGGAGACAGAAGTTGCAGTGAGCCAATATCATGCCATTGCACTCCAGCCTGGGCGACAGAGCAAGACTCCATCTCAAAAAACAAAACAAAATCAATTTCATTGTTTATTTTTATCTCTATAATGTGGCCACTAGAAAATTTTAAATTACACATGCATCTTGCATTATCAGAGCTGATATAAGGGAAGTAAGAGGAAGTCTGATGGCACTTAAAAGTATATGTAACTACAATAGAAAATACCAATGACACTCACAGACAGCAAAAACTATGATTCTCATACAAATGAAGTGGAGATACACAGATAATAGTATAAATATCTAAGGTAGATGTTTGGGTACTACCATAGTTTTAAATATCATGCCATCTAGAAGACATAAAAACATACCTTGTTTATTTCATTCACAGTAAATCCTTCTGAAGCTGTAACCTCTGGGATGCCATCTAGGCCAATTCCTTGACAAGTCAGGCTGCCATACAAAGATGGTTTCCCTATATGGTACAAAAGAAGCATGTCTCAAAAAATAAGAAAAATTTATTATTTTTCTCTTTGAAGACCCAATTCAGGCATCTGTATAAATAGTATACCCATGAAATTGGCCCACGAAAGAAAAACAGGTGCCTGTGTTAAAAGTCAGGTGAAGTAAAAAGAGAATTAGATTAGGTGTCTTAGTCTGTTTAGTGTTGCTATAAAGGAATACCTGAGGCTGGGTAATTTATAAAGAAAAGAGGTTTATTTGGCTCACGGTTCTGCAGACTGTACAAGAAGCATGGCACCAGCATCTGCTTCTGATGAGAGCCTCAGGCTGCTTCCACTCATGGCAGAAGGAGAAGGGGAGCCAGTGTATGCAGAGATCACATGGTGAGAGAGGAAGTAAGAGAGAGAAGGGAGATGCCAGGATCTTTTTAACAATCAGCTTTCTCAGGAAAGAACAGAGTGAGAACTCAGTCACTCTCACTCTCCAGGGAGGACATTAATCTATTCATGAGGGGTCTGCCCCCATGACCCAAACACCCCCCATTAGGCCCTACCTCCAACACTGAGGATTAAATTTCAACATGAGATTTGGAGGGGTCAAACATACACACTATAGCACTAAACTCTAATTTGAAAGGGAATACACTTTCAAGACTAAAATACATTTTCTTTTTTTTTTTTTTTTTTTTTTTTTTGAGATGGAGTCTTGCTCTGTCGCCCAGGCTGGAGTGCAGTGGCGTGATCTCAGCTCACTGGAATCTCCACCTCCTGGGTTCACACCATTCTCCTGCTTCAGCCTCCGAACAGCTGGGACTACAGGCACCCGCCACCATGTCGGCTAATTTTTTGTATTTTTAGTAGAGATGGGGTTTCACCATGTTAGCCAGAATGGACTCGATCTCCTGACCTCGTGATCCACTCGCCTCAGCCTCCCACAGTGCTGGGATTACAGGCGTGAGCCACCGCGCCTGGCCTGACTAAAATACATTTTCAAGACTAAAAGCTAAGAACAAAGATTTAGAGATTTGATACAGCATTTGTAGAGAGGGCTTTTAGAGTGATCTCAACCTGATGTAACTGGCTGTGAAATGTAATTCTTCCAGGATGAAAGGTGAAGATCAGTATGCATACATGTATTTATCTACAGTATATACACATAATACATAGTAAAGAATTAAGCTTCAGTAACCTGTAAAATTTGCCTAAGTAGAATACTGATTTTGCAGAGATATGGGCTAAGTAAGATACTATCCTACACATAAACACACGCAGATGATAGAATGAAGTTAAAAACTGTTTCCATTCTTCTTCTACACCTTATATATTCATGTCTATAACAGCCCATAACACACTGTTTACATGTCTGACTTGCCCAACAGACTGTGAAGTCCTTAAGTCTAGCAGGGTGCTACATTCATTTATTATTCAGTAAATAAATGTTGAGCCAAACTGAAGTTACAGGAGAGAAGCAGAAATCATCATGGATTCACACAAGAGTGGGAGGGATTTTTTTTTTTTTTTTTTTGAGATGGAGTTTCACTCTTGTCGCCCAGGCTGGAGTACAATGGCGTGATCTCAGCTCACTGCAACCTCCACCTCCTGGGTTCAAGCAGTTCTCATGACTCAGCCTCCCAAGTACCTGGGATTAAAGGCACGTGCCACCACACCTGGCTAATTTTTGTATTTTTAGTAGAGACGGGGTTTCACCATATTGGCCAGGCTGGTCTTGAGCTCCTCCCCTCAGGTGATCCACCCACCTCAACCTCCCGAAGTGCTGGGATTACAGGTGTGAGCCACCACGACCAGGCCGGGAGGGCTTTCTAGAGAGTATAGGAGCCTCAAAGAAAGATAGGAGCTGGCTAGGAAGAAAATAGGGAAAAGAAAACTCCAAGTCAAGGAGGAGCATATCAAGAATAAAAGAAAGTCAGCCGGGCATGGTGGCTCACACCTGTAATCTCAGCACTTTGGGAGCCCAAGGTGGGTGGATCACAAGGTCAGGAGTTCAAGACCAGCCTGGCCAACATAGTGAAACCTCTTCTCTACTAAAAATACAAAAATTAGCCAGGTGTGGTGGCACGTGCCTGTAGTCCCAGCTATGATACTCAGGAGGCTGAAGCAGGAGAATACCTTGAACCTGGCAAGCAGAGGTTGCAGTGAGCCGAGACCACGCCATTGCACTCCAGCCTGGGTGACAGAGTGAGACTCCATCTCAAAAAAAAAGAATATCACGCCTGTAATCCCAGCACTTTGGGAGGCCGAGGCGGGTGGATCACGAGGTCAGGAGATCGAGACCATCCCGGCTAAAACGGTGAAACCCCGTCTCTACTAAAAATACAAAAAATTAGCCGGGCGTAGTGGCGGGCGCCTGTAGTCCCAGCTACTTGGGAGGCTGAGGCAGGAGAATGGCGTGAACCCGGGAGGCGGAACTTGCAGTGAGCCGAGATCCCGCCACTGCACTCCAGCCTGGGCGACAGAGCGAGACTCCGTCTCAAAAAAAAAAAAAAGAATAAAAGAAAGTCAAAAAGAACAAGAAGGAAGGATTCATCAATTAATACACCAGTTTGGTAATAGCAGTCATGGAAATGATAGTTGAGGGATAAATCCCAGAGAAACTCAAAGTCTAGGGTAGAAGTTTGGCCTAGAGAAGACCTAGTAAAGACGCTTTTCACAGGGAAGTATCATGAAGCACTATTTCAGAAAGATGCCACAAAAACAGAACTGAAGCAACTTCACTTTTTATCCCACTCCATGATTCCCTATTGTGTTTACCAACTGCCTTAAGAAGTCTGGCCCTCATGGTGCATCATTTCAACCAATCACTCAATGACTTCTCCACATTTGTGGATGTATATATATGTATTTTTTTAATATTTGAGACAGGGTCTCGCTCTGTCACCCAGGCTGGAGTGCAGTGGTATGATCATGGTTCACTGCAGCCTCTATCTCCCAGAATCAAGGGATTCTCCCGCCTCAGCTTCCTGAGTAGCCTGCATGCCACCATGCCCAGCTATTTTTTTTATTTTTATTTTTAGTAGAGACAGAGTCTCACTATGTTGCTCAGACTGGTCTCGAACTGCTGGGCTCAAGCAATCCTTCTGCCTCAGCCTCCCAAAGTGCTTGGATTACAGGGTGAGTTACCCTGCCCAGCTGACTTCTCTACATTTGTGAAGTCACTAAAATGACCTCAGCCTTGGTTTTCTCTATATAATAGCAGAACTAGGATCAATCCAACCACTTACCTTCTACATTCCTACATGCAGGCTGCTGAGTACTGCTCCAGAAAAGAACACAACTGTGCCGACTGTCACCAATCCAATTCATGTTTCTAAACTCAGCAGTTTTGTAATCCTTTCACCCCTCCCATTCCCCACAGCAGCTGGTTCTCATGCCATCTATCCTGCCATCAAAATCTCCTTCCTTCATAATAGCCAAAAACTAGAAATATGTGTCCATTAATTGATGAATGGATAAACAAAATGTAGTATATCCATACAACAGAGTATTACCGGGCCACAAAAAGGAACGAAGTACTGATAAAAACAACAAATAGAAACATTATACTAAGTTGCCTGTAATCCCAGCACTTTGGGAGGCCGAGGTGGGAGGATCACTTGAGGCCAAGAGTTCAAGACCAGCCTGGCCAACATGTCGAAACCTCGTTCGTCTCTACTGAAAATACAAAAATTACCCGGGTGTGGTGGCAGGCGCCTGTAATCCCAACTACTCAGGAGGCTGAGGCACAAAAATCACTTGAACCTGGGAGGTGAAGGCTGCAGTGAGGAGCCGAGATTGTGCCACTATACTTCAGCCTAGACGACACAGTGAGACTCTCAAAAAAAAAAGAAAGAAAGAAACATTATACTAAGTGAAAGAAGTCACACAAAAGGCCATGTATTTTATGATTCCATTTATATGAAATGTCCAAAGTAGGCAAATCCACAGAGCTAGAAAGTAAACTAGTGGTTGCTAGGATTGGGGGGTGGAAAGTGACTGTTAATGGGTATAGACTGTTTTGGGGGTGATACTAGAAATAATATATGTAAAGTAACTAGCACATAGATAGCACACATTTTTATCTCAATAAAGCTGTTATTTAAAAACAAAAACAAGAAACAAGATGGTGGATCACACCTAGAGTCCCAGCTACTTGGGAGGCTGAGGGAGGATCACTGGAGACCAGGAGTTCAAATTCAGCACCTGGGAAACACAGCGAGACCCCATGTATTAAAAAATAAACACAGGAGTTCAAGACCAGCCTGGGCAACATAGTGAGACCTTGTCTCTACAAAAAATTTAAAAAATTAGCCAGGTATGGTAGTGCATGACTGTGGTCCCAGCTACTGAGGAGGCTGAAGTGGGAGGATCTCTTGAACCCAGGAGATCAAGGCTGCAGTAAGCCATAATCATGCAACTGTACTCCAGCCTGGGCAACAGGGCAAGACCCTGTCTCAAAAAAATAAGAACAGGCCAGGCACAGTGGCTCACGCCTGTAATCCCAGCACTTTGGGAGGCCGAGGTGGGCGGATCTCAAGGTCAGGAGTTCGAGACCATCCTGCTTAACACGGTGAAACCCCGTCTCTACTAAAAATACAAAAAAATTAGCTGGGCGTGGTGGCGGACACCTGTAATCCCAGCTACTTCGGAGGCTGAGGCAGAAGAATGGCATGAACCTGGAAGGCGGAGCTTGCAGTGAGCCGAGAACATGCCACTGCACTCCAGCCTGGGCAACAGAGCGAGACTCCGTCTCAAAAAAATTAGCCAGGCGTGGTGGCGCATGTCTGAAATCCCAGCTACTTGGGAGGCTGAGGCAGGAGAATCGCTTGAATCCAGGAGGTGGAGGTTGCAGTGAGCGGAGATCGCACCACTGCACTCCAGCCTGGGCGACAAGAGCGAAACTCCATCTCAAAAATAAATAAATAAATAAATAAATAATAAAAATAAAAATAAACACACACAGAAACAAAAACCACCCTCCTCCTTAAGAGTTGACATCATTAACTCCAATTCATAAAGAAAACTGAATCTACAAGTTACCTTCAAAAAAAAAAAAAAAAAAGTGCAGGCACGGTGCCTCACGCCTGTAATCCCAGCACTTTGGGAGGCCAGGGAGCGGATCACGAGGTCAGGAGATGGAGACCATCCTGACTAACACAGTGAAACCCCATCTCTACTAAAAATACAAAAAATTGCGGGGCACAGTGGCTCACGCCTGTAATCCCAGCACTTTGGGAGGCTGAGGCAGGCGGGTCACCTGAGGTTGGGAGTTCGAGACCAGCCTGACCAACATGGAGAAACTCTGTCTCTATTAAAAAAAAAAAATACAAAATTAGCCAGGCATGGTGGCACATGCTTGTAATCCCAGCTACTCGGGAGGCTGAGGCAGGAGAATTGCTTGAATCTGGGAGGCGGAGGTTGCAGTGAGCCAAGATGGCACCATTGCACTTCAGCCTGGACAACAAGAGCAAAGCTCCATCTCAAAAAAAAATACAAAAAATTAGCCGTGCATGGTAGCACGCGCCTGTAGTCCTAGCTACTTGGGAGGCTGAGGCTGGAGAATTGCTTGAACCCAGGAGGCAGAGGTTGCAGTGAGCCAAGATTGCACCACTGCACTCCAGCCTGGGCAACAGAGTGAGACTCCATCTCAAAAACAAACAAACAAACAAACAAAAAAACTCCTTGGTTGTTGAAGGTAGCTTGGTAATTTAAAACAACAACAACAACAACAACATTAAGTTTGTTGCTTTGTAAAGACTTGATAATGTTTTTTTAAAACTGTTTTAGGCCGGGGGCAGTGGCTCACACCTGTAACCCCAGCACTTTGGGAGGCCAAGGCGGGCGGATCACTTGAGCTCAGGAGTTCAAGACCAGCCTGGCCAACATGGTGAAACCCTGTCTCTACTAAAAATACAAAAATTAGCTGGGCATGGTAGTAGTCCCAGCTGTAGTCCCAGCTATTCAGGAGGCTGAGGCACAAGAATCCCTTGAACCTAGGACTGGAGGTTGCAGTGAGCTGAGATCATGCCACTGCATTCCAGCCTAGGTGACAGAGCTAGATTCTGTTTAAAAAATACTGCTTTAATAGTATGTATCGGCAAGAAAAATGCAAAATATTAGGGAAAAGATCTAAAAAAATATAAACCCCAGTTGATGTTTTGCTCTTAGATTGCTTTTTTAGCCTAAGTAAAGATTTGCCTTGCTTTAAAGAAACTGTGCCTTTTGGTTACAGTTTATTACAAGATAGCCAAGGTCCTTGTAATAATAAGTGGACTAATAAAGAGAAGGTGAATTTTAATGTATGTTTATATATTTTAGTTAAAATAAAATGTAGGTCTTTTGTGTATTTTTATTTTATTTATTTATTTATTTAGAGATGGAGTTTCGCTCTTGTTGCCCAGGCTGGAGTGCAATGGCACGATCTCCACTCACTGCAACCTCCACCTGCTGGGTTTAAGCGATTCTCCTGCCTCAGCCTTCCGAGTAGCTGGGATTACAGGCATGCACCACCACGCCCAGGTAATTTTTTGTATTTTTAGTAGAAACAGGGCTTCACCATGTTAGCCAGGCTGGTCTCAAACTCTTGACCTCAGGTGATCCGCCCGCCACAGCCTCCTAAAGTGCTAGGATCACAGGCGTGAGCTGCTGTGCCTGGCTTTTTTTTTTTTTTTTTTTTTTTTTTTTTTCGAGACAGAGTCTTGCTCAGTCATCCAAGCTGGAATGCGGTGGCACTATCTGGTCTCACTGCAAGCCCCGCCTCCCGGGTTCACTCCATTCTCCTGCCTCAGGCTCCCGAGTAGCTGGGACTACAGGGGCCCACCACCACATCCGGCTAATTTTTTGTATTTTTTTTTAGTAGAGCCACCGCACCTGGCTTTTTTTTTTTTTTTTAACTGAGACAGGGTTTTGCTCTGTCTCTCAGGCTGAAGTACAGTGGCACAATCCTAGCTCAAGCAGTTAGAATAGGATTTTTGAACATAATTAAGCACAATAAAATAGGTAAAATAAAATACAGTATTTTCCTTGAATTTTTATGTTAAGTATACATATGTATATGTGTGTGTGTATATATATATATTTGTGTATTTGTGTGTGTGTTTCTTTTTTTAGAGCCAGGGTCTCACTTTCTGGTCCAGGGTAGGAGACCACGCAGCATGATCACGGCTACCCTTGTCCAGGGTAGGAGGTCCAGTAGCATAATCACAGCTCACTGCAGCCTTGACTTGCTGGGCTTGAGCAATCCTCCCACCTCTGCCTCTTGAGTAGCTGGGACTACAGACACCCAACACCATGCCCAGCTAGTTTTATTTGCTGTAGACACGAGGTCTCCCTATGTCTCCCAGGCTGGTCTCAAGCAATCCTCCGCCTTGGCCTCCCAGAATGGTGGATGACAGGTATGAGCCCCCACGTCTGGCCTTATTTTTAAGATGATTGGCAAGTCACAGCACTATAAAGTCCATCCTTTATTCCACTGATATAAACAATAGTCTTTTTTTTTTTAATGATGGGGTCTCACTCTGTCACCCAGGCAAAAGTGCAATGGTTCGATCATAACTCACTGCAGCCTCAACCTCCCGGGCTCAAGAGATCCTCCTATTGCAGCCTCCCAAGTAGCTGGGACTACATGCGCATGCCACTATGCCTGACTAATTTTTTTTGTTTTTTATAGAGATGGGGAGGGGGTCTCACTTTGTTGCCCAGGCTGGTCTCGAACTCCTGAGCTCAAGTGATCCTCCTGCCTCAGCTTCCCAAAGTGCTAGGATTACAGGTGTGAGCCACTGTGCCTGGCCAAAACTTTATTTCTCATAGAAATACAATATATCAGCAGCATTTGAAATGAAAGATAATCAGCAAAACAAAACTTTCTTACAGAATTTAGAAGGAAGGTTGATTTGTTTTAGAATGGTACCACCTCGGTTACAATTTGAAAAGAATCCTGTGAATGATATAAGACTGTTGTTCAAAAGAAAAATTGATAAGACTTGGGAGCTTCCTGGATATGGCAGGGTCAAGTAACTAGGTTTTTCACTCTGATGCCTAGAAAAATGATGGTAACTTAAGAAATGAGAAAAATCAGGAAAGAGAACTCACTTGACAACAAATGTACTTAGCTTGGTTTTGGACTTCAGTAAGTCCAGTAACTTAAGGTGACAGTGAGACCTTTAAGCAGAAATATCTAGCAAACAACTGATCAATCTCTGCTTGAACATGGAGAAGTCAGGGCTGGGGCTGTAGATCTAGAAATTATCATCAAGAAAGTCCCAGTTGAAGCTGCAGAAGTGCTTAGAATACAATAGCACAGGGTAAGTGACTAATTAAGATGCATCAACAATGTCTCCATGAATAAGTCTGTGGCTTTCAAATGGAAAATCAATCTGAAGGCCTTCCCTTGGAATGGAGGAGTTGGGGTGTTGGCCATACAGTACAGACTGGTCAAGCATGTTTGCAGACTATTATGTAAGGAGGCTGGGCCAGGAGAAAGTAGGAAGCTTTCTTTTAAGGGTATTAATCCTTCTCCTTTAAAGTCACAGCATATATAATTCATGGGTATTACCTGGGGGATGACAGCTCAGCCAGGCCTCCCCTTCATCCTTCCTACGAAGAAAGACAAAAGCCTAATTAGGCTTACCCAAAGTTGAATAGGATCCCATAGTTACAAGGGAAGAAAGAAGGTCATGTAACCTCCAGCTTGGTCATAGTACTTAGACATGAGATAGTCCAACCTCTCATCGAGTATAGATCATTCTAAGACAGACAAACTTTATTTGTTCAAGAAATATTTGTGGATTAACTATTTAATGAATAGATATCTGTTGGTTAAATTAATGCTCATCCATCAACAGTGAGCTCACTTTGAAAAATCAAGGTTATTTAATTATTTATCAGGATTATTGTAAACCAAGCCCTGTGCTAAGCACTTTCCATACACAATCATTAACCCTCACAATAACCAAACAAGATTCCTTTTATTATTTTAGCACCTGCCCAATCATCCAAATCCTGATCTCTTCACCCTAGCACTTTTAGGGTATAATGGAAAGGGTCTATGCATTTAAGACAGAAAGATCTAGGTTGACAGCAACCCTCTATCATTTGACGAGATGCATGATCTTGGGCAAATTAAGCCTTCTGATTCTGGTGCTGTATTTTCTCATAGGTAGCTAGTGGCACTTCATGTTATTGTTCTTTATTACTTATCACATTCTGTGTACTAGCAACTAGTCTGTATTTTAGCCCACCTAAATTAAGTAAGGTATAAATTTAGTAAGGTGTAAATTTCTTAAATGCAGAAGGCTATGTTTCATTCATCTTCACCATTGTTTCAATTTGAAAAACCCTTATTAGTAGTAGCAGTTGCCAAATATAGCACTGCTATATTCATCCTGAAGCCTAGAGAAATAACTGGAATAGTATAAGATCAATAAATGTTAGATGAATGAATAGTTTGCTGTGTATTCCTAATTAAGACGTCAGCTTTTCTTCTTTTTTGAGATGAGTATCGCTCTGTCACCCAGGCTGGAGTGCAGTGGTGCAATCTCGGCTCACTGCAACCTCCACCTCCTGGGTTCAACCGATTCTCCTGCCTCAGCCTCCCGAGTAGCTGGGATTATAGGCGCCCACCACCAAGCCCGACTAATTTCTGTATTTTTAGTAGAGACGGAGTTTCACCATGTTGGTCAGGCTGGTCTCGAACTTCTGACCTCAACTGATCCACCAATCTCAGTTTTCCAAAGTGCTGGGATTACAGGCATGAGCCACTGCGCCTGGCCTGGATGTCAGCTTCTTGAAGAGCAGGAACCATCACTTATATTTAGAGTATACATCTGAGCTCCACCAAGCATCCAGTATGGGGCCTGGACACAGTATTAGTTTCCTTAATAGTATCGTCCAGTATGCCTAATATAGCATTAGGGGCCTAGGAGAATACAAAGGTTCCATCACATACACAAAGTGGTGGTGAGTACAGAGACTTCTGGAAGTAACTGACGACTAATCAATATTTGCTAAATGACTGCTTGGCCAAAAGCCTTCCTGCCTCCCAGTATCCCTGTCTTTCTCCAACTCACTGATACTAGTTCTGACGCGGGGATCACACAGCTCATGTGCTCCCTTGGCCTAGGGATAGCTTTTCAGAGAATGACCATACGGGTTTGATACTTCTTTTTCCGGACCCTGTTCCCTCCATATCCCTCGACAATTGACGAAGTAACCCCTATTGATATCCTGGACCAGGCATGGCTCTCCTTGACGCAAAGCAACATCCACTACCCGCCTCCTCTGACTCTGTTCTGGGCCTGGATTCACCTGAGGGCTTGCGCCCAGTCGCTCTGAATCCTCAAAGGCGCCGCCATCTCGACCCCGCCTCCACCAGCCCACCTCTTCCGCCCCTTCCCGGAAGTGAGTCCCCGAGAAGCGTGCGGCGAGGACAGAGGTGGGCTCAACACCAAGAGGCCACCAATGAAAACGTGACTTTTTCACATTCCCCGCCCCTTCCGTGTGCACGCTCCCCACGAGGGGCTGGTTCCTGAAAGGATGTACAGAGGATCCCCAACCGCCTGCGAAACCCAAGCCGCCGCGTAGGAGCGTGCGTTCGGGCCCTCTTCTCCCACCTGTTCGGTGAGCATCGCGTACCGCGTTCTTCAGGAGGCGTTGCGGGCACAACGGGGCTGCGATCAGCGGCCGCGCGCGCGCATGCGTCCTCAAAGTTCAAAGTCCTCGATACGCCTGAGGCGCCTCAGGCCTCGTGGCTGCCAGCATTTTTCTGCTTTAAGATCCTTTCCATGACTTCCTTGTTTAGGCCAGCCTCCACGATCCAGCTGCCAACCATCTAGCCTACCCTGATCTCTGAGCAGGGGTCGTCGTCATTTTACTCCAGAGGAGACTGAAGCCAAAAGGTGGTGAGAGGAGAGTACAGCAGCATTTACTGAGTCCTATAGTAGCCCAAGCGCTTTTCATTCGTTATATTAATCTTCATTCTAATTGTGCGAATTAAATATTATTAATGGGAAAACTAAAATGAAAAAGATTACATAGTAAGGCGTAGTGCTGGGATTTGAACACGGATCTCTTGGTTTAGGATCAAGGCACTTTCTATTCCACTGTTCTTTCTCTAAATTATTTGCTCCTGGCCCTATTTAAAGAGTTAACAGTGTATTTAGGAAGAGAAAACTATCATTTATTGAACTCTTTAGACATACCAGCCTCCTTACAAACCTTACCTTTTTTTTTTTCTTTTTTTTTTTTTTTGAGACAGGGTCTCCCGCTGTAACCCAGGCTGGAATGCAGTGGCGTGATCACGGCTCACAGTGTTGCCCAGGCTGGGCGCAAACCATCCTCCCGCCTCAGCCTCCCAGTGTTGGGATTACAGGCGTGAGCCATGGCACCCGGCTTCATCTCTGTGCTTCCAGAGAGGTTATTAAATGATGTGTCCAAGGGCACCAAATGAGGCAGTGACAAAGCTAGGTCCAAGTCTGTTTCAAAGCCCATTTTCTCCCTCTTGCTTAAGTTATACCGCCTCCAAGGCAAATGAGTTGTGTAAAGTGCCTAACTCCCTCTTGTGATTCCCCATTGCCCTCAGAATAAAAAGTCTTAAACTCCCTACTATGTCCTACAAAGCCTTGTGATGATCACTTACTTATATCGCCAGTTTAATATTGTCTTATTCTCACACTGTATTCTCCCATCACTGAACTTTTTTTTTTTTTTGCTCTCATGTGTCAGATTCTATCTCAACCACCTGCTCTTCCATTGACCAAAAATAGTTTTCCCATCTCTGGCTAACTTCTGTTCCATCTGTCAAGTTTCAGCTTGGAAATCACTTCCTCTAGGAAGCCTTCCCTGCCTATTCCTGCCCTTGTCTGGATTAGGCATCCCTCCACTGTGGTCCCAGTCTTTGCTATCTGTACACTGTGTAGTAAACTGCCCTGTTTCCTTGTCTAGGTTGTAAACTCCATGAAGCCAGGAACTTAACTGACTTAGACAGTCTTGAATCCTCAGCACTAGCATAGTGCCTGGTACATGATAGGTACTTAATCATTTGTTGAGTGAATGAGAGACACAGTTAAGGCAATAAGGAGTCCTAGTTGCTTTACAGCCCATCATGGTGAAATTTTTGCAAAGGCTGAAGTCATTTCTCTTCAAACCTTAAGTTCCTTCTGTATGCTGCTTTCTGCTGAGTGTTCTGATGCAGACGGGCAAGACAGTTTGGGCAAATAAATACACCTCACATTTTTGTATAGTTTACAAAGCCATCTCACCTTATAGACCCAGAGGCCAGGTTTCTGCATACTGTATGCTACAGCCACAGTGAACTCTTTCCATCCTTCCCATGTGTCAAAACCTACCCATATTTGGGCACTCTTTCACTTTGTTTGTTTGTTTGTTTTGGAGATGGAGTCTCACTCTGTCACCCAGGCTGGAGTGCAGTGGCACGATCTTTGGCTCACTACAACCTCCGCCCCTTGGGTTAAAGCGATTCTCCTGCCTGAGCCTCCCGAGTAGCTGGGATTACAGGTGCCTGCCATCACGCCCGCCTAATTTTTGTATTTTTAGTAGAGACGGGGTTTCATCATCCCGGCCAGGCTGGTCTTGAACTTCTGACCTTATGATCCATCTGCCTCGGGCTCCCAAATTGCTGGGATTACATGTGTGAGCCACTGCACCCAGCCTCTTTCACTTTTTAAACTTTGTTCTTCAGCATAGAATAAGGCTAGTAGGATAAAAGAAGAAAGGTTATTTATTTGAAACAGGGTCTCACTATGTCACCTAAGCTGGAGTACAGTGGCACCATCATAGCTCACTGCAGCCTTTGAACTCCTGGGCTCAAAGGATTCTCCCTCTTCAGCCTCTTGAGTACCTGGGACTACAAGTGTGTGCCACTATGCCCAGCTAATTTTTACATTTTTTTTCTTTTTTCTTTTTTTTTGAGATGGAGTTTTGCTCTTATTGCCCAGGCTGGAGTGCAATGGTGTGATCTCGGCTCTCCGCAACCTCCGCCTCCCGAGTTCAACCTCGGCTCTCCTGCTTCAGCCTCCTGAGTAGCTGGCATTACAGGCATATGCCACCACACCTTGCTAATTTTGTATTTTTAGTAGAGACGGGTTTCTCCATGTTGGTCAGGCTGATCTTGATCTCCCGACCTCAGGTGATCCGACTGCCTCAGTCTCCCAAAGTGCTGGGATTATAGGCATGAGCCACCGTATCCAGCCATTTTTAAATTTTTTTGTAGAGATGAGGTCTTGCTATTACCCCTGCTGGTCTCAAATTCCTGGGCTCAAGGGATCTTCCTGCCTCAGCCTCCCATAATGCTAGGATTACAGGTGTGAGCCATCGTACCTAGCTGAAAGTTTAGTTCTTTTTAGGTAGATCAGAGATAGCTTATCTAAAAAGATGACATTTCACCTAATTCATATTCCAATAGCAAAATCCACTGAGCTTATTGAATGTTATGTCAAGCATTCTCACAGTTTATCTCATTCAGTTCAAACCACTTTTCAGGCCTGCTCTCAGCCAGGCCTAGTGCTGGGGGCACAAAGGTAAATCAAGACGAACATCAGCCGGGCACAGTTGGCTCACACCTGTAATCCCAGCATTTTGGGTGGCTAAGGCAGGAGGATCACTTGAGCCCAGGAGTTTGAGACCATGCTGAGCAACATGGAAAAACCTTGTCTCTATTAAAGAATCAAAAAAATTAGCTGAGTGGTGATGCACACCTGTAGTCCCAGCTACTCTGGCCAGGGAGGGACTGAGGGGGAAGGATTGCTTGATCCCTAAAGATGGAGGCTACAGTGAGCCTGGGCAACAAAGCAAGACACCCTCAAAAAAAAAAAAAAAAAAACAAGCATCTGTCTTCAAGCTTAGAGTCTCCCACGGGAGACAGACACATTAAACAGGCTAAATGGTGCAGTCTGGTCAGTGCTATTTATAATTTAGGAACCTTACATATTATATCCCTACTCTAACCTGTTAATGTTCTATAGACTCCCCATCCCCAGGATGTCAACCTCAGTCCCTCAAGGCCATACCTGGACCCAACGGGTGAAGAAAGACGATGAGGAGGAGGACCCGCTGGACCAGCTGATCTCCCGCTCTGGCTGTGCTGCCTCCCACTTTGCAGTGCAGGAGTGCATGGCCCAGCACCAGGACTGGCGGCAATGCCAGCCACAGGTGCAGGCGTTCAAGGATTGCATGAGTGAACAGCAGGCGAGGCGGCAAGAGGAGCTGCAGAGGAGGCAAGAACAAGCCGGTGCCCACCACTGAGACCCCAAACCACCTATCCCCAGTAGATGGCCCTGCCAAGACCAGCACCCAGCAAGATTATAGAGGAAGAAATCCTAAATGCTGGTGTGGGAGGTCTAAAACATGGGGAGAGTTTTTGGATCTGGAGTTGAGAGCCATGGGTTTGGACATGACTGGCACAAACAGCTGTCATATGTTCATGGTCAGATGTCATACATTCTCAGCTGTCTTGTTCCACCAGTATTTACCAGGAAAACAAAGAATGTGTTAAGGGATGCTCCCCCACCCCACATCTTAAGTCAGTGTGCCAAGTACTGAGATGATTTTAGGGACATTTTATTTTAAATTAAATTTACAATCTAATGGTAAATTGATTACCTAATTAGTGCCTTTCTCTTTCATCACTTGTTCTGGATGTTTCAATCAGTTTAGTGGAAGGAAAAATAAATGGGGAAACTTTTTATTCAAATATGTTTTTCTTTTGTTTTTTTGAGACAGGGTCTCTGTTGCCCAGGCTGGAGTGTGGTGGTGGAGTCAGGGCTCACTGCATCCTCAGTGGGCTCAGGCCATCCTCCCACCTCAGCCTCTCAAGTAGCTGGAACCACAGGTGTGTGCATCACCACACCCAGCTAATTATTCAAACATTGAGTACCTATTAAATGCCAGATTCTGTTGAATTAACAGATACCAAGTCTGGCTTTAACTTGCTCCCAACCCAACAAACACAAAGTTGGGCTAACATTTTTAGAGTATATTTAACACTAAAATACAGATTTTCAGCTTTTGAAAAGGGGAGAAGATGTCAACATTGATTTTTATTCCCTCTTAACAATTTGCTGGAGCTGAATAATAACTCCCCCTTTAAGTAGGTTGTGTTTTCCCATTCAAAACAGTTGCATATCATTTCTCATTTTTCTTCAACAAAACGACTCTTCCATTCTATTCTTTTTTTTTTTTTTGAAATGGAGTCTTGCTCTGTTGCCCAGGCTGGCGTGCAGTAGCGCAGTCTCGGCTCACTGCAACCTCTGCCTCCCAAATTCAAGTGATCCCCCTGCCTCAGCCTCCCAAGTAGCTGGGACTACAGGCAAGCACCACCACACCCGGCTAATTTTTGTATTTTTAGTAGAGAATGGGGTTTCACCATGTTGGCCAGGCTGGTCTCAAACTCCTGACCTCAAGTGATCCACCCTCCTCAGCCTCCCAAAGTGCTGGGATTAAAGGCGTGAGCCACCACACCCAGACAATAACAAATATTTCTTCAGGATCTATTAGAAGCCCAAATCTGAGGTATAGTAGGCCTTAAAATTTACTTTGAACCTTCATGCCAGTATTTGGGGAAGAAGTAAAGAGAAAAGGGGAGAAGGTAGGAGTTTAAAGAACAATCCTATTTCTGGCTGAAGGGGATAACCAGCAAATTATAAAGACAAATCGCTATGTGTGTGTGCTCAGTGCTGATTCATCAAAGGAAACAAGCAGTGTGCACTGGAGTTTTCAGCAAGAATCTCAAAGAAGAGAAGAGATTAGTTGAGTTGAACTTTTAAAGCTGAAGTAGGCCAGGCATGGTGGCTCACTTGAGGTCGGGAGTTCAAGACCAGGCTGGCCAACATGGCAAAACCCCATCTCTGCTAAAAATACAAAAAAATTAGCCAGGCATGGTGGCGCATGCTGAGTGTAATCCCAGCTACTTGGGAGGCTGAGGCAGGAGAATCACTTGAACCTGGGAGGTGGAGATGGCAGTGAGCCAAGATCGCACCATTGCATTCTAGCCTGGGTGATGGAGTAAGACGGTCTCAATAAATAAATAGATAATAAAGATGAAGTAGACATCACCTATTTGTAAATTATAACAGAAAAGATTACCATCCAGAATTAAAAGTACCTGGAAGCCACCAAGAAGCACATAGTTTGACAGCAAAGTGAACAAGTAAGGCAGGCGCAGTGGCTCACGCCTGTAATCCCAACACTTTGGGAGGCAGAACTGGGTGGATCACTTGAGATGAGGAGTTTGAGACCAGCCTGGCCAACATGGCAAAATCCCGTCTCTACTAAAAACACAAAAAAATTAGATAGGCGTGTGCCTGTAATCCCAGCTACTTGGGAGACTGAGGCAGGAGAATTGCTTGAACCCAGGATGCAGTGAAGGTTGCAGTGAGCTGAGATCCTGCTACTGCACTCCAGCCTAGGTGACAGAGCGAGACTCCATCTCAAAAAAAAAAAAAAATAGTGAACAAATAAACCACAAAACATAGGAAACTAAATATGCTCTATATCATGGATAATCAAGAGAAATTTTGTTTTTGTTTTTGGTAGAGATGAGGTCTCACTATGTTGCCCAGGGTAGTCTCAAACTCCTGGGCTCAAGTGATCCTCCCACCTCAGCCTCTCAAGGTGTTGGGATTACAGGCATGAGCCCCTGTGCCTGGCCAGAAATGTATTTTTATAAGACATACATACTATTAGGTTCATTGCAGCATTGTTTATAATAGTAAACAAATGGTCCCAATGTCAATTTCCATCAGTAAGGACTCTATTTGCTGTGTATTCAAATCTTTTATAACAGGAATGCGTGTATTTTGTGTAAGAAAGAATAGTAGGCTATGGAGGAGGGGGTGATAGCAGCAGAGAGAAGCATAAAAGACCTCTTTGGCAGGAAGGATGGCTTCCAGACCAGCTAAGTGGAGCAAGCATGTTTTGAAGGACACTGGCTCTAATAGGGAGTTAGCATGGGGTGGGTCACAGAACGTATTTGATCAGGCAAAGAGGACTCTTGCCATCCAAGCCTGTTCCCTCAGATAAATGGGGATAATTCATATGTCATAAGCCAAATAAATGAGGGAATGAAACATACGTAACTAATAATAAAAAGTGTTAAAATTTATTGGGCATTTAACTGAGACAATCTGGTTCCAGAGCCTGCTCTCAATCCCAATGATGTGCTACCTTCACATCCTAGTTACGCCACTGACTAGCTTTGTGACTTTGGACAAGTTATTTAACATCCCAGGATCTGTTTTTACCTGTGTAAAAATGCATATATAGTACCTTTTTCACAAGCCTCAAAACGAATATAGGCCTTCCTCATAGGATTATTGAAAGATTGAGTTAAACATTGGTTTAGCTTAGGAACAGCATCTGGCACATAGTAAGTGTTCAGTGAACGTTAGCTATTACCATCATCACTATTAATGTGTGCTAGTGACTGTCCTGAGTTACATTATCTAATCTAATTTGTAATCCTCTGAACATGGCATTCACTCTCCTTTAGATGAGGAAATAAAGCTCAGACTGGGGATCAGACTCCAAGTATGTCTTGCTCTAAAGCCTAGGCTGTTTTCTACTCTACTCTCACAAGCATCTGTTGCCCAGTACAGTGCTTAACACACAGTAGTGAGTAACCACATTGACTGTGTAAATATTACTTTGCTTTTGTCAGCACTTTGCAAAAAGGAAATTAACTTTTTGCAATTAATTAGTGCAAGTTGCCCACAGTGATATAGCTTGGTATGTTTTTCTTTAGTCTCAGCTCTGCAGCCCACAATCTAGGAGCTGAACTTTAAGGTGCTTCATACCTGTCCCTATAGGATCTAACTCTGGCAGCTTTGGGTTGCCTCTGCTTAGAGGCTTGGTGCCAGGGATGAGTGGAGAGACCTCTTGGCTTGATGCCTATCTTGGCTAGGCCTAGGGCAGACTCATGGTTTAGCCTTAGCCCTTCCTTTCAAGGTCCTTGGCTGGGGACTTGGCCTTGTGCTCGGTACAAAGGTGCACTGCAATGTGTTTTACTAGATGAGTAAGAAGATACTCCTCCCACCCTCTCTCCATAAAGTTGCCAGACTAAGTCCTTGAGCTGCTGACTTCAGAAACCCAAAGAGAACTGAAGCAAGTCCAGATTGAATCCTTTAATTTTCCTGTAGAAAATGCTGGGGCTCCCTCCTCGCTCAGCAAGGACTTAAAGCAAGCAGAGGAAGTAGCAGGGATTCCTCCCTGTCAGCAGCTATCTTTTGAAGAGTTTTCATTCTTCAGATCCTGGGCACTCTGTCTAAATGGTGAGCTGATTTCCTAAAATGAGCTGAAATGTCTGAGAATGAAAGTTACTCCACGGGGATTATTATAGTCAAATGAATCATTTCAGATTCTGCAAGAAGATCAGACACGTGAAAACAAAAATTTCACAAAGAGATCAAAGTACAGATTAAACAAGCACAAGACACATTGGCCACCTCTGTCTCCAGTGTCTGTCCATCAGGATTAGTTCTAGGCACACCCAGTACAAGCTCAGAAAGCTTTCCTTAAGTACACTAGAAACAGAGGGGACCCAGGGGCCTCAGCATTGCTAGTATCTGAGTGGCCAAAATACCTAGATTTGTTTCTCTGTGTCTAAAACATACCTTTTCAGAATCTACAGCTGGCCATTCCCAGGATTCCATGGTGGAGGAACAAGTCATCCTCAGCCAGAGGAAAGGGATGAAAACGAAGCTGAGAAATCTGCTGGCCTCAACTAGGAAAACTGCCCATTTTACCCAGGCATCCTATCCTTCTTGAAAGTTAGTGATCTGGCCAGGCATGGTGGCTCACGCCTGTAATCCCAGCACTTTGGGAGGCCAAGGCGGGTGGATCACCTGAGGTCAGGAGTTACCAGCCTGGCCAACATAGTGAAACCCTGTCTCTACTAAAAATACAAAAATTAGCTGGGTGTGGTGGCGGGTGCCTGTAATCCCAACTACTGAGGAGGCTGAGGCAGGAGAATCGATTGAACCTGGGAGGCGGAGGTTGCAGTGAGCCGAGATTGCACCATTGCACTCCAGCCTGGGTGACAAGAGCAAAACTCCATCTCAAAAAAAAAAAAAAAAATAGTGATCTACATAAAAATCATTTTTTAAAAATCTCAGTAATATGCACTCAACCAGGAATTGTGTGACCTTAAACCATCCTTGGCTCTGCCACTGGCTAACTAGGTGACCTTAGACAAGTCTCTTTCTCTCCCTGGGCCAGTTAACACATTTGTAAAATGAAGACCAAAATAGTTTATCCCCAAGGTTATGTATTGATAGAGCCAGGATTAGAACCCATTTATTCTGATTCCCAATCCACTGACATTCCTTCTTCTCTCCTACCTATCCCTTGTGATTTCATGGCACTACTAGGCATAATTTAACCCCAACTAGGATATTCAAAACTAAAAGCATGCTGAAGGAATGAACTACTGATAATGGAACACAAGGGATAAAACATTATGCTAAATGGATGAAGTCAGGCACAAGAGAATACATACTGTATGATATTTCATTTATATGTAGTACTAGATAGGCAAAACTAATCTATGGCGGTAGAAACGACGTTAGTCGTGACTTCTTGGGGAAAATGTGAAAGATGGCCGGGTGCGGTGGCTCATGCCTGTAATCCCAACACTTTGGGAGGCCGAGGCCGGCAGATCACAAGGTCAGGAGTTCGAGACCAGCCAGTTTGAGAGCAGCCTGGCCAACATGGTGAAACTAAAAATAAAAAATTAATTAGTATTTACTAAAAATACAAAAATTAGCCGGGCATGGTGGCGTATGCCTGTAATCCCAGCTACTTGGGAGGCTGAGGCAGGAGAATTGCTTGAACCCGGGAGGCAGAGGTTGCAGTGAACCAAGATTGTGCCACTGCACTCCAGCCTGGGCGACAGAGCAAGACTTCGTCTCGGGGCAGGGGAGGCGGGGGGAAGAAAAAGATGATTATGAGGGAACTTTTTGGGGTGATGGACATGTTCTTTATCTTGATACAAGTATGGGTTTCATGGGTAGGTAGATGTATTTTCAGAATTGATCAAATGTACACTGAAGATCTATGTGTCACTATATATAAATTATACCTCAATGAAAAAAATCTTTTAAGAGTATGCCAAAGAAGTTTTAGAAGGGAAGGAAATACAACATTTACTGAGCATTACTAGCTCATTATATTTATATTATCTCCATCTCAAATCCCTAAAAAGGGATTATCCTCACTCTTCAGATCAGAAATCTGAGGTTCAATGAGGCCAGAATAACTCAGCTTCAAAATGAATAAATGTGGAAGCCAGCACAACCCAGGTTTGTTTGCCTCTTTTCCTTTAGCAGGTTGTCTCAGGGAGGGAAGGGAAGGTATTTTCAGCCTGGAGCCAGAAGACTTGTGTTCCGTTTGGTTTCACTGCCATGTGATCCTAAGAACATCCATTTCCTTCTGGACCTCCCTCCAGAAGAGTCAAAGCTCACAGTTGTTTTGTAACCCTGAGGTTCTGGCAATCAGAGTATCTCCAGTCCCTCTTACCAGGATAAGGCATTAAGAGTAATTTCCCTTTGTCTCAGGGCAAACTAATCATGAGCAACAAAAGTTCTCTGACTCTGGCGAGAGGATAAATCATCAGCTAGGTCAGTGACACAAGAGCTCCAAGGTGACAGAATCCAGCTGCCTCCTGTGTAAGAAGCCTGACTCATCCCTGAGTGATGTGATAGAAAAAGATGGACTAGGAATCAAGAGATTTAAATCCTGCTGCCCTTTTCCAGTGACATATCCCATGACCTTGGGCAAAGGATTGCCCTCTATGGGCCCCTAACCTGTACTAGCTAAAAGAGACAATTAGGTTGGCTGCATCCTAAAGTCCTTAAGCTCCACTATCTTGTCAGTTTATGAAATCCTGATTCCTGCTTCCACATATTGATAACAGCTGAGCAACTGGAAAAGACTGTTTTTTCCAGGTTTCCAAATGGAAAACATGTGACACTGCCCATTGCCCATATGATATAGAGGCAATACACATACAGCTACCCAACTCTGCCACTGTAACATTAAAGCAACCAGAGACAGTATGTAAGTGAATAAGCATGGCTCTGATCCAATGGCAGGGAGGGGTTTTGGAACTAGATAGAGCTGGTGACTGCAGAACATTATGAATGTACTAAATAAATGCTACTGAATTACTCATTTAAAAATGTTTAAGGCCAGGGGCGGTGGCTCACGCCTCTAATCCCAGCATTTTGGGAGCCCAAGGCGGGCGGATCGCCTGAGATCAGGAGTTCAAGGCCACCCTGGCCAACATGGTGAAACCCCGTCTCTACTAAAAATACAAAAATTAGCCGGGCTTGGTGGCAGGCACCTGTAATCCCAGCTACTCAGGAGGCTGAGGCAGAAGAATTGCTTGAACACAGGAGGCAGAGGTTGCAGTGAGCTGAGATCGCGCCACTGCACTCCAGCCTGAGCAATAAGAGCGAAACTTCATCTCAAAAAAAAAAAAAAAAAAAGCCAGGCGTGGTGGCGGGCGCCTGTAGTCCCAGCTACTCGGGAGGCTGAGGCAGGAGAATTGCTTGAACCCAGGAGGCAGAGGTTGCAGTGAGCCAAGATCGCACCACTGCACTCCAGCCTGGGTGACACAGTGAGACTCTGTTTCAAAAAAAAAAAAAAGTGTAATTTTGTATGTATGAATTTCACCTCAATATACTATTTAAAAAAACACAAACAGGCAGTGGGTAGGATATGGTTTATAGGCAGTAGTTTGCTGACACCTGACCAAAATCAACTTTCAATTCTTTGCTTAAACTCAATCCAGGGAAACTTAATTAGCAGTTATGTAACATCTGCCTGAATACTATAAGTCACTCATTACCCCCACAAAGCATTTTATTTCACTTATGGGCAGAATCTGTTTCTATCTGGAGAGTCTTTTCATGTACAAAGCCAAAATGTCCTTCTCTCCAACTTCCACCCATAGAGAGTTTACTTATGTTATGATCCTCTGCTTCACTACAGGACACCATGCCAGATTGCTTTAAAGGATGAGTTCACTCTAGTTGGAGAAATACGGAAGGGGAACATGCTTCTGTGCTAAAGCATCAGGCAAAGAGAAAATAGAATCTTTTTTTTTTAAGAGAAAGGGTCATACTCTGTCAGCCAGGCTGGAGTGCAATGGCACAATCATAGCTCCTGCAGTCTTGAACTCCTGGGCTCAAGCAATCCTCCTGCCTCAGCCTCCTGAGTAGTGGGACTACAAGTGCAT
Source organism: Homo sapiens (assembly GCF_000001405.40). Taxonomy (NCBI): domain Eukaryota; kingdom Metazoa; phylum Chordata; class Mammalia; order Primates; family Hominidae; genus Homo; species Homo sapiens. Next base: position 73,865,124 of record NC_000011.10, on the reverse strand, counting down.
ACCACCACGTCCAGCTAATTAAAATAAAAAGTTTGGCTGGGTGCAGTGGCTCACACCTGTAATCCCAGCACTTTGGGAGGCCAAGGCTGGCGGATCACGAGGTCAGGAGATCGAGACCATCTTGGCTAACATGGTAAAACCCCGTCTCTACTAAAAATACAAAAAATTAGCCAGGTGTGGTGGCGGGCGCCTGCAGTCCCAGCTACTTGGGAGGCTGAGGCAGGAGAATGGTGTGAACCCGGGAGGCAGAGCTTGCAGTGAGTCTAGATCGTGCCACTGCACTCCAGCCTGGGCAACAGAGCGAGACTCCGTTTCGGAAAAAAAAAAAAGAATGTTTTTGGTAAAGACAGAATGTTGCCAGGCTGGTCTCAAGCTCCTGGCCTCGAGCAGTCCTCCTGCCTCGGCCTCGCAAAGTGCTGGGATTACAGGGATGCACCACGGTGCCTGGCCAGAATATAGAATCTCTTAAAGATACTCCACAGGATGGGCCAATTTCTCTCTCTCACACACACATACATATACACATCTGCAGCAGATTTTTATTAGATGGAAGATAACAAGCATTACCTCATAGGTAAGTGGTAAGAAATGGCAAGTACAGCCAAGCCACAGAGGAGTGAGGACATTACTGGCTATGGGAATGGGTACTTATGAAATCTAAGGGTTGGGTCTCCTGATGAACTCTAACTACCCAGTAAGCTCTTCTCTTTGGCACTCAATATGACCACTGCTGGCATGAAAGGGTCTACAGTAGCTACTTCAACTTGGCCAACAGTTCTTCCAGTTCTGGTCGAGCTTTGAATCGTCCCTTGAAGTCTTCTTCAGTGTGCTAAGGAGAAGAAAAAGAAAATAAGCGGTAATTACTGCAGAGCTTTTAGTTACCCAGATATGCACAGCATCCAAAAAGGGCCCTTGAACCAGCTCTGTAGAGAATCATTCAGATTCAAGTAACTTTTATTATCTACTATGTAGCAGACTTATATTAGATACTGGGGATTCAAACTTGAATCAGACTTCCTCCTTGCTTTCAGTGAACTTATAGTCTGGTTAGAAAAGACAGATATATGAAGATTTAATGTCAAAATGCTATAACTATCACAATAGAAGCATTTGAGAGAGAGAGAGAGAATACCAAAATTATTTACATAGGAAATAAAACAAACAGGGATTGGACTGTTTTAAGGCAGCATGACCAGCACATGCTGTCTCTGTCCCCAGATCTGTATGAAACCCAAATACCAACCAGAAGAAGCTTGACAAGGATGGACTCAGAACAAGCAGAGCTGGATGGAGCAAATGGTACCAATCTAAGATGACCTCATACATCTGTGTCATAAGAAGGATCATCTTGGCAACTGGACCCAAATACTCAGTATTTAGGCTAAGACTCCTAATGTTCTCCAAGTTTTCCATGCCTGACCAAACATTCTATTGACTAGCATTCTTTATGAAATATATTCAGTCAAGCTACAGTCAAGCCTTGAAGATCCAGGAACCTTTTCTCTAACATATATTTTCCTATTTGTGTTCTGATTTATTACACCATATACTATCTTAACCCATGTTCTTTCTTCCACGCAACTGCCTGACAGGAGAGAATTCTGGGGCCTCATAGGCTCACCACCAACATCAGGATGCTGTGCTCAAAGTCAGCACTCATAGGCCACAAAGCATCATCCCTGATGCCTCAGAAGCTGGACTAATGATCACAGTGTCATCAGAGTGTACAACTTTTCTGATTATTATTTAGGTCACATTATCCACATTTCTCTGTTCTTTCTAAAGCCAGGAAGTCCAGATGTTCTTATCCTTATTTTGAGCATATGCAGGCCAGCAGGGGCCTCTTCTCAAACCAGCACCTACCTCCTTCACTGACAGTCTGACTCCTTCAGGAAGACTGCTTTGGATTATTTCCAAGAAAATTTCTGCAAACGTAGCACTCAAACCGCTGATCTGCAAAATGAAAGAAGGTGCTCTAAGAGGTGGGAGGAGCTGAAAACGAGGTAACTGGGCAGACATGGTATGGGTTCAAATGCCAGCTCCAGTAGAGTCTGGAGAGCCCAAGCGTGGAAGATTAACACCAAAACTGGTTTCTGAGCTGGCCTCTACAGGATTTCTCCTGCCATCTGCCAAGGTGCTGAGATGTTCACTGCCAATATCTGCTCCTGTGGGCATTAGATGTCATTACTGGACCAAGAGGTTTTAAAGTCCAGGGTTTCTTTCTGTTGCCCAGGCTGGAGCGCAGTAGAACAATCATAGCTCACCGCAACCTTGAACTCCTGGGTTCAAGTGGTCCTCCCACCTCAGCCTCCGAGTAGTTGGGACTACAGGCACGTGCCACCAGTCCCGGCTAATTTTTTATTTTTATTTTTTGGTAGAAACAGGGTCTTGCTATGTTGCCCAGACTGGTCAAATTCCTGGCCTCAAGGAATCCTTCCACTTTGGCCTCCAAAAGTGCTAGGTTTACAGGCATGAACCATGGCACCCAACTCAGGCTGACTTTCTTATTTATTTATTTATTTTTGAGACGGAGTCTTGCTCTGTTGGCCCCAGGCTGGAGTGAAGTGGCGCTATCTCAGTTCACTGCAACCTCCGCCTCCCAGGTTCAAGCAATTCTCCTGCCTCAGCCTCCCAAGCAGCTGAGATAACAGGTGCCTGCCACCATGCCTGGCTAATTTTTATTTTTGTTTTGTTTTGTTTTTGAGATGGAGTTTCGCTCTTGTTGCCCAGGCTGGAGTGCAATGGTGCAATCTTGGCTCACTGCAACCTCTACCTCCCGGGTTCAAGCGATTCTCCTGCCTCAGCCTCCTGAGTAGCTGGGATTACAGGCATGCGCCACCACGCCTGGCTAATTTTGTATTTTTAGTAGAGATGGGGTTTCTTCATGTTGGTGAGGCTGGTCTCAAACTCCCAACCTCAGGTGATCCGCCCACCTCGGCCTCCCAAAATGTTGGGATTACAGGCGTCAGCCACCGTGCCCAGCTAATTTTTGTATTTTTAGTAGAGCCAGGGTTTCACCATGTTGGCCAGGCTGGTCTCAAACTCCTCACCTTAAGTGATCCGCCCGCCTTGTTCTCCCAAAGTGCTGGGATTACAGGTGTGAACCACCGTGCCCGGGCACTGCCTTTTGATTCAACTCAGCTTTGCCCATATCCAGGCATACCAGGACCTGACTGGTGTCAAACGCTGTGCTAAGAACACCAAGGTGAATCAGATGTATGGTAAAAGGGCAGGCAGGGGGCTGCAAGGAACCACAAGAGAAATTCCTACCCAACTCAACCAAGGAAGATCAAAAAAACCTTCCAGGAGAGGTAGTATCTGGGTGAAATATTGAAGAAAAACAAGACTAAACTAGGAGAATTCAACAGTAATGTGGAGGATTTTGAAGGCAGAGAAAACAGCATTCAGTAAAATATAGGGGCATAACAGTGTTAGGAAATTAAAACTAGCTCCATTGGCCGGGCACAGTGGTTCATGCCTGTAATCCCAGCACTTTGGGAGGCTGAGGTGGGCGGATCACCTGAGGTCAGTAGGTTGAGACCAGCCTAACCAACATGGAGAAACCCCATCTCTACTAAAAATACAAAATTAGCTGGGCATGGTGGCGCATGCCTGTAATCCCAGCTACTCAGGAGGCTGAGGCAGGAGACCCGCTTGAACACAGGAGGCGAAGGTTGCGGTGAGCCGAGATCGCACCATTGCCTTCCAGCCTGGGCAGCAAGGGTGAAACTCTGTCTCCAAAAACAAACAAACAAACAAAAAAAAACAAACTAGCTCCACGTGTGGCTGGAGTAAATGGGCTGTGAAGAGGAAAAGCAGGAGGAGAATCATGAAGGCACCTGAGTACCAACCTAAAGCATTCAAACTATTCTATGGGCTTCTGGCATGTCAGATCTGTCACAGGATATATTATAAATAATTTAATCCTGATAATATTTAAAAAGCCAAAGATTGTACTTAGTTATTTTTTAAATTAGCATATTTAGACTTAAATTTAATATTCATTTTATTACCTTGCTGATATGTTCCTTCAGTGGATCAAAAAAGGGTGATGCCTATACCATGGAATATTATTTGGCAATAAAAAGGAATGAAGTACCAATACAACAGAGATGAACCTTGAAAACATTACGCTAAATGAAAGAAGTCTGACACAAAAGGCCATTTAATGTACAATTCCATTTAAATGAAGAGATAAATCCATAGAGATAGAAAGTAGATTAGTGGCTGCAAGGGGTTAGGGCGACCAAGAAAGAGGAGTGACTGCTAATGAGTACACGGTTTCTTTTAGGGTGAGGAAAATGTTCTAAAATTGATTGTGGGGATGGTTGCATAACTCTTTGGCTATACTAAAAACCGTTTTTATTGTATACTTCAAATTGGTAAATTGTATGATATGTCCATTATATATCAATTAATGCTCTTATTCAAAGGGGGATGATGTTAAAGCTGGGAAGCTGTGAATTTTTTATACCTCTGGGTACTCTCATGGTGGTGTGGTTGGCACCCATCATTATCTGCAGGAAGAAAAGAGGACAACTGCTAGAGATCAAAGGAAGGCAGCCACTGAGGGGTTTCAAGCGGGAAAATGACATGATCACTTGTTATGGGGGTAAAGTGAAGTGGATGAATCTGAAAGATTTTTAGGAGGTAGAAGCTATAGAATTTGGTGAATGAATGGATATCAGAGGACAAAGAAGGGTGACACATTAGGCTCAAAGGTGGGGAGGATTACAGAAAAAGAGGAAAATCAGTCCCTCTACAACTAATTTTGCATAGACAGAGTGCAGGGAGGACTCCTGTGGAACATCCAAGTCGAGAAGGCCAGTAGACAACTGGGTATCAAGTTTCAAGCCTCAGCCAACAGATCAGGACTGGAGATATATACATCTGGGGGTTATCAGTATTAAATGATGATCACTGAGGCCTAAGGAATGAATGAGACTGCATAGGGGGAAGGTATTATAAAAGGAGAGATGGAGGCATCAAGAACTGAACCTGGAGAACACTATTATTCAAGAAAGAAAAGAAAAGAGCATAATAGAAAGTGAAAAAGTGGACAGAGAAAAGAACCAGGAGAAGCAAATACATTTTTTATTCTCCTGGAGTGCCTACCTGAACCACTCGCTCATGGGTGGTAAGCACTGAGTCCAGGAGCATTTTGCTGCCTTGGTCCTGCAACTGCAACACTTCTATGGTTTTGGTTGGCATTGCATAACTGTGGGAAGGAAGAGTCAGCTATAGTGAGTGTTCACTGAAGCCAGCAGCCACTTCAATCATAGTAGTCCATGAGTATAGCCACTATGGCATGCAATAGTTCCCGGAATGTAGGGGATGCTTATCTGCAACCAGGAGCAAAGTAACTAGATCCCTCTTACCTGCTTCAAAACTCCCTAAGCAAATACACCATGTTTAATGCAGTTCTGCATCTCTAATCATACTTAATACTCCAAAAAAAAAATACAATACTCCGAATAAAACCTGGTGATTAATAATAAATAATTTGTTGCTACTGAAGAATGGCCCATTCTAAAAGAATCAAGTGACCAGATGTGGTGGCGCACACCTGTAATCCCAGCAATTTGGGAGGCCAGGGCAGCTGGATGGCTTGAGCTCAGGAATTCAAGACCAGCCTGGGCAACACAGTAAGACCCTGTCTCTACAAATATACAAAAATTAGCTAGGTGTGGTGGCACACACCTGTAGTCCCAGCTACTCAGGAGGCTGAGGTGGGCAGATTGTTTGAACACAGGAGGTCAAGGATGCAGTGAGCCAAGATTGCGCCACTGCACTCCAGCATGGGCAACAGAGGAAGACCTTGTCTCAAAAAAAAAAAAAGAAAGAAAAGAAAAGAAAAAGAAAAAAGAATCAAGCTCATCACTAGGTATGCTTTGGAGGCTAACCTTGGGTATTTAATCTGTTCTGGAGAAATAAGGCATGAAAATTAACTGTTCTAGAACAGGATTTCTCAACCTCAGTGCTACTGACATTTTAGACCAGATAATTCTTTGTTGTAGGGGCTGACCTACACATCCATATACATCCCTCTACCCACTGGGTATCTGTAGTATACCCCAAGTGGTCACAGTCAAAACTACCTCCAAACATTGTTAATTTCCCCCTGAGGGGCAACTTCTCCCAGATTATAGAGTTTATGCTTACTAAAATCAGCTTCAGCAAGTCTACGTGTTGCAGTGAAAATAACACGGAACATGGAGTCAAGTGTTGGTCCTGCTACTTATTAGCAATATTTACTTAGGTAAGTCATTCCCCCTCTGGGCCTCAGTTTCTTCATGTATAAACAAGATAACCATCTAGGCCTATTATCAACAGAGAATTGTGAAGACTGGTGTATTAATGAGATAAGACTGGACTAATGGCTACATGGAAATATGGTAGTAGTGTTGTGTTCATCTTATCAAAAAGTTCATCAAACTGAAGATAAATGAAATAAGATTCCTAAATTTTCATGTGTCACAAAATCATCACTTAATAGCAAGGGGCATGGCCCTCTATAGGTGGACCTCTACAAAAGAAGTTTAGTGTAATAGGCCAGGCGCGGTGGCTCACGCCTGTAATCTCAGCACTTTGGGAGGCCGATGCGGGTGGATCACAAGATCAGGAGTTTAGAAGTAATGGAAAATGGACTAGAGACATGACAGTCAGTCCTGGAGTTAAATATTGGCTCTGCCAATTATTACCTATTTGAATTTGGGAATTCAGGTTTCTGAGTCTCCATTTTTCTGCTATAAATTGAAAATAATAATACCTAATTCACAGAGTTGTTGTAATGATTAAATGAGATTACATAAGTAATTGCCTGGCATAAGGTCAGTAAATGCAAGATATTGCAAATTCTTTCAGGTAGTCTTTCTAAATAACATCCCTCCTGCTTTTCAGCATTATCTCTGATCTCCTCTTCTTCTGATTCAAATACAGTAATAACTTTCCAACATAAAAAAATGGGGATACAATCATAGACTTCTTATGGATGTTCAAGTGAAATAATTGTGTTTCAGAAAAATAAAAACACCCTAAAATACTATTTTTCTTTTTTGGCATTCTGCAGATAGGACTGACTAAAGTGGGAATTGTCCATTCCTGCCACTAATAATGGGTTTTATTCTTTAACACTTACTTCAGCAAGATTTCATTGATTTGTTTACTCATTCACTCAACAAATATTTACTAACAGCCTGCTCTGTTCTAGGCACCCTGATGGGCAAAGAAGTCTATGCATGCGGTGGCTCAAGCCTGTAATCCCAGCCCTTTGGGAGGTTGAGGCAGGTGGATCACCTGAGGTCAGGAGTTCAAGACCAGCCTGACCAACACGGTGAAACTGTCTCTACTAAAAATACAAAAATTAGCTGGGTGTGGTGGCAGCTGCCTGTAATCCCAGCTACGCAGGAGGCTGAGGCAGGAGAACCACTTGAACCTGGGAGGTGGAGGTTGCAGTGAGCCGAGATCATGCCACTGTACTCCAGCCTGGGCGACAGAGCAAGACTCTGTCTCAAAAAAAAAAAAAAAAAAAAAAAAAGTCTATGCGGCCAGGCGTGGTGGCTCCCACCTATAATGTGAGCACTTTGGGAGGCCAAGACAGGAGGATTGCTTAAGCCCAGGAGTTCAAGACTAGCCTGGGCAACCTACTGAGACCCTGTCTCTATTTAGAAAAAAAAAAAGGAAGAAAAAAGTCGGTCGGGCGCAGTGGCTCACGCCTGTAATCCCAGCACTTTGGGAGGCCAAGGCAGCTGGATCACCTGAGGTCAGGAGTTCGAGACCAGCCTGGCTAACATGGTGAAAACCTGTCTCTACTAAAAATACAAAAAATTAGCTGGGCGTGGTGGTGAGCGCCTGTAGTCCCTACTACTCGGGAGGCTGAGGCAGAAGAATCACTTGAACCTAGGAGGTGGAGGTTGCAATGAGCCAAGATCATGCTACCTCACTCCAGCTTGGGCGACAGAGCAAGGCTCAGTCTCAAAAAAAAAAAGGTCTATGCTTTCAAGGAGCTCACTGTGAGTGTTTTAAAGAGATAAGTAAGTATATAAACATTGTACTACAGTAAGACAAAGGCAATAATAGGTATGTGCCGAATACTATAGGGACAAGAAGGGGCGGAAAGGGGGGCTCAGGGAAAGCCTCACAGGAGGTAGTGATTTATCAAGATGTAGAACAGGCCTTTAAGTATGTAAAAGTACGTATGGGTTTTTTTATTTTTTTATTTTTTATTTTTTGTCTACACTATTTTGTACCTTCCAAATTTTCTGCAATAAACATTGCTTTGATGATCAGACAGTAAAATGGAAGGAAATAAATGAAGGAATTTAATTTCACGAGTCAATCTAACATGACAAAATAATGCTATTTAGGGGAAGTATTGCCAAGAAAGGGACAAAAGGAAGTCTGCTAGGGTGCTGGGGAGCTTCACTTTATACAAGTTATATCTCAATTTTTAAAAATGTAAGTAGATTTTTTAAAAACAGAAGAGCAGCCTCATAGTGAGTGATGCTGAGTGATGCTTTTACTCTTAGCAGAGCACAGGGGCTGGTTCAACTTCAGGCTTGGAAGCTGCTCCCAGATGAGTGAGATTTCCATCTCCTCAGGCAGCTGCTCAGCAAAGGATGCAGGCAAATTAAGGGACCCACATGAGAGGCCTCTTCTTTGCCTCTCCTTCTGGGTGAGTTGTAGCTGCAGCAGTGCAAACCACTTAGAGAACAAAAGCTGGCATCCTGCTGTCTAGCCCAATTCCATCTCAAGGTCATGGCAATCATCCCTACCCACCCTCCCCCAAGGAAAAATGGATTAAGATGAAATGAAAATCAGAAGAAAATAATTTCATCTCTGAAAGGCTGGGTAGTGAGATTGCCTAACAATACCACAGTCTGAAAACCTCAATCAATGCAGAGAATTGAGTTGCTAAAAACAAACAGCTCTTTATGCTCTGAGCTGTTTGGAGCAAAGAGCCAGCAAAGAGGCAAAAAGCAGCATATCATTCATCCTGCTGTTCTAGGAATCATGTCCGCCATGCCTGTTAGAATTCAATCCAAATCAACAAGTCTGTATTCAGTGCCTACTGTGTGTCAGGTACTTGGCAAGATCTTAGGGTTAGGCCACTAATGAAGACAGAAATAGTCCTTGCCTTACAAAGCTTAGAGTCTAATAGAAAAGACCAATAATAGTCAAGTAATTACAAGAGCAAGAAGTGCATGTTATGAAAGAGCAGTTAAATACCTTTTACTTCTTCTAAATATATAACATAAAGATCTAACTTAATGAGGTTTCCTGAAGAAGTAACATTCAAGATGACATGTAAGAAAACAAAAATAAATAAATAAATAAAGAGGCCAGGCACGGTGGCTCACGCCTGTAATCCCAGCACTTTGGGAGGCCGAGGCAGGTGGATCACGAGGTCAGGAGCTCAAGACCAACCTGGCCAAGATGGCGAAACCCCGTCTCCACTAAAAATACAAAAATTAGCTGGGCGTGGTGGCAGGCACCTGTAATCCCAGCTACTCGGGAGGCTGAGGCAGGAGAATTGCTTGAATCTGGGCAGCAGAGGTTGCAGTGAGCCGAGATCGCACCACTGCACTCCAGCCTGGGCAACGGAGTGAGACTCCATCTCAAAATAAAAAAGATGGCATCTAAGAAAAAAGTAGAAGCTAGTTAGATGAAGAGAGGAAGAGCATATGCAAAGGTCCTGAGGTGGAAAGGGACAAAAACAAAGCCAGTGTAACTAGAGGTAGAGGGAGGTGGGGAGGGAAGTGTGAAGAGAGGCAAGGCAGGCCCTGGAGCACCTAGGAAGCTACATGAGAAACTTTTATTGTGATCCTACGGGAGTGGGAAGCCATCAAAGCATTTCAAGCAGAAGAGTGACATAATCATATTTCCATCTAGAAAGATCACCATAAATGCTGTGTGGAGAACCGGTTAGAAGAATAGAGAATTAGGAAAAAAAGTAGGTTTAACTCCAGAACTTGCCACTTATTAGGTGTAGGAATAGGGCAAGCTTCTATAATAATAATAATAGTAATAGTAATAATAATAGCAGCCAACAGTTGCTGGACATAGTTCTATGTACATTATATATAATAGCTCCCTTAATTTTCACTGTAGCCTTTTAAGGTAGGTGCTTTTAGTAACCCCATTTTACAGTTGAGGAAACCAAGACACAAAGAGGTTGAGCAAACTGCCCCAATGTCATACAGTAAGAATGCAGTGGAGCAAGAAAACTCAGGCAGTTTGGCTCCAGCTTTGATACGTTGATCTACTAATACACAAAAAAATGTACTTAGCTTGTTCAGAGTGCCTCACTGATAGTAGGTGCTCAACAAATGTAACTGCCTTCCTGCTTTCACTCAAATGCAGCCAGGGCATTACAGCTGAGTTTTTTAAAGAAAGTGTTTTGGTTGGTTGTTTGTTTTTGGACTAGATAGTCTTTTAATCTATAATCCAGGAGTATACAACCATGCAGCACTGACCACTTAGCCAGATGTAAAATAAACTAGCTTCTTACCACAACTACCCTATAAACATTGCAACTAGGCCAGGCACGGTGGCTCATACCTGTAATCCTAGCACTTTGGGAGGCCAAGGCGGGCGGATCACTTGAGGTCAGGAGCTTGAGACCAGTCTGGCCAACATAGTGAAACCCCATCTGTACTAAAAATACAAAAATTAGCCAGGTGTGGTGGTGGCGGGTGCCTGTAGTCCCAGCTACTCAGGAAGCTGAGGCTTGAGAATCCCTTGAATCCAGGAGTCAGAGGTTGCAGTGAGCCGAGATCGTGCCACGGCACTCCAGCCTGGGCGACAGAGCAAGACTGACTCAAACAAACAAACAAAACATTGAAACTATTCCTTCTAAAATGACCCTAATCTTATGTGAACACACCAACTGTGGGGGAACCAGAAACTTAGCTATGTGGCAAAAAGTAAAAGCCAAAGGGAAAACAGCAATTCCGTGGTTAGTTGATGAAAAGCAGGAAATTCAGTGCCCTTCACTATAAAAGCAGCATCTGTAAAGAGTCCTAAAAATTTCAAACACTATTCCAAGGAACTGACTGACCCACTGTAGGTATGATAGTAACATTCTGTGATTGACATTTAATGTTCTTTGCCATCAACCTTTAAGAAGCTATCTCAGCCGAGCGCGGTGGCTCACGCCTGTAATCCCAGCACTTTGGGAGGCCGAGGTGGGCGGATCACGAGGTCAGGAGATCAAGACCATCCTGGCTAACACGGTGAAACCCCCTCCCTACTAAAAGTACAAAAAATTAGCCAGGCGTGGTGGCAGGGACCTGTAGTCCCAGCTACTCGGGAGGCTGAGGCAGGAGAATGGCGTCAACCCGGGAGGCGGAGCTTGCAGTGAGCCGAGATCGCGCCACTGCACTCTAGCCTGGGCAACAGAGCGAGACTCCATCTCAAAAAAAAAAAAAAAAAAAAAAAAAAAAGAAGCTATCTCTAATTCCCGCCAGCTGAAAAAAAAGTTCTTAATTATTACAACAGTAACATTAGTAACAGAATGTTTACAATGTGCCAGTGTCTGTGCTAAGTGCTGTCATGTACCATCTTGTTTCATTTTCAGAGCTCAAAGAAACAGAAAAAATTATCATCCTCATTATATAGATGAGGAAACTGAGGCTCAGAATTTCCCAAGGTCATATTGCTAATAACTGATAGAACTAGAATATGAATGCCAACAATTTGATTCCAGAGCTTGTACTCTTTTTTTTAATGTTTAATTTTTGTGGGTCCATAGCAGGTATATATATTTATAGGGTATATGGGATATTTTGATACAGGCATACAATGCATAAGAATCTCATCAGGGTAAATGGGATATCCATCATCTCAAGCATTTATCCTTTGTGCTACAAACAATCCAACTATACTCTTTTAGTTATTTGTAAATGTACAATTAAATTATCAACTATAGTCACCCTGTTGTGCTATCAAATATTAGATCTTATTCAATCTTTCTATTTTTGATACCCATTAACCATCCCCACTTCTCCCCCAGCCCCCACTGCCCTTCCCAGCCTCTGGTAACCATCAGACTACTCTCTATCTCTGAGTTCAATTGATTTTAATTTTAGCACCCACAAATAAATGACAACATGCAATGTTTGTCTTTTTTGTGCCTGGCTTATTTCACTTAACATAATAACCTCCAGTTCCATCTATGTTGTTGCAAATGACAGGATGTCATTCATTTTTATGGGTGAATACTACTCTATTGTATACATGTACATTTTCTTTATCCATTCACCTGTTGACAGACACTCCGGTTGCTTCCAAATCTTGGCTATTGTGAATAGTGCTGCAATAAATACGGGAGTGCAGATAACTTTTCGATATACTGATTTTCTTTCTTTGGAGTTTATACCTAGCAGTGAGATTGCTAGATCATATGGTAGCTCAATTTTTAGTTTTTTGAGGAACTTCCAAACTGTTCTCCATAATGGTTGTACTAATTTTCAATCCCATCAACAGTGTATAAAGGTTCCTTTTTCTCCACATCCTCGTCAACATTTGTTATTGCCTGTCTTTTGGATAAAAGCCATGATGAGATGATATCTCACTGTAGTTTTGATTTGCATTTCTCTGACGATCAGTGATGTTGAGCACTTTTTCATAGGCCTGTTTGCCATCTGTACATCTTTTAAGAAACGTCTATTCAGATCTTTTGTCGATTTTTAAATTAGATTATTAGATTTTTTTTTTTTTTTTTTTTTTTTGCTATAGAGTTGTTTGAGCTCCTTATATATTCTGGTTATTAATCCCTTGTCAGCTAGATAGCTTGCAAATATTTTCTCCCATTCTGTGGGCAGAGCTTGTACTCTTAACCACATATTATTTCAAGTGTAGTCCATAGACAAGCTGCCAGTGAACAGCCTAATTGTCACTGGTCCATGACAGACAAGAAATGTGCAACCAGTCACTAAACAAACCGCTTGATTCAGCCAAGTTTTTCTTAATATCAAGACTCTCCTAATGAAGGAAACCAAGTATTAATGTACATTTTGGCATAAGTTCCTGACATCTTCTCGGAATGGTACTTTGAGAAGCACTACTCTAAATTACTATGTTACTCTGCCTCTTTGAGCTGTAATTGCAGTTTATCTTTCACATTATGTTATAATTATGTCTCTCGGTATGTATGTACATGCATGTATGTGTGCATTCACTGTGTGTGTGTGTGTGTGTGTGTGTACGTTCCCTGAAACTAGGAGGTTCCCCTTAATATCTCCCAGAATGTCTAATGCAGTGCTCACCACATAGCAAGAAGAGGCTCAATCAATAGTTTTTGAATTAATTCATTAAAAGGACTTTCATTAATTTAGCAACTGTATACCACACAACTGGATTGTATAGTGATATTTAAGAACCTGTCATTCTTTCAATCATGACTGAATGTCTCCCATATGGCAGGCCTTGTAGTGGGTGCTAAAGAAACAAAGAACACAGTCCCCATCCAGAAGGAATGCACTGTCAGAGGGAAAAGGAACTGCCACATGAATAGATCATTCGAGCCCAGAGCACTAAGTGACATGAGGTATGTGTCAAGTGCTGAAAGAGGAACCAACTCTCTGGGGCATCAGAAAGAGATAAAGCACATTTTTAGAACTGAAGTACTGTCAGCTATGAGAGCTAAAGTCACAGCTTATTATCAAATCTCCTAAAGAACATCTTTTAGCACAGTTGCACTCTAATGTATAAAGGTTTAAAAGTTCAAATTTGGCTGAAGGACTTAAAATAAGACCCTATGTAACTGAAAATACTTGTCAGGCAGAACTGGGTTTAAATCCAGGCAAGTTACTGGTTCTGTGCTTTCAGCCTTTCTAAGCCTTGATTTCCACATCTGTTAAATGGGAATATACTAATATCTAATGAGTAAGAAAGTATAATTTTTGTTTGTCCAATATGGCGGCACCCAGTGGCGGTGTGAACTGGGAGGAGTTTGCCCAGTTCCAGGAATTACTCAAAGTGATAAGGACAAGTGATGACAGAAAATAGTATATAAATTAAACACTAAGGTTCTAACAGCTTCCTTTGTAGGGAAAATTGATGCCAGCCAAACCTGTAAACAAATTTATGGGTCTTTGATGGCAGCTCTTGCCAGTAGGAACAGAGTCATAAAAAATTGTATAGCCCAGGCCGGGCGCGGTGGCTCACGCCTGTAATCCCAGCACTTTGGGAGGCCAAGGAGGGCGGATCACGAGGTCAGGAGATCGAGACCATCCTGGCTAACATGGTGAAACCCCGTCTCTACCAAAAATACAAAAAATTAGCCAGGCGTTGTGGCAGGTGCCTGTAGTCCCAGCTACTCAGGAAGCTGAGGCAGGAGAATGGAGTGAACCTGGGAGGCAGAGGTTGCAGTGAGTCGAGATCGCGCCGCTGCATTCCAGCCTGGGCGACAGAGCGAGACTCCGTTTCAAAAAAAAAAAAAAAATTGTATAGCCCAGACCTCAGAAGTAGTAAAAAACCTCCAAGAAGAGAGAGAAAATAATTTGGACAACTTAATGTTATTAAAGCAACTTAGAAAAGAACAGACAAAGTTGAAATGGATGCAGTCAGAACTGAATGTTGAAGAAATAGTAAAAGACAAAGGCTGGAAGGTGTTTAATAAACGGTGTCAAATTCACTTCAAGCCTCCAAAGAATGAATAAAGAAAGAGAGATTTTTTTTTTAAAGGACTGGGTCATCTCATAAGAGGTAAGTATGACAGATATCAAGAGGGCAGGCTTCCTAGGATGATCTGTGAGCCAACAACAGTCCAAGACCTTTTGTTGATTTCAGCCCACTTAGCCAAGACCTCAAGTATAAATAATTCTGATAATTATGGAGTAATCAACTGCTATTTTATATTGATTCTGTAAAAAAAAAATTTTTGTTATTAAAATAATTTTCTGACTCAGTGTAAAAAAAAAAAAAGCAAGTGTAATTTTTGCCATATCCACATACTATATCATGTACTACCTTGCCACAGTGACAGATTACCTAAGCTACATTTTTGTTGTTGCTGTTTTTAAGACAGGCTCTCTACTTTGTTGCCCAGGCTGGAGTGCAGTGGCACGATCTCAGTTCACTGCAACCTCTGCCTCCCGGGCTTAAACAATATTCCTGCCTCAGCCTCCCAAGTGGCAGGGACTACAGGCGCACGCCACCAAGCCAGGCTAGTTTTTGTATTTTTTATGTAGAGACAGGATTTCACCACGTTGCCCAGGCTGGTCTCAAACTCCTGAGTTCAAGCAGTCCATGCTCCTCAGCCTCCCAAAGTACTGGGATTACAGGTGTAAGCCACTGTGCCCAAGCCTTGATTTCTTATAAAATCAAACATATACTTCACTTACTATTTGACTCAACAATCATACTCCTAGAGAAATGAAGACGTGTGTTCTCACAAAAACCTGTACATATTTATAGTGGTTTTATTCATAATTGCCAAAAACTGGAAACAACAGAAATGTCCTTCAATCAGAAAAGGAATAAACTGTGGTACATCCTTTCAATGAAACGCTACTCAGCAACAACAACAAAAAACCAAACTACTTGCAGGCAACAACATAGATGAATCTCAAATACAGTATGCTAAGCAAAAGAAGAATCAAAAAGAAAAATACTATATGATTTTATTTGTATGGAATTCTGAAAAAGGCAAAACTATAAGGACAGAACATAGATAAAAAGTTGCCACGGGGCGCAGTGGCTCACACCCGTAATCCCAGCACTTTGGGAGGCCAAGGCAGGCAGATCACCTGAGATCAGGAGTCTGAGACCAGCCTGACCAACATGGCAAAACCCCATGTCTGCTAAAAATACAAACATAAGCCGGGTGTGGTGGGGAACATCTGTAATCTCAGCTACTTGGGAGGCTGAAGCAGGAGAATCGCTTGAACCTGGGAGGCAGAGGTTGCAGTCAGCCGAGATTGCGCCACTGCACTCCAGCTCAGGAGACAGAGCAAGACTCCGTCTCAACAAAAACAAAAAACAAAAAGAATTAAAAAGGGGCTGGGTGCAGTGGCTCATGCCTGTAATCCTAGCACTTGGAAAGGCCGAGGCAGGCAGATTGCCTGACTTCAGGAGTCCGAGACCAGCCTGGGCAACATGGCAAACCCCAACTCTACTAAAAATACAAAAAATTAGCCAGGCATGGTGGCACACACCTGTAGTCCCAGCTATTCCAGGGAAGCTGAGGCAGGAGAATCACTTGAACCCAGGAGATGGAGGTAGCAGTGAGCCGAGATCACGCCACTTCACTCCAGCCTGGGTGACAGAGCAAGACTCTGTCTCCAAAATTAAAAAAAAAAAATTACAAAGGGAAGAAATTTCTACCCATGGGATTTAATGTTATTTAAGGAAAACCAGAGGGCATCCTATACTGTGTGAAATACTGAGATAAGATATGTAAAGAGCCCAGACTGGAGCAGGTAGGTAGGGAGTAAATGTTACTTCCCTCTCCTACAGTTTTCCAACAAATCCAAAAAATGCATAAAAGCAGAGCAGATAAAGAATATCTAAATACTGTAAATGGAGAGAGAAATTGTGTTAATGAATCAGAAGACTCAATATAAACAATTAAGATTTCAATTATTCCCAAATTGATCTACAGATTCAACACAATCCTAAAAAAAAAAAAAAATCCCATCGGACTCTTTTCTGTAGAATCAACAAGCTAATTCTAAAAATTTTTATGGAAAACCAAAGGACCTAGAATAGCCAAAATAATTTTGAAAAAGAAGAACAAAGTTAGAGTTGGTAATCAAACTACACTAATCAAGACAGTGGGTACAGGTGTAAGCATATATGTAACAGAATAGAGCAGAGAAATAGACCCACATATACATGGTCAACTGGCTGTCAAAAAAGGTGCTAAGATAATTCAGTGGAGAAAGAAAATCTTTCCAACAAATGGTGCTGGAAACAACTGAATATTCATATGCCAAAAAAAAAAACTTTGACCCATTATATACAAAACTAATTCAAAATGGATCACAGACCTAAATATAATACTTAAAACTATAGAACTTCTAGGAGAAAACATAGGAAAATGTTTTTTTGCAACTGGGTCAGGCAAAGATTTCTTAGATATAAAAGAAAAAGCAGAAACCATAAGAGAAAAAGATTGATAAACTGAACTTCATTAAGCTTAACTTCTGCTCTTCAAAAGACATACTGTTAAGAGGACAACAAGATAAGTCATAGACAGGAAGAAAATATTTGCAAAACACGTATCTGCAAAGGAACTGGTGGCCAGGTGCAGTGACTCACAACTGTAATCCCAGCACTTTGGGAGGTCACGGTGGGTGGATCATTTGTGGTCAGGAGTTCGAGACTGGCCTGACCAACATGGTGAAATCCCATCTCTATTAAAAATACAAAAATTAGGCCAGGCCCGGTGGCTCACACCTGTAATCCCAGCACTTTGGGAGGCCGAAGCGGGCAGATCACGAGGTCAGGAGATTGAGACCATCCTGGCTAACACGGTGAAACCCCGTCTCTACTAAAAATACAAAAACAAAATTAGCTGGGCATGGTGGCAGGCGCCTGTAGTCCCAGCTACTCGGGAGGCTGAAGAAGGAGAATGGCGTGAACCCGAGAGGCAGAGTTTGCAGTGAGCTGAGATTGTGCCACTGCACTCCAGCCTGGGTGACAGAGCAAGACTCCGTCTCAAAAAAAAAAAAGGAACTGCTATCTAAAAATAGATGAACAATTTTGAAGACCCAATAAGAAAACAAGCCATTTTTTTAAATGGACAAAAGATTTAAACAGACATATCATCAGGGAAGATACACAGATGACAAATAAGCACATGAAAAGATGCTCAATATCATTATTTATTAGTGAAGTGCAAATTAACACCACTATGAGATACCACTATAAACCTATTAATAGCTTTTTAAAAATTGATGATACCAACTGCTGACCAGGATGAAGAGTTGCCGGAAGTCTCATACATTGCTGGTGGGAATAAAAAATGGTGCAGCCATTTTGGAAAACAATTTGGCAATTTCTTATAAAGTTAAACATAAACTTACTATACAATCCAGAAATTGGAGGCGAGATTGGAGGTTGGAGGGAGGCAGAGGTTGCAGTTAGCCAAGACTGTGCCACTGCACTCCAGCCTGGGCAACAGAGTGAGACAAAAAAAAAAAAAGAAAAAAAGAAAGGAAGCCTGGGCAACAAAGTGAGGCCCCATCTCTACAAAAAATTTTAAAATTAGCCAGGCATTCAGAGGACTAGGTCATATCAGGAAAATAAAAAATCAGCTTGGCGAGTTGGTGTTTGCCTGTAGTCCCAGCTATTTGGGAGAGAGAGGAGGATCGCTTGAGCCTAGGAGGTTGAGGCTGCAATAAGCAATGATCGCACCACTGCATACCAGCCTGGGTGGGAGAGAGAGACCATGACTGCATACCAGGCTGGGTGGGAGAGAGAGACCATGTCTCTAAAAGAAAAAAAAAAAAAAGAAAGGAGGTGGGCACAGTGGTTCACTCCTGTAATCCCAGCACTTTGGGAGGCTGAGGCAGGTGATCACTTGAGGTCAGGAGTTCGAGACCAGCCTGGCCAACGTGGTTGGTGAAACCCCATCTCTATTAAAAATACAAAAATTAGCCAGGTGCAGTAGTGCGCACCTGTAATCCCAGCTACTTGGGAGGCTGAGGCAGAAGAATCACTTGAGGCAGGAGTTAGAGACCAGCCTGGCCAACATGGTGAAACCCATGAGGTGGAGGTTGCAGGGAGCTAAGATTGCACCACTGCACTCCAGCATGGGTGACAGAGTGAGACTCTGTCTCAAAAAACAAAAAAAGAAAAAGAAAGGAAATTCTGACATATGCTACCACATGGATGACCTTTGAGGATATTATGATAAGTGAAAGAAGCCAGTCACAAAAAGACAAATACTATATGATTCCACTTACATGAGGTAGAATAGTCAAAGTCAGAGACAGAAAGTAGAAGGGTAGTTACCAGGAGCTTAGGGGAGGAAGGAATGGGCAGTTATTTAATGGGTACAGTTTCAGTGTTTGCTTTTTTTAATCTTTTTTTTTTTTTTTTTTTTTTTGAGACAGGGTCTTGCTCTGTTGCCCACGCTGGAGTGCAGTGGCACAGTCTCAGCTCACTGCAACCTCCACTTCCTGGATTCAAGCGATTCTCCTGCCTCAGCCTCGCAAGTAGCTGGGACTACAGGCGTGCACCACTGCACCCAGCTAATTTTTGTATTTTTAGTGGAGACAGGGTTTTGCCATGTTAGCCAAACTAGTCTCGAACTCCTGACCTCTGGTGATCCACCCGCCTTAGCCTGCCAAAGTGCTGGGATTACAGGCATGAGCTACCGCGCCTGGCTTGTTTTTTTAAATTTTGAGACAGCGTCTCACTCCGTCACTCAGGCTGAAGTGCAGTGGCAAGAACACAGCTCACTGCAGTCTCCACCTCCTGGACTCAAGCTATCCTCCCGCCTCACCCTCCCGAGTAGGTGGGACTACAGGCACATGCCATCATGCCCAGCTAATTTTGTTATTTGTAGAGACGAGGTCTCGCTATGTTGCCCAGGCAGGTCTCAAACTCCTGGGATCAAGTGATCCTCCCACCTTAGCCTCCCAAAGTGCTGGGATTACAGGTGTGAGCCACTGCGCCCAGCTAGAGTTTCATTTTTATAAGATGAAAAGCATGATGGAGATGGATGGTGGTGATGCTTGTATAACATTATGAATGCATTTGATATCACTAAACTGTACAGTTAAAAATAGTTAAGCTGGTAACTTATGTGTATTTTACCACTAAAAAGAAAACTTGCAAAAACATGAAAGAATGTCAGACACATTATACTAAGTGAAAGAGGCCAGCCACAAACAGCTACATACTGTGTGATTTCATTTATATGATATTCTGGAGAAGTTAAAACAATAGGGCCAGAAAATTGGTCTGTGGTTGCCAGGGACTTGAGTGGGGAAGAGGGAGAAGACTGACTACACCAGGGCACCAAAGAACTTTTCAGGTTAATAGAACTAGTCTATATTTTTATTGTAGTACATTATATAACTAAAAAGAGTTAATTTTACTACATGTAAACTGTATCTCAAAAGCCTAGTTTAACAAAAAAACAGAGCATTCTACCCACACCAAGAACATCCCATACAAAAGCATCCTTCATACCTTTCCTCGACTTTAATGGAGAGAGAGTTGCAGAGGTTGTGAACATACTGGGCATAACTCTCTGCCAGGGTCATATCATATGCAGTCAGATGAATATTTAAAACCCCATATTCATAATCTGTCCCCAAATTAATGGCTCTCACTTCCACTTTTCCCTTCTTCTTCTTGGGCTGAAGAGAAAACAAAGAGAGAAAGAAAATAAAGTATTATACAAGAAATTCTAATAATACTATCTTGATATTTTAAAAAGTCAATCTTTCTAATAAATTTGTTCACATTTTGCTCTCAGGTTACCCCACCTACAAACTGAAGTTCTCCTGGGAAGGAAAGAGCAGCTTCCCTTGCCATTCTAGGCTGTGACATCAGCCAATGCAAGGAGAGAATATTGCTGTCATTACTTGAATACATGAATTACTTGAACATGAATACATGTGACTGTCTTATACTATTACCTTGTTTTGAGATTCACCTCCCATTTCTGGCCTTCTATTACTCAATTTGTAAACCAATGGGATTATGTCAGATTGAAATATTTTTCTTTTTTTTGGAGACAGTCTCACCCTGTCACCCAGGCTGGAGTGGCAGTGGCGCAATCTCGGCTCACTGCAACCTCTTCCTCCCCAGTTCAAGTAATTCTCATGCCTCAGCCTCCTAAGTAGCTGGGACGACAGGCGCACCCCACCACACCTGGCTAATTTTTCGTATTTTTCGTAGAGATGGGGTTTCACCATGCTGCCCAGGGCAGTCTCAAACTCCTGAGCTCAGGCAATCCACCCGCCTCGGCCTCCCAAAGTGCTAGGATTACAGGTGTGAGCACCACACCTAGCCTAGATTAAAATATTCCTAACCCATATATGAATTAAGGGGTCTATGAGCCCCCCAATATTTTTTTTTTTTGAGATGGAGTTTCACTCTTGTCGCCCAGGCTGGAATGCAATGGCGCAGTCTCAGCTCACTGCAATCTCTACCTCCCGGGTTCAAGCGATTCTCCTGCCGCAGCCTCCCAAGTAGCTGGGATTACAGGTGCCTGCTACCACACCTGGCTAACTTTTGTAATTTTAGTAGAGATGAGGTTTACCAAGGTTGGCCAGACTGGTCTCGAACTCCTGACCTCAGGTGATTCACCCACCTAGGCCTCCCCAAGTGCCGGGATTACAGGCATGAGCCACTGCTCCTGGCCAAGCCCCAAAATTTATATGCAAAATTTTACGTGTACATGTTTCTGAGGAGAGAATCCTGAGTTTTATCAGAATCATGAAAAAAAATTAACAGAAAGGAATCTCAGCATTAGTTCTCTTCTACTCCTAGCTCGAAATTCTACAATTGTCTACACAGCATTCCTTTTGAGAACTGAAAGGTAGAATAATTATTTGATTTCTTCCTTTTCTGTCATACAAAATATTGCTTCACTACATATCAACTTGTGTAGGCTGCTGTAAAAAGTTAAAATGAAGGCCGGGCGTGATGGCTCATGCCTGTAATCCCAGCACTTTGGGAGGCTGAGTTGGATGGATCACGAGGTCAGGAGTTCAAGACCAGCCTGGCCAACATGGTGAAACCCCATCTCAACTAAAGATACAAAAAATTAGCCAGGCATGGTGGCACATACCTGTAATCCCAGCTACTCAGGAGACTGAGGCAGGAGAATCACTTGAACCTGGGAGGCGAGGTTGAAGTGCGCCGAGATCACGCCATTGCACTCCAGCCTGGGTGACAGGGCGAGACTCCATCTCAAGGGAAAAAAAAAAAAAAAAAGTTAAAACAAAGCCTGGGAAAAAATATTTAACACAACATACTTCAGAAAGAAGAAAGCACCTCAACCGAAAATAATCTAACCTAAATGCCCATAAAGAGAGGGACTTATAGCTGGGTACAGTGGCTGACACCTGTAATCCCAGAACTTTGAGGCCAAGATAGGAGGATAACTTGAGCCAAAGGGTTCAAGAGCAGCCCTGACAACATAGCTAGATCCCGACTCTACAAAAAAAATTTTCTTAATTAGCTGGGCATTGTGGCAAGTGCCTGTAATCCCAGCTACTCAGGAGGCTCAGGTGAGATGATGGCTTGAGTCTGAGGGGTTGAGGCTGCAGTGAGCCGTGGTCACGCAACTGCACTCTAGCTTGGGCAACAGAGTGAGATCCTGTTTCAAAACAGAAAAGGAGGGAGACTTATTAAGTAAATTATGCAGCTGTAAAAAGAAATAAGGGGCCGGGCGCGGTGGCTCACGTCTGTAATCCCAGCACTTTGGGAGGCCGAGGCAGGTGGATGATGAGGTCAGGAGTTCGAGACCAGCCTAGCCAATATGGTGAAACCCCGTCTCTACTAAAAATATGAAAATTAGCTGGGCACGGTGGTGTGCGCCTGTAGTCCCAGCTGCTTGGGAGGCTGAGGCAGGAGAATTGCTTGAACCCGGGAGGCGGAGGTTGCAATGAGCTGAGATCCCGCCACTGCACTCGAACCTGAGCGACAGAACGAGACTCCATCTCTAAATAAATAAATAAATAAATAACCACTTCTTTATGTACAGATACTGGAAAGGTCTTTAAGATAAAACAAATGATAAAAGCAAACTGTAGAATAATGTGTTCAAAATGTTGCCACACATATAAAATGGGGGAGCTGGAAGAGAATAGATATGTGTGTGTGTGCATGTGTGTAATTACATACATGCTTATTTGCTTGCATATTTAAAAAATATCTCTGGAAGCATGTACAAAAATAGTATCAGCTAGGCACAGTGGCTCACGCCTATAATTCCTGCACTTTGGGAGGCTGAGGCAGGCAGACTGCTTGAGCCTAGGAGTTCAGGACCAGCCTGGATAACATGGCAAAATCCCAGCTCTGCAAAAAACATAAAAATTAGCCAGCCGTGGTGGTGCACACCTGTAGTCCCAGCAACTTGGGAGGCTGAGACAGGAAGACCGCTTGAGCCTGGGAGGCAGAGGTTGCAGTGAGTGGTGATTGAGCCATTGCACTCCAGCCTAGGCGACAGAGTGAGACCATGTCTCAAAAACAAAAATAAAAACAAACCCCCCCCCAAAAACTAGTATCATTGGCTGTTTGTGAGGGAACTAGGTGGCTGGGGTCTGGGGGTAGGAATGAGAATTTTAAACTATTTTCTTCTGTTTTTAAAATTTTCTAATAGTGTAAATATCTTATTAATCTAAAATTAGAATTTTAAAATCTATTATGTTTGAATTTTAGTAAATTTTTATTGCATTAATATGCAAAAATACATAAATAAGTTACACCTCAATGAATTTTCACAAAGTGAAAGTACCTCTGTAATCAGTACCCTAGACAAGAAACAGAACATTACCAGTACCCTAAAAAGATCTCCTTTCCCCAAATTAGTAACCACTATCCTGACTTATGAAACCATAGAGTTATTTTGCATGTTTTTGAAATTCATGAAAATGGAATGATAGATACATTCTCTTTTGTGTCCGTCTTCTTTCATTCATTAGGTTCATAAGATTCAACCAGGCATTATGTGGAATGGCAATTCTTTCCTTCTCATGTGCTACTAGTCCACTGTATGAATATGCCACAATTTATTTATCCTTTCTACTGTTGGTGGAAATTTGAGTTATTTCCAGTATGGGGCCGTTATGAATAGTAGTGCAACCAATGTTCTAGTATGTATCTTTTAGTGAACATATGTATGCATTTCTGTTGGGGGTGTACCTGGGAGCTGAACTACTGAGTTACACAGTATGAACAGGTTCACCTTTAATAGACACTCTCAAACAGTTTTGTAGAGTAGTTTCCAATTTAGACTTCCACCAGCAGTGTATGAGAGTTCTAATTGCTCTACATTCTTCCTAACACTTAGAAAACAGTATAGTCAGGTTTTCTTGTGGGTTTCTTTATTTTAGCCATTTTGGTAGTGGTAATGCAATGAGATTTTAACTAGCATTTTCTTTATATCTATTGAGCCTGAGCACCTTCCCATATGATTACTGGCTATTTGGATACTATCTTTTGTAATCTGCCTATTCAAGTATTTTGCTCATTTTAAAAACTGGGTTGTCTGCCTTTCTCTTATTGATTTGTAGAGGCTCTTTATATATTCTAAACATGATCCTTTGTACATGCTGCAAATATCTTCTCCCTCTCTGTACCTTCCCTTTTTACTTTATTTTTATTTTATTTTATTTTTTTGTGAGACAGGGTTGGCCGGGTGTGGTGGCTCATGCCTGTAATCCCAACACTTTGGGAGGCCGAGGTGGGTGCATCACCTGAGGTCAGGAGTTCAAGACCAGCCTGGCCAATATGGTGAAACCGCGCCTCTACTAAAAATACAAAAATTAGCTGGGCGTGGTGGCGGGTGCCTGTAGTCCCAGCTACTCCAGAGGCTGAGGCAGGAGAATCGCTTCAACCTGGGAGGCAGAGGTTGCAATGAGCTGAGATCACACCACTGCACTCTAGCCTGGGTGACAGAGCGAGACTCCGTCTATAAAAAAACAAAAAACAAAAAACAACAACAGGGTCTTACTCTGTTGCCCAGGCTGGAGTTCAGTGGCACAATCACAGCTTACTGCAGCCTCGACCTCCTAGGCTCAAGTGATCGTCACACCTCAACCTCCTGAGCAGCTAGGATTACAGGCATGTGCCATTATGCCCAGCTAATTTTTGCATTTTTTTATAGAGACAAGGTTTTTCCACGTTGCACAGGCTGGTCTCAAACTCCTGGGTTCAAGTGATCCGCCAGCCTTGGCCTCCCAAAGTATTAGGATTATAGGCATAAGCCACAGCTTCCAGCCCCCTTTTAACTTTATAATGGTATATTTTGATGAGAAGCTATTTTTTATTTTTATTTATTTTCTCTTTTTCATTTAACTTGTCACTGACAAAACTGAGTTTTTTTTTTTTTTTAAGGACAGGGTCTCACTATATTGCCCAGGTTGGAGTGCAGTGACACAACGGTAGCTCACTGCAGCCTGGAACTCCGGGTCTCAAGTGATCCTCCCGCCTCAGCCTCCCAAGTATCTGGGACTACAGTGCACATTATCATGCCTGGCTCATTTTTAAAATTTTTCATAGAGATGGAGTCTCACTCTGTTGCCCAGGCAGGTCTCAAACTCCTGACCTCAAGCGATCCTTCCACCTCAGCCTCCCGAAGTGCTGGGATTATAGAAGTGAGTTACCACACCAGGCCTGAAGTTGAAATTAAGTTCTTATTTTTAATGTAGTCCAATGTATTCATTTTTTATGGTTATAGGGATTTTTGTGTCCTGTTTAAGAAATCTTTGCCTACCTTAAGATCATGGAGACATCCTTGTATTTTACCTTCTAGCAGTTTTATTATTTTAATATTTACATTTAGATCTACAATCCATCTTTAAGTCATTTCTGTGTGTGGCGTGAAATAGGGTCAAGAGTCATTTTTTGTTTTCACATGATCATCCAGCCGAAATGACCCAGCCACACTACTTTACAGTGCCACCTATGTCATATAACAAGCACCCAGAGATATGTGCATTTGTTTCTCTACTCTTCTGTTCCATTGGGCTATTTGTCTATCCATGAGATAATACCACCATGTCCTAATAATTGGAGATTTATAGTAAGTCTTGCTATGGGGCTGAATTATTTTTTTAAGAAAAAAAGAAAAAAAAACTATCCCTACTGATATGTCTTAAGTCACCCCATCTAATAGCCAACAGTCTAGGGGCTTCCACAGCAGCATTGTTCCTAACAGAGCACCTGGAATGGTTCCCTTACACTGCTGCTCTGAAGGTCAACCTGTCAAGAGCAGGAAGCCAATTTGAGGAAGCACAGAGAAGACAAAGAAATGGTCCTTTTACAAGGCCAGTAATACTGATGATAGACCTGATCTCACAGGAATGTTTTGAGAACTGAACAAAATACTATATGTAAAATGGTTAATACAATCTGTGGCACATAAACACTAAACATTAACTTTTATTATTATTTTCACTTTATATTCCTCCTATCTAGCACAGGGCCCAGCAAAGAGAAAACATACAATGAGTCATTATTTTAAAATTTTAGAATAGGAAGGAATTTAGAGATGCTTTTGTCCTGGTTCTTCATCTTTGCAAGGGAAGAATATGAAGCCCAAACAGATAAATGTGTTCCCCAGAATCACGAAGCCAGACAAGACAGACCCCAGGAACTAAAATCCAGACCTCCTGATCCTAGTGCAGGAATTTTTCCTCTGCATTACTAAAGTTCTTAACAGTGGTGGCCACCCCAGGGTGCTAGACCTTGCGGTGAGTGGGAAGCCAACCTCTAGAAACCAACCACCAACATGCAGGCATTTGGCTCTCTCCTCTTCAGAGCCCAACACATTCATGGCCAAATGCAGCAATCAGGACTTCTCATCGTGACAGGCAGCACTGCAGTAAGAGCTGTCTAGAATGCTGAAGTCAGAATGCAATGGAGAGTGGCTGAAATTTTCCAGCAGAGAGGGGAGGAGCTTCTCTGAAGCCTGTAGGAGGCTTTTCTTAACCACAGAAAATGCCAGGACTCTCCAAAGGTATTGCTTTAGGGGAACAAAGAAAAGAAAGCTGATCCCAGTGTCCATCTTGGCATCTCATTTGCTTTCCCATGTTGGCCTAGATCTACCTGAACCAATTCACATTATCAAGATCCCACTGTGATATTACAATACATATTTCAGTTCTGAGCCAGGGCACAGCATAGCCAGCAAGAGCTTAACTGCATATAATACCAGATGCCAGTTTCTGTCATTTTATCTACACAATTTTTCTCACATCCATCCCATTCTCTCAATGCCTACTGATTGAGTTCAGGACTTCATGAATGCCATGAGGAACTATTAAAGATATATCTGTGGGCCAGGAGTGGAGGCTCATGCCTGTAATCCCAGCACTTTGGGAGGCCGAGGCAGGCGGACCATGAGGTCAGGAGTTCAAGACCAGCCTGACCAACATGGTGAAACCCCATCTCTACCAAAAATACAAAAAAATTAGCCAGGCGTGGTGGCGGGTGCCTGTAGTCCCAGATACTCAGGAGGCTGAGGCAGGAGAATCGCTTGAACCCGTGAAGCAGAGGTTGCAGTGAGCCAAGATCATGCCACTGACTGCACTCCAGCCCGGGCAACAGTGCGAGACTCTGTCTCTAAATAAATAAATAAATAAATCTGTGCAAAGGATATACATGAATAAAGCTGTGTTTTGGGAAGCCCAACCTGACTGCACATGAAGGCCAGCCAGGCAGGAAAGGAAAGGAAGTTAGGAGAAACGTAGTAGGGAGGATGGACTACTGTCCATCATCAAACGTTGGCACTCCTATGGCCTAGATTCACTAAGGGATGGCCCAGGATTGTCATTCTTAGGTCCTTGTAGGACTGCACTCTGGTCCCCCAAATAGACTATAGGGTAAATTATGAAACAAGTTTTGTACACAAATGTTCACATTATTACCCCTATTTCACAGACAGAAAACTGAGGTCCTCTGAAGGTAAGTTATTTGCCCAAGGTTACTGAGAAACTTTGCTGGAAAGAGCAGATAAAGAAAGGAATCAAATTAGAATCATAGCCTGTTACAGCCAGAAAGGATCTTAGAGATAATTTAATCTCTCCTTCCCCCTAATTCTACACAAGGGGGAAGTTGAGACCCAGAAAAGGAAAATGGCTTGTGTAAGGTTTAACAGCAAGACAAGGGCAAAGGTAACAACTTTATGTCTATCCAGAACTGGAAGCTGAGTCTGCAGCCCCAAGCCCAGGCTCTCTCCTTTAAAGTGATAGTATCTACCCATCGCTATAAGTGACATTCTCCAGGGTGAGAAAGTTGGATAAGAATTAATCCATTATCTGAATCCTCAAACAAAAAGGCTGATATGCCTGCAGCATATTCAGCTTCCAGAAATTCTAGTGATGAAAATAACAAAATTTACACCCGAGGATTTGAATGATTTGGGGTTAAGTACTATCAACAGTCCATAATGAGCTGTGAGGTATGCAGCGATTGAGTATGTTTATAACCTGGTGTTATACACTTGAGAGACATATGGACAAAAGGCCTGGCTCTGACTGGGGTAGCAAGGAGGCATGGCCTGATGCTATATAAAGTGCACTAGACTTAGATGGAAGCCACAGAAAATCTGACCTCAAATCCTAACTATCTGCTTAGTCACTACATGACACTGTGTGACCTTTCTAGGCCTCAGTTTCCTCATCTGTAACAGCTAAAGTTATTGTGAAGCTTAATAGAGTGAATTTATATGAAATGGAAATACTAGAGATGTTAGATGAATTCTGGCCATCCTCATTCCAAATATCGGCTCTGAAAACTTCTAGCCACGTGGGCACATCATTTAATCTTTCTCTGAGTCTTGGATTCCTCAAACAGGGTCTTGAATAACCATATGATACTCTAAGGCTTAAATAATATATATGTTTATAAGGCTATAAAATGAAATAATGTCTTTAAAGCCTGGCACATAGTACTTACAGCACCTGGTATATAATAATAAGTGGCATTTTTGGAAGGGCACGGTGGCTCATGCCTGTAATCCTGGCACTTTAGAAGGGTGAGGTGGGAGGATCACCTGAGGTCAGAAGTTCGAGACCAGACTGGCCAACATGGTGAAAACCCGTCTCTACTAAAAATACAAAAAATTAGCTGGGCATGTGGTGGTGAGTGACTGTAATCCCATCTACTTGGGAAGCTGAGGCAGGGAGAATCGCTTGAACCCAGGAGGTGGAGGTTGCAGCCAGGCGCCTGTAGTCCCAGCTACTCAGGAGGCTGAGGCACCAGAATTGCTTGAACCTGGGAGCTAGAGGTTGCAGTGAGCCGAGATGGTGCCACTGCACTCCATCCTGGGTGACAGAGTGAGACCCTGTCTCAAAAAAAGTAAATAAATAAAAATAAAACTACAAAAATTAGCTGGGCATGGAGGTGCACACCTGTAATCCTGGCTACTCAGGAAACCGAGGCACAAGAATTGCTTGAACCCAGGAGGAAAAGGTTGCAGTGAGCCAAGATCGCGCCACTGCACTCCAACCTGGGCGACAGTGAGACCCTGTCTCAAAAAAATAAATTAAAAATAAATAAATAAATGGCATTTTAAAATTATTATTATTTTGAGACAGAGTCTCACTCTGTCACTCAGGCTAGGGTGTAGTGGCATGATCTCGACTCACTGCAACCTTCACCTCCAGAGTTGAAGCAATTCTTGTGCCTCAGCCTCCCGAGTAGCTGTGATTACAGGCATCTGCCACCATGTCTGGGTAATTTTGTATTTTTAGTAGAAATGGGGTTTCACCATGTTGGCCAGGCTGGTCTCAAACTCCTGAACTCAGGTGATCCACCAGCCTCCGCCTCCCAAAATGCTGGGATTACAGGTGTGAGTCACTGTGCTCTGCCATAAATGGCATTTTTAAAAGAGGTTGTGTAGTGTACATAGATAGGACATTACTGTTACTACTATATATTGGAGATAAGCATGGTCCCAATTTCCAACTAGTAAATTTTACGAAATGAAGAATGTATTAAGCAACTGCAGTTTGCAAAGTGCTAGTTCAATTACTCTAAAGAAAGACAGGGTGGGCGCGGTGGCTCACGCCTGTAATCCTAGCACTTTGGGAGGCCGAGGCAGGCGGATCACGAGGTCAGGAGATCGAGACTATCCTAGCCAAAATGGTGAAACTCCATCTCTACTAAAAATACAAAAATCTGCTGGGCATGGTGGCACGTGCCTGTAATCCCAGCTACTCAGGAGGCTGAGGCAAGAGAATCGCTTGAACCAGGGAGTCGGAGGTTGCAGTGAGCCAAGATCACACCACAGCACTCCAGCCTGGTGACAGAGCGAGACTTCGTCTCAAAAAAAAAAAAAAAAAAAAGACAACATGGCTGGGCACAGTGGCTCACACCTGTAATCCCAGCACTTTGGGAAGCCAAGGTGGGTAGATTGCTTGAGCCCAGAAGTTTGAGACAAGCCTGGGCAACATGGCAAGACCCCATCTCCACAAAAAAATTTAAAAATTAGCCCTGTGTGATGGCGTGTACCTGTGGTCCCAGCTACTCAGGAGGCTGAGGCTGGGGGATCGCTTAAACTCAAGAGTTTGAGGTTGCAGTGAGCTATAATCACACCACTACACTCCAGGCTGGATGACAGAATGAGATCCTGTCTCAAAAAAAAAAAAACAGGCCAGACATGGTGGCTCACACCTGTAATCCCAGCACTTTGGTAGGCTGAGGCGGGCAGATCACCTGAGGTCAGGAGATTAAGACCAACCTGGCCAACATGGTGAAACCCTGTCTCTACTAAAAATACAAAAAATTAGCTGGGCATGGTGGCACACGCCTGTAGTCCCAGCTACTCGGGAGGCTGAGGCAGGAGAATCACTTGAACCCGGGAGGCGGAGGTTGCAGTGAGCCGAGATCGCGCCGCTGCACTCCAGCCTGGGTGACAGAGCGAGACTCCGTCTCAAAAAAAAAAACAAAAAAAAAAACCAGCAAAAACAAAATAAAACAAGAACAACAAAAACAAAAAACAAAGAGAAAAGAAACATGATGACCACTGCTTCCCCTTTCCGCTTCCTGCTGCCTGAAATGTGAACATAGTGGCTAAAGAGGGAGCAGCCATCTCAAACCATGAGATAGAAGTAATATGATAAGTATGGCAAAACAAAAAGCTGGAATATCTACTTATACTTTTATGTCAGAAAGAAAGAAATTTCTATTTTACTTAAGCCCCTGGTATTGTAGGTCTCTCTATTATGGTAGCTAAACTACTACCACAATTCATGTAGGAAGGTACTATGTCTCATTAATCTTTCTATTCCTAGAGCCCCAAATTATTAAATGTTGAGTTGAACTGAAATGAATTCTAGGCCAGCTGTGGTGGCTCACACCTGTAATCCCAACACTTTAGGAGCCCAAGGCAGGCATATCACTTGAGTCCAGGAGTTCGAGACCAGCCTGAGCAACATGGTGAAACCCCATCTTTACAAAAAATTAGCCAGGTGTGGTGGGGCGCACCTATAATCCCAATTACTTAGGAGGCTGAGGTGGGAGGATTACCTGAGCCAGAGAGGTCAAGGCTGCAGTGAGCCATAATCATGCCACAGCACTCCAGCCTAGATGACAGAGTGAGCCCATCTCAAAAAATTAATTAATCAATTTAAAAAATAAAAATATTAGCAAGGCGTAGTCGTACACACCTGTAGTTCCAGCTACTCTGGAGGCTGGGGTGAGAAGATCACTTGAGCCTGAGAGGTTGAGGGTACAGTGTGCTATGATTGCACCACTGCACTCCAACCTGGGCAACAGAGCAAGACCCTGTCTCTGAAAAAAATAATAATTAAAAAAACAAAAACATAACTGAGTTTCTCTGTCAATATTTGTTTTTATCAAGTAAAGCTGATAGGAGGAATGTGTGAAATTTAGAAAATTCTATCCATTCATTTAATATGTTTCTAAAATGGGAAAGACTATTATTATTCATCTTGAGGAGGGGTTTGGCTCTAGTACCACCAATGTTCCAAGGGAATATGGCTTGCAAGGATCTGAGATAATGGATGCCAAAGTACTTTTAGAATGGAAAAGGGTCATTACTATTATTCATATCAAACATGAATCCCTCTAAAAATCAGACACTATTGTAATTTGGTGACACAGGGCAAGACTCCCAGGGGCTGCAGACCAGGAGCTCTAATGGCACAGGCAGTCAGGTCTTCACGTGAGTCACTCCCTGTACTTAGAAAAGCCCTGGGGAGCTTTTCTATGTTCTTCACAGCCCTGTGTCAACAGCTACCCCAAGCAACTAGATACTGCCAGAGGAGTGTCCAGTTCAGCTTTACCTACCCAGTGCCAAGAATACAGGTGGCATTTAATAAATGTTTGTTGAGCTGAACTCCGTAACACCTTCACTGACCCTTTTGGGGAGAATTGCTTCTTTTTTGTTTTTAAAATTGTATGGATTTACCATGTAAAACATCGTGAAGGAATTGCTTATCTTTGTTCTCTTGATATTTAGTTTATTCCCTAGTAAAGCACTTGCCTCAAGTATTTAGTTACACTTTTGAGCACTAACTTTCCCAGCAGACTTTACACTTTTTACAGGACCATGTCCCGTTCACCTGAGCATCATGGATACTCAGCACAATGCATGGCATATAGTAGATGCTCAATTATGGTTTTTCTTTTAATGAGCTACAAGAAATAAATGAGTGAAAACATGAGTGCTAATATAAAGTAACTCTCCCTAAGCCAGTCCTATAATACATGTCTAGCCCTACAGTTTCTAGACCAGCAAAACCAATTGTTTTGTTACCAAGAAGGTAGGACTGGATGTGAGGGCGATCTGGCTGCAACATCTGTCACCCCATTGATTGCCAGGGTTGATTCAGCTGATCTGGCTGGCTAGGCGGGTGTCCCCTTCCTCCCTCACCACTCCATGTGCATCCCTCCCAAAGCTGCAAGCTCAGTAGAAGAGGACAACCATCCCCAATAGAGGAAGACCGGTCCTTAGTCAAGGGTATATGACTAGCTGTGCTCCCCTGCTACAACCTCCAGACAAGCTCTCAAGAAGCCAGGACTATAACCATAAAGTGATTCTGACTTTCTGATTTATCTGGGAATGATTCCAGTCTCCTCAGAGATTTGTGGCTGTGACAGCTGATCTATTATGGGTGCTACAACAAAATAAAATAGGTGACAGAAATGGCAGATACCTCCTTTCTATCAACACTAAAAACAGCATGAAGTTTCCAAAAGAAAAGCTACCTTGATTCCTAGGGGCCATTCTGCAAAGAGGAAGAAAATTGTCTGAGTTACAGAAGATATACCTAACTCTCTTGCTCCAAGGCCTGGAAATGAGAACATATGACAAGGTGACAGAAATTCATGTTGCCTCCATTTCATCCTTCCACATCTTTCTCTTGGCAATTTTCAGATTATTAAGCTGCCATTACCCCAAGACTGGAAGCTGGACAACAGCTGAGGTCAAGTAACTAAATGGTCTTGGGAAAAATGACCCAGTGCTATACAAATGTGATGACTATTATTATTTTTACTTTTTTTTTTTTTTTTTTTTTTTGAGACAGAGTTTCACTCTTGTTGCCCAGGCTGGAGTGCAATGGCATGATCTCGGCTCATTGCAACCTCCACCTCCCCGGCTCAAGCGATTCTCCCGCCTCAGTCTCCCAAGTAGCTGGGATTACAGGCATGCGCCACCATGCCCAGCTAATTTTGCATTTTTAGTAGAGATGGAGTTTCACCATGGTGGTCAGGCTGGTCTCGAACTCCTGACCTCAGGTGATCCTCCCCCCTCGGCCTCCCAAAGTGCTGGGATTATAGGCATGAGCCACCACGCCTGGCCTTATTTTTACTTCTGTGAAATATAAGTCACTCCAAATATCTGAAGCCTTTTTAAATTCAACTGAATGATGCAGGGCCTTTAAGGAATAATGAGATCTACACTTTGAGACAGGATGCTAGGTCTGGAGATACGCTCTAAAATATGATCACTCACTGCCACAGGTCAAGATGGGTCTTACAGGATGAGCACCATAGAGAAAAAAGGGAGGGTATCATCCCATACAAAGGAAAGAGCATGTGCAAAGGCAGAGAGGCAGGAAAGAGCATGGGTGTATGAGAAAACATGTCTGAAATACAAGGTGCAAAAAGGGAAATCACTGAGAAGGAGGTCAGGTACATACTGTAAGCGAGCTGAAATACCACATTTATTGTCATGCCCCATGCTGCCACCTGAGAAAAAGCCTCATTTTTATCTCTCATCTACTCCCTCAAAAAAGCATCAAGGACAAGGACACGGGATGGAGGGATGGGAAACTATTCAGAGTTATAAACCGGGCCATGTAAGAAAAAGATAAAAACAGGCTGGGCACGGTGGCTCATGTCTATAATCCCAGCTCTTAGGGAGGCCAAGGTAGGTGGATCACCTGAGGTCAGGAGTTTGAGACCAGCCTGGCCAACATGATGAAACCCCATCTCTACTAAAAATACAAAAATTACCTGGGCATGGTAGCGCATGCCTGTAATCCCAGCTACTCAGGAGGCTGAGGCAGGACAATTGCTTGAACCCGGAAGGCGGACATTACAGTGAGCCGAGATGGCACCACTGAACTCCAGGAAGACTCCATCTCAAAAAAAAAAGAAAGAAAGAAAGAAAGAAAGAGATAAAAACAGTATTAACAAGGAAAGCTGAGATGAAGTAGATACCCCCTTCCTTCCCAAGATGCGTAAGTCATAAGACTGAGTGTGGGACCTTTCGAAGGAGGAATGAAGGGATTATACCAGCAGAAATGGGACAAGGGTTGGATACTTTATGCATGAGCATGAGAATTTACTCGTCTTAGGGATGTTGGGCTCACAAGAGTAGAGGGGCCAGACTGAGACCCAGAGAGGAAAAAATGGGAATCTGGCCAACTTATTTTTTTTCTAGGCTTAGGGAGAGAAAGAAAGGAGGCCACAAAAGATTCCATCTAGTTTAACTAGTCCAGTTCCCCAGAGGGATAAGAGACAGGAACTCAGGACAGAGCCTCTGTAAGGTGGTGAATGAAAGCTTTCACTGTGCTGTCCTGTGCAGGAAGCCACGAGGCTGGAGCAACTTACTCCAGTATCCAGCACTACTGTACTAGCCACCCTGGGACACTGAATAACATCAGAGAAAAGCCTACAACCCTAAACAAAGGGAGCATCCAATCCATTCAAGCAACCAAGGTCATCTGGAGCCAGGTGTTTGCAGATAGTGGGTTATATTTGATAAATCTGATTTATAAAACCACAGGGCAGCTCCAATAACCACATTTCAGTCCAGCTTAATCAATATTTACTGTCCTCTCCTTGATGCTAGGCCCTGTGCCGGACACTGAGGATATGAAGAAAACTGAGACTTCTACCCTTAGGGACCTCATAATCTAAAATAGAACATAGTCATCAAAATAGATGGTTAAGGCCAGGTACGGTGGCTCACTCCTGTAATCCTAGTACTTTGGGAGGCTGAGGCAGACGGATCACTTAAGTCCTGGAGTTTGAGACCAGCCTGGGTAACATGGCGAGACCCCCATCTCTACAAAAATATAATGAGCCGGGTGTAGTGGTATACTCCTGTAATCCTAGCTACTCAGGAGGCTGAAGAGGGAGAATCATTTGAGCCTGAGAGGCAGAGGTTGCAGTGAGCTGAGATTGCACCACTGCATTCCAGCCTGGGTGACAGAGCGAGAACCTGTCTCAAAAACAAAAACAAAAACAATAAAAACACTCAGATGATTAAAACATAGAGCAGTTTTCCTAGGACAGAGGAAGCACAAGAACTCTGGCAGCTCATGGTAAGAAAAGCAACTCAGGGCTGGGCATGGTGGTTCCCACCAGTAATCCCAGCACTTGGGAGGCCAAGGTGGGAGGATCACTTGAACCCAGGACCGGAAGACTAGCATGGGCACTATAGTGAGACCCCATCTCTATAAACATTTCTAAAAATTAGCCAGGCTTGGTGGCATGTGCCACCAAGTAGTCCCAGCTACTGAGAAGCTGAGGCAGAAGGATCGCTTGAACCTAGGTATTCAAGGGGCAGTGGGCCAGGATCACACCACTGCATTCCAGCCTGGGCAGCAGAGTGAGACCATGTCTCAAATTTAAAAAAGAAAAAAAAAAAGAAAGAAAGAAAAGTAACTTAGTGCAGAGAATCCAGGAAGGTTTCTTAGAAGGAGAAATTTGTCTGTGTCCCTCCTCACCCTGCTTTCTCACTGAGATTTAAAGGTTGAAGAGGAATTAGCCAGGTGAAGAAGGGGAGGTCTTCCAAGTAGACAGAACAGCTTGTGAGCCTTGAAAAAGTATAATGACTTGGAGGAAAAACAAAAGGCCCAATACAGTTAAAGCGTGGTATCCGGGAGAGTGGAGAAGAGGCTGGAGAGGAAGGTGGGGACAGACGGCATTAAGCTTCCTTTTATACCATGTTAATGGAGTGGGTCAGAGCATGACATATGCAGAAAATTATCTGAGAGAGAAGATTCTAAGACATTTTTTTAAAACAGCCAAAAAAGTCCCCCTCAAACAAAACTAATTTTATTTCCCACTATTTTATGTGGGACTTTTAGAAGGGGGATATCTCACTGATGTTGTACACTGTTTTACTTAATATTTTGGGAAGTAACTGCCTCTGACTTCAACTGAAGAAAACACTTTTTTGTTGCAAATGTAATGTTTTTGTAATGGTGTCAGCAAATAAAAGGATGCTTAGTATTTAAAAAAAAAAAAAAAGAAGGGGGATGTCTCAAAATAAAACAACTTCAATAATTTACTCTAAGGTGTCACAACTCCAAAAAAGTAAACCATTCCTTCCGAATTTTAATAGCGCTTTGTATCTTCCTTTTAGCACTTGTCACTTTCTGCCTGGAAGTATATTGTCTGTGTCTTATCTCTGTTGGTTTAACAGCTCCCTCTGAGAATGAACCATGTCTTGTTCATCCATTTTGTAAAATTATTTTGCTTGCCAGGCATGGTAGCTCATCTCTGTATTCCTTGCACTTTGGGAGGCTGAGGCAGGTGTATCACTTGAGCTCAGGAGTTTGAGACCAGTCTGGGCAACATGGCAAAATACCATCTTTACAAAAAAATACAAAAACTAGCTGGGTGTGGTGGTGCATGCCTGTAGTCCCAGCTGCTCAGGAGGCTGAGATGGGAGGCTCTCTTGAGCCCAGGAGGCAGAGGTTGTAGTGAGCCGAGATCGCACCACTGCACTCCAGCCTGTGCGGCAGAGAGATTCTATTTAAAAAAAAAAAAAAAAAAGAATTATTTTGCAACTCACTCTTGAATAGGCAAGGCATCAAGAGTTCCTAGCACATAATAGATATTCAATAAATATTGCACAGCATCGTGAAGTTACATGACATACAAGTTGAAATTCTAGTCTTAGAGATATTCTAATCCAGAATTTCTCTACCTTTGTGAAAAGTCTGATAAAAACTATGGACTCTCTTCCCGGAAAAATTCACCTACAACAAACATTTTACATATAATTTCAGGACCCGCCATGCCTAGACGGGGAAGGTTGACTTACCCAAAGTCACAAGGCAGAAAAGTGGCAGAACCAAGCCTAGAACACAAGTTTCCTTGTTCCTAATTCAGTAGACTTCCCACTACAAAGGAACAATTTTAGTAGGGCATTTGTTTCCTGCTGGGAGCCTGGCTAATACAGGCCTGATAGGTGGTAATGTTCTTCTCCTGAAATTCTTTACTGTAAGGATGAGCTCAGAAGAACACGGCAAGGTTAGTGGTTTCTAAGGCCCAAATTCAGTGGAATTGGACCTTGCCAAGAAGAGAGAGGTAAATAGGAAATATGTGTGGTTGCGTGGGAGCATTAAAATAAGCTAAAGAACCAAGAGATATTGAAGTCTCCCCAAAATCTCCCCCCACTGTACTGTTTGCAGGAAGTGACAGGCTTGAGATTGAAAGACAGATCTTATACCTTGCATGCTGTATCCACCCCAAAAGAAAATCCTCTGCACACACACAGAAATCTAACTGGAGCCAAAGAAATGGGCTAAATAATTTCATAATGCTTAGAACTAATATCCACTTACCTGTGATAAAGGATTCAAGAAGCACATAATTTATTTATCTATTTATTTTTGAGACAGAGTCTCACTCTGTTGCCCAGACTAGAGTACAGTGGCGTGATCTCGGCTCACTGCAACCTCCACCTCCTGGGATCAAGTGATTCTCATGCCTCAGGCTTCCGAGTAGTTGGGATTACAGGCACGCGCCACCATACCCAGCTAATTTTTGTATTTTTAGTAGAGACGGGGTTCCTGCCATGTTGGTCAGGCTGGTCTTGAACTCAACCTCAAGAGATCTGCCTGCCTCAGCTTCCCAAATTGCTGGGATTACAGGTGTAAGCCACCACACCCAGCCTATTTTAGATTTGAAAATACAATAAGAGGCCAGGCTTGGTGGCTCATGCCTGTAATCCCAGCACTTTGGGAGGCTGAGGCAGGCAGATCACCTGAGGTCGGGAGTTTGAGACCAGCCTGGCCAACATGGAGAAATCCCGTCTCTACTAAAAATACAAAATTAGCCAGGCTTGGTGGCGCATGCCTGTAATCCCAGCTACTCGGGAGGCTGAGGCGGGAGAATCGTTTGAACCCAGGAGGTGGAGGTTGCAGTGAGCCGAGATCGCACCATTGCCCTCCAGCCTGAGCAATAAGAGTGAAACTCCATCTCAAAAAAAAAAAAAAAAAAAGAAAATACAGTAAGAATCAGTTATCCCAGCACTTTCAGAGGTCAAGGCAGGCAGATCACTTGGGGTCAGGAGTTCAAGACCTGGGCTGGTCAACATGGTAAAACCCCACCTCTACTAGAAATACAGAAATTAGCCAGGTGTGGCAGCGGACGCCTATAATCCCTGCCACTTGGGAGGTTGAAGCATGAGAACAGCTTGAACCCGGGAGCCAAAGGTTGCAGTGAGCTGAGATCGTGCCACTGCACTCCAGCCTGGGCAACAGAGCGAGACTCCATCTCAAAAAAACTAACAAACAAAAAAGTATCAGTTATATGGCTGAAAATATCAGTCTACCTCTACTTGCCACAACTCATTCACTCAACTAAACTGAAT
Organism: Homo sapiens; assembly: GCF_000001405.40. Lineage (NCBI taxonomy): Eukaryota > Metazoa > Chordata > Mammalia > Primates > Hominidae > Homo > Homo sapiens. The sequence continues at coordinate 73,826,402 of NC_000011.10, read as the reverse complement.
TATCATTTCCATTATGAGGTCCATACTGAAATAAGTACACTACTAGGAAGATTTTTTTTTAAGTATTACAAATAATAAAATCAGGCCAGCCATGGTGGCTCATGCCTGTAATCCCTATGCTTCCGGAGGCTGAAGCAGGAGGATCACTTGAGGCCAGGAGCTTGAGACCAGCCTGGGCAATACAGCAAGACCCTGTCTCTATAAAAAAATTTTTTTTAATTAGATGGGCATGGTGGCAAGAACCTGTAGTACCAGCTACTTGGGAGGCTCAGGTGGGAGGATCACTTGAGCCCAGGAGATCAAGGCTGCAGTGAGCCGTGATCATGCACTGCACTCCAGCCTAGGTGACAGAGCAAGACCCTGTCTCAAAAAAAAATAAAAATAAAAACCATTTGCTTTTTACTATTATAACCTGGCCTAGGGATAAGATTGGAAGTTGGTAGAAACATCTCCAGTCTGGAAATTCCAAATTAATAACTGGCAAGGATTGAGAGGCAACTTTATCATTTCTAGCTCCAATATTATCAAAACTATACATATCTGATCTTCAGGTTTTTGCAAAAGCTGCACATTATCCTTTTCCAAAAGACTCCCCCTGCCCGTTACCTCTTCTGCTTTAATTAAGTGCTTGTACTTTCCAATGCCGTGGGTGGGCTTTGTCTTGTAGGGCCGACTGATACTTAGTAGAATTCCACCTAAAAGAGAGAAAATAAGACAAACCTGTTTTTTTGTTGTTGCTATTATCGTTGTTTTTTAAGAGACAGGGTCTTGCTCTGTCACCCAAGCTGGGATGTAATGCCATCTCATAGCTCATTGAAGCCTCGAACTTCTGGTACAAGACAGTCTCCTGCCTCAGCCCACACCCCCCTCCCCGCCGACCCCAAGTAGCTAGTACTACAGGCATGTGCTACCATGCCCAGCTAATGTCTTTTATTTTTTGTAGAGCTGGAGTCTTGCTATGTTGCCCAAGCTGGTCTGCAGCTCCTCCCACCTCAGCCTCCCAGGGTGCCAGGATTACAGGTGTGAGCCACCACACCTAGCTTGGACTACAAATTTAAAAAAGAAAAAAAAATATGTATACACACACACACACACACACACACACACACACACACACATATATAAAAAACAAGGTAACAGTAAGGATTTTTAAAAGTAATCTCGGAGATCTTTCTAAGCATGAAACAAAATCTAGAAATCAAATATTAATAAACTTAGTATATAAAAAGTTAAAACTTCTGTTCAACAAAAAATAAATAAATAAATGAAGTTAAGGACTAGATGACAAGAAAAAGTACAAAGCATACGTAACAGAGAAATGCTAATTTCCTTAACATACAATAACTATATTAAAACCTCTTTCTAAGCTCCTCTGGGAACAGCAGATGATTTGAGGGGACAAATTCTCCACTGCAGGACTGGGAAGATTTGGTGGTAGCTGACCTCTTGTTGGTTTAAGGAGCCATAGATATTTCTTGATCCTGGACGGATTCTCAGTTTGTCCCCTTATTCTCTCCTTTTGGCTCCTAGAATATGCACGATCCCCACTACTCATCTTTCTTTGAGAAATTCTCTCCTGATAAAGCCACTGGCAGTAAGGGGATAAAATACATTCTCAGAGGGCTCTCATCTCTTCTTGTTCCTCAACAGGCAATAATCCTTTTGAGGTTTTCTTTTTTTCTTTTGAAAAAAAAATCCTTTCGCCTTCCCTTTTGAAGTTTTCTAACTGTGACTATATAGAGAAAGAGACAGGCAGCAAAAATAGCCAGCAAAGAGGAAGAGCATAGAATTCCATAAAGTTTTTTTGTTTTTTTTTTTGAGATAGAGTCTCATTCTGTAACCCAGGTTGGAGTGCAGTGGTGCGATCTCAGCTCACTGCAACTTCCACCTCCCAGGTCCAAGCAATTCTCCTGCCTCAGCCTCCTGAGTAGCTGGGATTACAGGCACGCGCCACCACACCCGGCTAATTTTTCTATTTTCAGTAGAGTCGGGGTTTCACCATGTTGGTCAGGCTGGTATCGAACTGACCTCATGATTCGCCCACCTCGGCCACCCAAAGTACTGGCATTGCAGGCGTGAGCCACCGCGCCCGGCCATACAGTTTTACAAAACATCTAACTTGATTTATTTGTGCTGATCTGAAAACAGCCTCCAACAAATATCGTTAAGTGAACAACAACAAAAACAAAAACCAAAAGTGTAGAACAGTATGTAGGTATGCTACTACTGGATTAAAAAAATAGGGTCTTGGCCAGGTGCGGTGGCTCATGGCTGTAATCCCAGCACTTTGGGAGGCCGAGGCAGGTAGATCACGAGGTCAGGAGTTCAAAACCAGCCTGACCAGCATGGTGAAACCCCATCTCTACTAAAGATACAAAAATTAGCTGGGCATGGTGGTGCACGCATATAATCCCAGTTACTCAGGAGGCTAAGGCAGGAGAATCACTTGAACCCAGGAGGCGGAGGCTGCAGTGAGCCAAGATCATGCCACTGCACTCCAGCCTGGGTGTCAGACCCAGACTCCGTCTCAAAAAAAAAAAGGGGGGTCTTTATATATATATACATTGTGGTAGACCCAGGTAGCCATAGTGGTAGCATGTGTCTGTAGTCCCAGCTACTCAGGAGGCTGAGGCAGGAGGATTGCTTGAGACTAGGAGTTTGAGGTTGTAGTGCAAATAGCTGCTGCACTTCAGCCCGGGCAACATAAGAAGATCCTGTCTCTAAATTAAAAAAAAAAAAAAAAAAAAACAGAAAAGAAAAGATAGGGTAGAGATAAGAAACTGAAATCAGATCAGGTCTAGCTAGATTTTTGTATTCTAGAAATCAAGTGTTATAACCTAGTGGTTATGGACACAGGCTGTTCAGTCAGATAGACCTGAGTTTAAATAGAAGTCCCACCTGTTTCTTTCTGGTTACTTTCACCAAATTTTTTTGAGCTACTGTTTCTTCTTTATTTATAAATGAGGATAATAAAGAGGGTTAAAGGATAACATGTGTATGTGTGTGTATCTATATGTATGTGTATATGGCATCAAGATATGGGCAGCAAGTCCTTCCTTGAAGAGGGATCTTCAAGCTGCTGTGGTCCTGCCCTCATTTCTTCAGGGTCACCACTCTGTGAGGTATTAAACACAAGATGGTGTGAAGAAGTCTAAGTCAGCAGTCCCCAACCTTTTTGGCACTAGGGACCAATTTTATGGAAGACAATTTTTCCACAGATGTGAGGAGTGGGGAAGTGGTTTTGGGATGATTCAAGCATATTACATTTATTGTGCATGTTATTTATATTATTATTACATTGTAATATATAATGAAATAATTGTACAACTCACCATAATGTAGAATCAGTGGAAGCCCTGAGCTTGTTTTCCTGCAACTAGACAGTCCCATCTGGGGGTGATGGGAGACAGTGACAGATCATCAGGCATTAGATTCTCAGAATGAGTAGTGCTCAACCTGGATCCCTCATATGTGCAGTTCACAAAAGAGTTCATGCTCCTATGAGAATCTAACGCCACAGCTGATCTGAGAGGAGACAGAGCTCAGGTGATAGCTTGAGTGATGGGGAGTGGCTGGGAGGGGCTGTAAATACAGATGAAGCTTCCCTGGCTCAACTGCCCCTCATTTCCTGCTGTGTGGCCTGGTTCCTAACAGGTCACAGACCACGTACTGGTCCATGGCCTGGGGTTTGGGGATTCCTGATCTAAGTGACATCAAGTAAAAGTTTTCTTAGGCCTCTGTTTTCTAAAATGGGCTTCCAAGCAGGTTTGCTCTGTGTGAGGCCTATCAGAGATAGTACTGGCTTCAGAGAACTTCTCCACATTTACAATCCACGCTATTTCATCAAGACAACCCAGAAATATCATGGATCCCTTCCACGATATGCATTAATCCACATTTACAATTACATGCCAATAACTGTATAGACACTGAGACAGTTACAAAGACAAATAAAATATGCTACTTTCCCTTGAGATACTCGAGGTATAGTATGAAAGGAAGATAGGAAAGCAGATAATCACCTTACGGTGTACTAAGTACTTTAATGGACACGTGAGCAATGTCATAGGTGCTCAGAGGAAGAAAAAACTAACTCTGCCTTTGGGGTGGGGGTGCAGGGTGCAGGGGAATAGGTTCAGATGAGGAAACAGCTGCATTCTTGAAAGCAGAGTAAGAGTTTACCGTGTAAGGAATAGGGAGGTATTTTTGGCCAGAGGTTCCCAAAGAGCACAGAATATAACCAAGGTATCTTCCTGACTGCTGCCCCAGTTTCATCTCTCTGAATCTAAGACCTTTGACCTTTTGCAACTTCGGGCTCTAGACTCTCCAACCTGAGGACCCACCCATGGAGCTGATATCCAAATCTCTTTGATGGGTACACAGTGATCCTCAGGCCAGGACCTTGAAAACCAACCTCATCGAAGATTTTATTATGACTCAAAATAAGACCTCCTAAAAAGCACTGAACTCTCCAAAGTATGATCATCCATTCAACAAATATTTATTATTACCTATTAGGGTAGGCAGCAACCATTATACTGCACAATCATATGAATGGCACACACCAGAGTTGTGCAGTGTACAACCAACCCAATATCCATGGCAGGCTTGATAGGTACCACGCATTGCCCTAGAAGCTGGGGCTACAACAATGAACAAAGACTAAGTCCCTGCAATACAGAACCTGCCACCTAGGAAGACAGACACTAATATCAATGCAAGGTGATAAGGGCTGTCTATGATAAGCACTGTACACGGGAGGGGCACTTAAGATGAACTTGAGTGCCAGGAAAGGGTTCTTAGAGTGAGTGGCTTTTAAGTAAAACTTGAAGGATAAGTAGGAGTTAGGAGAAAACACGGTATAGGCAGAGAAAGAGCCAGAGATAATTTTAAAGTAGAGCAAGAGGATCAGGGTGGCAAGAGATGAGCTTAGAGAAACAGGCAAGGCTTAGGAAGGGCTTAATTATTGAGTACTAATGATATCCCAGACACCGTGCAAAGGGTTGGGGACAAGGCCAACAAAACTCTGCTTATGGAGATTATAGTCTAGTGGGAGGACAGAATCATTAGACTAATAGTCACAAAGTAAATATAAGATTACAAATTGTGGCCAGGTGTGGTAGTTCATGCCTGTAATCTCTGCACTTTGGGAGGCTGAGGCAGGAGGATCACTTGAGGCCAGGAGTTTAAGACCAGCTGGGCAACATAGAAGAGACCCTGTCTCTATAAAAAGGAAAAAAAAAATTAGCTGGGCATGGTGGCATGTGCCTATAGCCCTAGCTACTCAGGAGGCTGTGGTGGGAGGATTGTTTGAGCCCAGTTCAAGGCTGCAGTGAACTATTATCATGATGCTGTACTCCAGTGTGGGCAACAGAGCGAGACCCTCTCTCCTAAAAAAAGTAATTACAAATTCTGGTAAGTGATGAAAACAAAAAGCACAGGGAGGGCTATGGTGATACAACAGATAGACCTATTTTTGGAATAGAACATCAGGGAAGGCCTCTGTGAAAAAATGAGATTTTAACTGAAACCAGAATTCAGAAGAAAATTATAATAGTGGTTACCCCCAGGGGGGATAGTGGGGGGGAAGTAGCTAGAAAGGCAAGAGAGTTACTTATATTCCTTTGCACCTTTTAAAATCTGTTCCTTGTATATATATATATTATCCACTCAAAAACAAATAAATAAAATAAGATATTGGAAAGGCAAATAGAAGTGTACTGGATGAAAAAAATGGAGGATGGGTGTTCCAGGTAGAGGAAACAGCATGTGTAAAGGCCCTAATGTAGCACACAGCTTGGGACATTCAAGGAACAGAAAAGCTGTCAGTGTGACTGAAGCAAAGTGAGAGGGACAGAATGCACCTAAGAGATGAGAGTGGGCTGGGCAAGTGGCTCACACCTGAAATCCCAGCATTTTGGGAGGCTGGGGCGGATGGTCACTTGAGGTCATGAGTTTGAGACCAGCCTGGCCAACATGGTGAAACCCTGTCTCTACTAAAAATACAAAAATTAGCCGGGTGTGATGGTACATGCCTGTAGTCCCTGCTACTCAGGAAGCTGAGGCAGGAGAATCACTTGAACCCGGGAGGCGGAGTTTGCAGTGAGCAGAGATTGAACCACTGCACTTCAGCCTGGGCAACAGAGCGAGACTCTGTCTCAAAAAAGAAAGAGACCAGCGTGAGTAGTGGTCGGAATCAACCGTGCTGGGCCTTGTTAAAGGTTTGGATTTCATCCTGAACAGCCATAAGCAGGGAAAGTATATGTCTGATATATATTTTTAAAAGATCATTTTGGTTCTTATGTGAAGGAAATAGGGAGATTAGATTGGTAGCCCCCGCTAAGTTGTTGATCTGCACCTACACCCTCCAACATCCCTCTCCTCTATTCCGTCCTTGAGAGCTGACAGATTAATCCTTTTAAAATAAAAATCTAATCATGTTATTCTCTTTCATTAATCTAACCATTTATTTATTGCACACACACAATTGTTTGTTTGCTTGTTTTGAGACAGGAACCGCTCTGTTGCCCAGGCTGGGGGGCAGTGGCATGATCTTGGTCACTGCAACCTTGATGTGCCTAGGCTCAAGTGATCCTCCCATCTCAATCTCCCGAGTAGCTGGGACTACAGGGTGTGCCACCACACCAGTTTAATTTGTCCCAGGTGCGTGCCACCACACCAGGTTAATTTGTGGATTTCTTGTAGATATGCAGTTTCGCCATGTTGCCCAGGCTGGACAATTGTTTTAAAATATAGATATTTACTATTTGTCAGGCATTATACCAGGCACTGTAAAGACAACAATGAATGAGACAGAAGGTAAAATTTTGATGGTTTTCTGTTGCCCAAAGTTTGAAATTCTTAGGTAAGCACTTAGGTAAGATCATCAAGAGTTTAATTCATAGTGATAGCTCTATCATGCCTCCAATATATAATAAAACGTTTTATGTAAATAAAAAAGAAAACTCATATGTCAATCACCATCTTTAAGTAGTACATAGAAACTCAATCATCTATCTGTAATTTCAAAAAGCAGAACCAAAAAGGATCTTTGCGATGATAACACATCGTAGGTGAAAGTACTGCAAATGTTTGCCTCAGCCTCTTATCTACTGGAATTCCTTGGCAAGGAGGCATTTTAAAATTCAGTTTGGAGCAATTCCTATAATTAGAGCATCTGCTTAATTAAGAAGCTGGTTCAAACCACTGTTAAATGAACCATTCTGCCCCTTAAATGAAAGGTTTTGGTCAAATTACCAGTGGTTAAACTGCTTAATTAGCCAGTTGTTTTAATTATAAAATTTACAAGTTTGAAAGCCTCTGATTTCCAATAAGTTCAACTGAATTCTTTTCCCCTGTGTCATGTCAATAAGTGGGTTTCCTGCTGTCACATTAACATTGCAGCCTCCTGAGAGAAAAGGCAACTCCTTACTAAAGAAAGACACAAAACCCCAGGGTTTCAAATGGAGGCTTTAAAAATCTTTCAATTATCACAATTATAAGATGTAATCATGCAATGACATTTCCCACAGCATTCCCCTTTCCTTTACATATGCCAGAGACAACTGTCCTTCAATGTTCTTGTTCATTAAACTGAGAACTAAACCCATCAATCCAGGATGGGGATAAACAACTTTGTTATAATTATTTCTCATTCAGAAATGGGATAAGCATTTTTAACAGGGCTATGCAGGTAGGGAAAGAAAAAAATTGGGGTAGCCCCCAGCGAAGAAGCTAATTACAGGTTATTCTCTCCACTCAACAGACTGTAAGGCCCTCCAGGGCAGAAACAATGCCACCACCTGGCAAACAGTATGTGCTCAGTAAGTGTATATTTAAAAACAAAACAAAACAAAAATGGTTCTTAAGATATTTTACCAAAACAATCTGCAATGATTTGTCCCTGCCAGCTGCCCACATTTTTCAAAATTTCTTTTCAAATTTCTTTCAGTTGTTCTAATTACACTGAACTACTTGGGTCTGAAAATACCACGCTTCTCTGCTTCTACCTTTTTATTCATGCTGTAATGAGAGCACTCTAAGTTCCCTTCGTCTTGTCTCTTTAGATCTAGTTTTATATATTTACTTCTATCTGTCTATTATTTTTAAATCAATAAGAAAAAGATGGTCACCACAATCAAGCCCCTCCTTGGATAGAGCAGCTGGAATGGTCCCCAGAGCCCACACACGGAGTGGATGGGTGAAGGCAGGAATGGGGCACTTTCCCTACTCTTCCTTTCTGAACATCATTGTAATTCAATTCTGAAATTTCTGACTTTAAAGATATCTCAGTCTGGGGGCAGTGACTGACACCTGTAATCCCAACACTTTGGAGGCTGAGGTGGGAAGATTACTTGAGGCCAGGAAATCAAGACCAGCCTAGGCAACACAACAAGACCCTGTCTTCACAAAAAATTTAAAAAATAAAAAATTAGCTGGGCATGGTAGCGCATACCTGTAATCCCAGCTACTCCAGAGGCTGAGGCAGGAGGATTGCTTGAACCCAGGAGTTCGAGGCTGCAGGGAGCTATGATCATGCCACTGTACTCAAGCCTGGGCCACAAGCAAGACCGTCTCTCTCTCAAAAACAAAAACAACAACAACAACAAAAATAAATATCTGAAAGAACCTATAAAAAATACCAACAAAACTGTGTGCTTTCAAGTGGAAATTATCCTGGTGAGCCAACATTAGTGAGTTATTCTGGGACTTGGAACCTTCTAGGGACTACTATTCTCCAGTCACAGTTGAAACATGGGCAAAGGAAAGAATAAATAAATAGCAAGTAAATGTACAAAAATATGTTCAACCAACTAGTAATCAAAGACATGAAAATTCCAAACACAAGGGAAAGCACGTTTTAACCTACAATATTAGCAAATATTAAAAATAATACTCGATGTTGATGAGTATGTAAAAAGGGATTCTCAAATAGAGAAGTATAAAATGGTGCAATCTTTCTGGAGATCAATTTAGTAATAATACACATCAACAGCTTTAAAAATGTGTATTTCCTTTGACCCAATAGTTCTACTTTCAGAAATGTACCCTAAGTAATCAGACAATGGCACAAATATTGCCCAAGAATGTTCATCACAGTGTTGTTTCCATTGCAAAATCTTGGTAACAACTTAAATTTCTCCAAATAGAAAAATGTTGAAAAAATTATGCACTATCCCCACATATCTTTTCAAAATGATTCCTATTGGATCTTTTCCAATAGCCATTTAACGTGCCCTATTTGATGCCAACTTCAAAAACAAAATAAACAGGCTGGGCATGGTGGCTCATGCCTGTGAACCCAGCACTTCGGGAGGCCCAAGCGGGTGAACCACCTGAGGTCAAGAGTTAGAGACCAGCCTGGCCAACATGGTGAAACCCCGTCTCTATTAAAAAAAATACAAAAACAATTAGCCAGGCATGGTAGTGCACACCTGTAATCCCAGCTGCTTGGGAGGCTGAGGCAGGAGAATCACTTGAACCTGGGAGCCAGAGGTTGCGGTGAGCTGAGATGGCACCACTGCACTCCAGTGTGGGCGACAGAGTGAGACTCCGTCTCAAAAAAAAAAAAATAATAAACAAAATAAACAAAAAATGACATCCGAATTAGGTAGCTACCAGATACTAAAATATACCACCAGCTGGGCAGGGTGGCTCATGCCTGTAATCCCAACAATTTAGGAGGCCAAGGCGGGCGGATCACCTAAGGTCGGGAGTTCGAGACTAGCTTGGCCAACATGGAGAAACCCCGTCTCTACTAAAAATACAAAATTAGCTGGGCATGGTGGCGCATGCCTGTAATCCCAGCTACTCAGGAGGCTGAGGCGGGAGAATCGCTTGAACCGGGAGGTGGAGGTTGCAGTGGGCCAAGATCGTGCCATTGCTCTCTAGCCTGGGCAACAAGAGCAAAACTCCATCTCAAAAATAAAAAACTAAAATATACTAAAAAACTGTAGTAACCAAAAAGCTTTAAAACAGTTTCATACTGGCATCAAATACATATACAGATCAATGAAACAAGATGAAGTTTAAAAAGTAGTTCCGGCCGGGCACGGTGGCTCACGCCTGTATCCCAGCACTTTGGGAGGCCGAGGCGGGCGGATCACGAGGTCAGGAGATCGAGACCATCCTGGCTAACATGGTGAAACCCCGTCTCTACTAAAAATACAAAAAATTAGCTGGGCATGGTGGTGGGCGCCTGTAGTCCCAGCTACTCGGGAGGCTGAGGCAGGAGAATGGCATGAACCCGGGAGGTGGAGCTTACAGTGAGCCGAGATCGCGCCACTGCACTCCAGCCTGGGCGACAGAGCAAGACTCCCTCTCAAATAAATAAATAAATAAATATAAAATAAAATAAAAAAATAAAAAGTAGTTCCAAGCCAGGCCCAGTGGCTCATGCCTGTGAAGCCAGAACTTTGAGAGGCCAAGGCAGGAGGATTGCTTAAGCTCAGGACTTCAAGACCAGCCTGGGCAACGTAGGGAGACCCTGTCTCTATAAAAAAAAAAAAAATAAAAGTCAAGCATGGTGGCACAGGCCTTCAGTCCCAGCTACTGAGGAGTCTGAGGTGAGAGGATGGCTTGAGCTTGGGAGGTTGAGGCTGCAGTAAGCTGTGATGGTGCCACTACACTCCAGCCTGGGTGACAGAGCGAGCGGTCCCAGCACTTTGGGAGGCCGAGGCAGAAGGCCTAGTCTCTATTTTTAAAAATTTTTAAGTAAAAAAAACAAAACAAAAAATAGTCCTAGACTTAGGCTGGGTATTGTGGCTCACACATGTAATCTCAGCACTTTGGGAGGCCAAGGTGGAAGGATCCCTTGAACCTAGGAGCTCAAGACTGCGGTGAGCTGTGATGGTATCAAAGTCCGGGCAGCAAAGAGAGATCCTGACTCCAAATAAAAAACTTAAAAATCCCAGATCTACACAGGAACTTAGAATATGATAAAGGTTACATTCTCAAACCTCCAGGAAAAACACAGATTTTTTTTTTTTGAGATGGAGTTTCGCTCTCGTTGCCCAGGCTAGAGTGCGATGGCGTGGTCTCGGCTCACCGCAACCTCCGCCTCCCAGGTTCAAGCTATTCTCCTGCCTCAGCCTCCTGAGCAACTGGAATTACAGGAGCACCACCACGCCCGGCTAATTTTTCTATTTTTAGTAGAGATGGGGTTTCACCATGTTGGTCAGGCTGGTCGTGAACTCCTGACCTCAGGTGATCCACCTATCTTGAACTTCCAAAGTGCTAAGATTACAAACATGAGACACGACGCCTAGCCAAAAACATGGATATTTTAATAAATGTTGAAACAACTGACTTCATTCATTCATTAAGAGGCAGAAACTATATTCATGCTCCACTTATAATTCCAGATGGAACACTTTTTTGTTTTATTTATTTATTTATTTATTTATTTATGAGACCAAGTCTTGCTCTGTCATCCTGGCTGACGTGCAGTGGCAAGACATCTCGGCTCACTGCAACCTCCGCCTCCCAGGTTCAAGGGATTCTCCTTCAGCTGCCGGAGTAGCTGGGATTATGGGCGTGTGACCACCACGCCTGGCTAATTTTTGTACTTTTAGTAGAGACAGGGTTTCACCATGTTGACCAGGCTGGTCTAGAACTCCTGACCTCAAGTGATCCACCTGCCTCGGCCTCCCAAACTGCCGAGATTACAAGCATGAGCCACCGCACCCAGCCTCACTTTTTTTTTTTCTTGAGACAGTCTCACTCTTGTCGCCTAGGCTTGAGTGCAATGGCACAATCCCAGCTCACTGCAACCTCCGCCTCCCAGGTTCAAGCAATTCTCCTGCCTCAGCCTCCTCAGTAGCTGGGATTACAGGCATGCATCACCATGCCTGGCTAATTTTTGTATTTTTAGTAGAGATGGGGTTTCACCATATTGGCCAGGCTGGTCTCGAACTCCTGACCTCAGGTGATCCACTGGCCTCAGCCTCCCAAAGTGCTGGGATTACACGCGTGAGCCACCGTGCCCCACCTCACTCTTTTTTTTTCTTTTTGAGACATGATCTCGTGCTGTCTTCCAGGCTAGAGCACAGTGGCAAAATCATAGCTCACTGCAACTTCAGTCTGACTCATGCAATCCTCCCACCTCAGTCTTCGTCTTCTGAGTAGCTGGGACCACAGGCACTCGCTATCCCACCAGGCTAATTATTTTTTTTTTGTAGAGATGGAGTCTCCCTATGTTGTCCAGGATGGTCTTAAACTCCTGGGCTCAGGTGATCTTCCCCTCAACCTCCCAAAGTGCTGAGGTTATAAGCGTAACCCACTACACCTGGTCTGGACCACATATTGAAAAGAAAAAATATTTATCAGAAGGTAATATGAAGGATTTTTTTTTTTTTTTTTTTGAGACAGAGTCTCACTCTGTCGCTCAGGCTGGAGTGCAGTGGCGAGATCTCGGCTCACTGCAAGCTCTGCCTCCCGGGTTCACGCCATTCCCCTGCCTCCGCCTCTGGAGTAGCTGGGACTACAGGCACCTGCCACCACGTCCCACTCATTTTTTGTATTTTTAGTAGAGACGGGGTTTCACCATGTTAGCCAGGATGGTCTTGATCTCCTGACTTTGTGATCCACCCGCCTCGGCCTCCCAAAGTGCTGGGATTACAGGCGTGAGCCACCATGCCCAGCCATGGATTTTTAAAAATAATCTTAGGGTAGAAAAGACCTTTTTAAGCATGAAACAAAATCTAGAAATCAAAGATTAATAAACATAACTATATAAAAATCTAAAGCTTCTGTTTAATGGAGAAAACACAAACATAAAGTCAAGGGATAAATGACTAGAAAAAGTACAAGCATATGTAACAGAGAAATGCTAATTTCCTTAATATATAAGAACTATATTAAAAGTTCTTACAAATCAAAAATGAAAAAGTAAACAATCCAATAGAAAAATTGACAAAAAAACATAAATGGGCCAGGCACAGTGGCTCACGCCTGTAATCCCAGCACTTTGGGAGGCCGAGGTGGGTGAATCACCTGAGGTCAGGAGTTAGAGACCAGCCTGACCAACATGGTGAAACCCTGTCTCTACTAAAAATACAAAAAAATTAGCCAGGCGTGGTGGCACATTCCTGTAGTCCCAACTACTCAGGAGGCCGAGGCAGGAGAACCACTTGAACCTAGGAGGCAGAGGTTGCAGTGAGCCAAGATCATGCCACTGCACTCTAGCCTGGGTGACAGAGTAAGACTCTGTCTCAAAAATAAGTAAATAAATAGGCAATTCATTAGGAAACAAATACAAATGGCAAATAACCATATGAAAAGATGACAAATTCAAGACACACAAATTAAAATGAGACATAATTTTCACTAACAAAAAAAATATTATTTTTTTAGGCCAGGTGCAGTTGCTCACACCTGTAATCTTAGCACTATGGGAGACCGAGGTGGGTGGATCACCTGAGGTCAGGAATTAGAGACCAGCCTGGCCAACATGGTGAAACCCTGTCTCTACTAATAAATACAAAAATTAGCCAGGCATGGTGGCGCATGCCTGTAGTCCCATCTACTTGGGAGGCTGAGGCAGGGGAATCTCTTGAACCCAGGAGGTGGAGGTTGCAGTGAGCCAAGATCGTGCCACTGTACTCCAGCCTGGGTGACAGAACGTGACTCAGTCTCAAAAACAATAAAAAATAAATAAATAAATATATATATATATATATATATATTTAGACATGGGATCCTGCTCTGTCGCCCAGGCTAGAGTATGGCATCTATTCACAGGCAAAATCAAAGTGCGGTACAGCCTCAAACTCCTGGGCTCAAAGGACCATTCTGGGACTTCAGCTTTCCATGTAGCTGGGACTACAAGTTCATGCCAGTGCTTCCAGCTAACAGTAAATGTTTTATAAAACCCAGTTTGGGCCGGAAAATAGAAATGTAAATTAATACAACTTCTCTGGTGGATAGTCTGGCAATACTTATCAAAATCTCCAATTCATAATGCATTGACTCAGCAATTTCAATTCCAGGAATTTATCTTACAAATGTACAGGAACAAGTTTACAAAGACATACGAAAATGGCTGGTGTACCATTTTTTGAAACAGCAAAAAACTAAAAACGACCTAAATGTCCAGCATTAAGATACAGTCATACACACACATAATATAAATCTTCATATATACATAAAATCTTCCTGAAAGATACACAAGAAATTGCTATCAGTGGATATCATGAGGGAGTTAAGATTGGGAAAGAGGGCCGGGCGCGGTGGCTCACACCTGTAATCCCAGCACTTTGGGAGGCCGAGGCGGTTGGATCACAAGGTCAGGAGATCTAGACCATCCTGGCTAACACGGTGAAACCCCATCTCTACTAAAAAATACAAAAAATGAGTGGGGCGTGGTGGCAGGTGCCTGTAGTCCCAGCTACTTGGGAGGCTGAAGCAGGAGAATGGTGTGAACCCGGGTGGTGGAGCTTGCAGTGAGCCAAGATCTCGCCATTGCACTTGTCTGGGCAACAGAGTGAGACTCCATCTCAAAAAAAAAGACTGGGAAAGGGCAATAAAATTTCACTTTTCATCATATACACTTTTGTACAGTTTAAGTTTATTCTTCCCATATGCATCCATTTCAATTTTTTAACAGGTGATAATTTTAATAGTATTAGGTTGGTGCAAAAGTGCAGTTTTTGCCATTATTTTTACTTTTGCACCAACCTAATAATTTTTTTAAAAGACTTTCCTCAGAATATATACCAATTCAAAATAAACTTTGCCTATGGTTGAGAAGGATAAGGGATAAGACCAAGGCTAGAGAATAATGATGACTTGAACATAGATCTTTTTGTTTTAATACAAAAAAGACAATGAAAGTCTGACAAAATGTTAATAGTTGCCAATTCTGGGTTTATTTGACATATTACTCTTTTACTCTTCTATATTTTTTATATCTCTCAAAATAAAAAGTATAATTAAGAGATAAACAATTTTTAAAAAAACCTCTCCTTCACCCTACATCTCTCTTCAGTTCCTGCCAATATTTTATTGACCCATTCAGTCTCAAACTTTTTTAAAGCATTGTCTACAGTCATTTTTTTCCTAACTCTTGGACTTTCATTCACTTGTCACCTCATGGTTAATTTCCACAACCCATCCACCCCACCTACCTAGACTACCCTCCCTAAGGTCACCAGTGACCTCTAGATTGCTAAAATCCAAGGATACTACCATGTTCATGTTTTTCCTGGTCTCTCAGTAGCACAGTTGAAACTGTAACATGGTTGGCCACTCTTTCCTTCTTGAAACGCTCTCCTCTTGCCTGCCATGATACTATACTATCCAGGTTTTCTCCACTATGGTCTCTCTTTCTCAGCTTCATTAGACTTTCTCCCTCTACCCAGATTTTTAAGGTTGAAATTCCTCAGGGTATGATCCCTGGGTCTCTTCTCCACCTTTTCTCCTTAAGTGATCACATTCATTCCCATGGCTTCAATTAAAACTGACAAAATAATGACTTTCATATTTATAGTTTCAACTCAGACCTAAATTTTTAGCTCAAGATCAGTGTATCCAATGGGCTGCTTAATATATCCTTTGCAGGCACTCCACACTATTACAAAAACCACAGAAAAACAAACACTGGATGTTCTCACTCATAAGTGGGAGTTGAACAATGAGAACACATGGACACAGGGAGGGGAACATCACATACCAGGGCCTCTCGGGGGGTGGGGGGCTAGTGGAGAGATAACATTAGGAGAAATACCTAATGTAGGTGATGGGTTGATGGGTGCAGTAAACCACCAGGGCACGTGTATCTATGTAACAAAACTGCACGTTCTGCACATGTAACCCAGAACTTAAATTACAATAAAAAAAAAAAAATAAAGAAAGAAAACATCCTTATTTCTTTTTTCTTTTTTGAGTCAGAGTTTCGCTCTTGTTGCCCAGGCTGGAGTGCAATGGCACGATCTCGGCTCACTGCAACCTCCGCCTCCCAAGTTCAAGCGGTTCTCCTGCCTCAGCCTCCCGAGTAGCTGGGATTACAGGCATGCTCCACCATGCCCGGCTAATTTTGTATTTTTAGTAGAGATGGGGTTTCTCCATGTTGGTCAGGCTGGTCTTGAACTCCTGACCTAAGGTGATCCGCCCATCTCGGCCTGCCAAAGTACTGGGATTACAGGCATGAGCCACTGCACCTGCCCGAAAATATCCTTATTTCTAAAAACCCAAGCTAAAGTATTCAAGCGTAAAGTATCATGATGTCTGATTTTTAAGAAGCTAACATGACAAAATGTTAACAAAAGTTGAATCTAAATAGTGGGTAAAGAAATGTTCATTGTATTATTCCTAGGGAAAAAATAAGCTTCTAAAACTACTAAATAGCAAGGACTATATCCTCTTAATTTTGTATCACCAGCATCTAACACACAGTCTAGTAAGATACATGTTTGTCAAGAGAATGTATAAATAAAAAGAAGCCCATTATTTTGAGATGTTAGGCTTTGGGCCCAGTAGAAATGGTGATTCCCTACACATTGCCGCCATCTTCTAAAATAATTAACATATGTAAAGCCTCTTCCACACTTCCTTGCACACAGTAGGCACTGAGTAAAAAATGTTAGTTCCCTTCCTTACTTCCATTCCTTTATCTCTGATACTTGTCAGACACATGACAAACGTCATTAAAATCCAACAACTCCATTGAAATTTCTCACATAATAGACAAAGCAAAAATGGCAAGTAATTGGGTTGAAACAGAGATGGATATCCATTGAGTTAATCAGACTGAATGGACATTCATTTTGGATTAAACAGTGTGAGAAAAGCCCTAGCCTGATGATGGACATACAAGGCAGTTCTGGAATAGTAGCAGTATTAATAATAATAATAATTACAGCTGCTACTTTTTGAGCATTTTATCTTTTTTTTTTTTTTTTTGAGACGGAGTCTCGCTCTGTCGCCCAGGCTGGAGTGCAGTGGTATGATCTCGGCTTACTGTAACCTCTGCCTCCGGGGTTCAAACAATTCTCCTGCCTCAGCCTCCCGAGTAGCTGGGACTACAGGCATGTGCCACCACGCCCGGCTAATTTTTTGTATTTTTAGTAGAGATGGGGTTTCACTGGGTTAGCCAGGATTGTCTTGATCTGACCTCATGATCCGCCCTCCTCGGCCTCCCAAAGTGCTGGGATTACAGGCGTGAGGCACCTGGCCAAGCACTTTATATCTTTTGTCTCACTGAATCTTCAAATGGTACACTACAGTTTGTATTACAATTATCCTCTTTTTTTTAAATTTTTTTAATTTAAGAGACAGGATCTTGCTCTGTCACCCAGGCTGCAGTGCAGTGGCACAGTCATAGCTCACTGTAACCTGGGCTCAAGAGATCCTCCTGCCTTGGCCTCTGGGGTAGGTAGGATCACAAGCCTGTGCCACCACACCCAGTTAATTTTTAAAAAAATTTTTGTAGAGACAGGGTCTCACCATGCTGCACAGCCTTCTCATTATTTTTTTTTTTTTTGAGATGAAGTCTCGCTCTTGTCCCCCAGGCTGGAGTGCAATGGCGTAATCTCAGCTCACTGCAACCTCCGCCTCCCGAGCTCAAGCGATTCTCCTGCTTCGGCCTCCCGAGTAGCTGGGATTACAGGCGCCTGCCACCACGCCCAGCTAATTTTTTGTATTTTTAGTAGAGACAGGGTTTCACCATGTTGGCCAGGCTGGTCTCGAACTCCTGACCTCAGGTGATCCGCCCGCCTCGGCCTCCCAAAGTGCTGGGATTACAGGCGTGAGCCACCGCACCCGGCCTCACAGCCTGCTCATTTTTTAAGGTGAGGAAACCAAGCTACAGAGAAATAGCCAAAGATCAAATAAATATGTAGTACAGTTGGAATCCAAACTTACTGTAGAGCTCTTGCTCTTAGCCACTACTTGATGTTCTCACCCATGGTTCTATTCCATGCTCACATGGAGGGGTGGGGTTTGGTTCAGGCCACTGTTCTCAAAGATATGGTAGGCTTCCTTCTAGGCAAAATTATTATAGAGTGCTAAAGGGTCACTTAAAGCAGGCCAACTACATCAGGTAAAAACTGCTTACCTACAGAATAGATGGGCTTCTCTCCTGAAGTTCTAAACCTAAAAGGAGGGAGAAAGTATGTTCAATACAATTAGAAACCCATATTTTATTTGCATAGTTTGCAAAATTTATATTCTATCACTAAAGATGCATCAATGCTGTTTCCTTACTCCTTCTTTCCTTTCTTCCTTCCACAAACTTTAATAAGGACCTGATGTGTGCCAAAGTGCCACATCCTGAGAATGCAAATATAAGTAAGATGTCTCTATCCATGGTCTAGTTGGGAAAGGTGCTGGTAAACGAATGTGAGCCACAATATAGTATTGATCCAGAACAGAAACATACAAAATTAAATAGGACACAAAGGAAAGTATGGTCACTCCTACTAGGGAGGTGAAACTATTTTGAGGTGAGTTTTAAAAAACGAAGAAGTGGCCGGGCGCAGCGGCTCACGCCTGTAATCCCAGCACTTTGGGAGGCCGAGGCAGGCAGATGACCTGAGGTCAAGAGTTCGAGACTAGCCTGCCCAATATGGCGAAACCCCGTCTCTACTAAAAATACAAAAAATTACCCGGGTTTGGTGGTGGGCACCTGTAATCCCAGCTAATCGGGAGGCTGAGGCAGGAGAATCACCTGAACTTGGGAGGCGGAGGTTGCAGTAAGCCAAGATCGTGCCACTGCACTCCAGCCTGGGCAACAAGAGCGAAACTCCATCTCAAAAAAAAAAAAAAAAAAAAAAAGATAATAATACTACAATCTAATGGGACTGAAAATGTATCTTAAACTCTGAGTCAGTTTCCTCTTTTGCAAAATGATATTTATATTTGCCTTGTAGTGTTTTTTGTGAAGATTAGAGATAACGAAAAATAGCTAGTATGGTGCCATAGGAGGTGCTTATCAAATAGTAGTTGACTGATTAAGATGGGATAATAGATTAAGATGGAACGGGATACTATCACATTTGGGATTAAGAAAAAAAAAAAGAAGATGGAAGGGAAATAAAGGGAGAAAGCCCTCAATAAATGTTAAGGACTCAAGAAATCATCCAGGATCATGAGTGCCGAGTAGTTCGGGAAGATGTACAATACATTATTTTATATCCTGTGGCTGTCACACAAAAGACACTTGGTGCATATTTGCTGCTGAACAGAGAAATAAACCACCAAATGTATTTCATCACACTTAGAGAAAAACAATGGGGAGCCTGGGCACGGTGGCTCATGCCTGTAATACCAGCACTTTGGGAGGCTGAGGAGCATGGATCACTTGAGGTCAGGAGTTCGAAACTAGCCAGGTCAACATGGTGAAACCCCATCTCTACTAAAAATAGAAAAATTAGCCAGACATGGTGGTGGGCGCCTGTAACCCCAGCTACTCAGGAGGCTGAGGCAGGAGGATTGCTTGAACCTGGATGGTAGAGGTTGCAGTGAACTGAGATAGTGCCACTGCACTCCAGCCTGGGTGAAAGAGATTCTGTCTCAAAAAAATAAAGAAAAAAGAAAAACAATGGAGAGCAATCTATACACAGAACAGTTTAAAAAAAAAAAGACAACTTGGATTTGAATCCTAATTCCAACCCAAATTAGCTCCATCATATTAAAACAACAGATTAAACTCTCTGGACCCCAGTTATTTATATAAAATTGAGATAATATCATCTGTTTTACCAGGTCACTATGAAGGTCAATTCATTCATTTAACAAATATTTATTAAATGCCTACTATGTGTCAGATACCATCGTAGGCCTAGGAATAGGGCAGTATCCCCATGATGCTTATTTTTAAGGGGCAAGGAAAGACAGTTAAACATTTTTATATATAAAAAATGAGTCAGATGGTGACATCTGCTATAAAGAAAAAGCAAAGTATAAAGGAACAGAGATTGATGGAGGGGTGTATATTTTACATAGAGTAGTCAGGGAAGGCCTCTTGGATGGGATGACATTTGGACAGAAACCTGAAAAAAGTATAGGACAAACCATATGGATATCTGAGGAAAGAATATGCACAGATCCTGGGGTGGGAAGGTGCTTAGATTATCAAGGAATAGCAAACCACAGCACAGCTAATGCTGAGTAAGTAGTATAAAATGAGGATACAGATTATGGAAGGTCCTATAGGCCATGGTAAAGATTGCAGGTTTTAGTTTGAGTAAGATGGGATACCACTGGAGAATTTGGAGCAAAGGAGTGATGTGAGCTAACTTGGCTTTAAAAGAATCATTCTTATGTTCATAATGTTAGGTCTCTTTAAAAAAAAAAATCACTCTGCTTTACTGTGAAGAACAGAAGACAAAGGTAAACTAGGGAGACCAGTTGGGAGGCAAAGTGATGGTAGTAAAGGCAATGAGAAAATAAGGAGCTGGCCCCTAGTGGTTTAGCATAACAGAAAGCATGAGGCAAAAACTGGAGAAAGAAATGGTTCTAGGTCTGGCACAGTGGCTCATGCCTGTAATCCCCTCACTTTGGGCAGATCACTTGAGCCCAGGAGTTCAAGACCAGCCTGGGCAACATGGCAAAACCCTGTCTCCACAAAAAATACAAAAACGAATGGGGCATGCTAGTACATGCCTGTAGTCCCAGCTACTTGGGAGGCTGAGGTAGAAGAACCACTTGAGCATGGGAGGTCAAGGCTACAGTGAGCTGTGATCATGCCACTGCACTCCAGCCTGGGCAACAGAGGTAGACTCTGCCTCAATTAAAAAAAAAAAAAAAAAGGTTCTGTTTATATTTCAAAAGTAAAGCCAACAAGTTTTGTTGAAGAATTAACAGCATCTGGCTGGACGCGGGGGCCCACACCTGTAATTCCAGCAATTTGGGAGGCCGAGGCAGGCAGATCACCTGAGGTCTGGAGTTCAAGACCAGCCTGGCCAACATGGTGAAACCCCATCTCTACAAAAATACAAAAATTAGCTGGGCATGGTGGCAGGTGCATGTAATGCCAGCTACTTGGGAGGCTGAGGTGGGAGAATCATTTGAACCTGGGAGGTAGAGGTTGCAGTGAGCCAAGATCACGCCACTGCACTCCAGCCTGGGTGACAGAGTGAAACTCCATCTCAAAAAGAAAAAAAAAAAAAAAGAACAGCATCAAAGATTAACTGCAAGTATTTTGGCCTCAGCAACTAGATGAATGGAGATGCTATTAACTGAGAATGGGGAAGGAGCAAGGTGGCAGGGGAGATGCATGATGTGCTTATAGACATGCAAGTAAATATGATGAAAAAATGCTGTGTGAACTATGAAGCCAAAGGCAAATGTTACCTATATTTAATTATTGTTTTTAATATTCTTACCTTAAGAGAGAAAAGGCTTGCTTAAAAATGGTATTGTTCCTCAGGCACAGCACCTACAGCAAAACAGCCATGTTAGGACAATCTTAAGCATTTATAGACCTCCAAGTATGTCTTCTCAGAGAGGCAAGAAACCCACAGTACACAAACCAGAAAAGGACAAAAAGGCTCTTATCTAACAAAGAAGCTACCCTACAATTAACACCAAGCATGCAAACAAACCAAGGTCATCATTCTCATTCCACCCACTACAGTAAATGCTCAAAAAACAGAAGTCCCCCTCCCACACTGCTTTTTCACTGTTTACCATTTCCAACTTAATCTATTTTTTTCTAATATCAATCAATAATTAGTATGCATCTGCCATGCACAGCATCATGAGAGGGGCTTTATTAAATCTTCTTTAATTCTGAAAACACTGCAAGACAATTTCGTAAGTAAAGCAACTGAGACCCAGAGAGGTTATATTCCAAAAAATTATACCTAATAAGCTGCTAAGAGGACTGACTTAATGGCCAGGTGCGGTGGCTCATGCCTGTAATCCCAGCACTTTGGGAGGCTGAGGCGGGCAGATCACGAGGTCAGGAGTTCAAGACCAACCTGACCAACATGGTATTGTCTCTACTAAAATTACAAAAATTAGCCGGGCATGGTGGTGCATGCCTGTACTCCCAGCTACTCAGGAGTCTGAGACAGAAGAATCACTTGAACCCAGGAGGCGGAGGTTGCAGTGAGCAGAGATTGCGCCACTGCACTCCAGCCTGGGCCATAAAATGAGATTCCGTCTCAAAAAAAAAAGAGGACTGACTTACTACAAAAGCTATGCCTCTATTATAGTACACTGTCTCTCTCAATAACAGTGATAGGCTGGGCACGGTGGCTCATGCCTATAATCCCAGCACTTTGGGAGGCCAAGGTAGGTGGATCACGAGGTCAGGAGTTCAAGACCAGCCCGGCCAAGATTGTGAAACCACGTCTCTACTAAAAATACAAAAATTAACCAGGCATGGTGGCGGGCATATGTAATCCCAGCTACTCAGGAGGCTGAGGCAGGAGAATCCCTTGAACCCAGGAGGCGGAGGTTGCAGTGAGCCGAGATCTCGCCACTGCAGTCTAGCCTGGGCAACAGAGCAAGACTCTGTCTCAAAAAAAAATTAAAATATAAAAATAAAATTAAAAAATGACAGTGATAATGATACTTCACAATGGAGGTAAGAACAAAAAAACAAATATAATGATAGCAACTGCAGCCTCAATCTCCTGGACTCAAGCAATTCCCTTGCTTCAGTCTTCCAAACAAACGTCTGTTCTTTTGTTTGTTTGTTTGTTTTACGGGAAAGAAACAAAAAAAAAGTCTGTTCTTAAGGTCCCATAACATAAAGAGAAAATCCTGCCCACTATGGATAACAATTTTAATTCTTTCAACATGGATGTATGAAAAGTCTAGTATGCAAAAACAAGGAAAATCTGAGAAACTATCAGTCAAGAGGAGCCTACGGAAAAGACGACGATTAAATAAAATATAATATCCTGAATGGGATCTGCAACAGAAAAAGGACACTAGAGAAAAAGTAAGGAAATCTGAATAAAGTATGGACACTAGCTAATATACCAATATTGGCTCATTAATTATAAAAAAAAAAATCACTCTAGGCCAGGTGTGGGGGCTCACGCCTGTAATCCCAATACTTGAGGAGGCTGAGGCAGGCAGATCACTTGAGGCCAGGAGTTCAAGACCAGCCTGGCCAACATGGTGAAACCCCGTCTCTCCCAAAAATACAAAAATTAGCCAGGGGTGGTGGTGCGTGCCTGTAGTCCCAGCTACTTGGGAGGAGGCTGAGGCAGGAGAATCGCTTGAACCTGGGAGGCAGGGGTTGCAGTGAGCAGAGATCATACCATTGCACTCCAGTCTGGGCAACAGAGCAAGACTCTGTCTCAAAAAATAAATAAATAAATCACACTAATGTAAAGATAATAGTAATAGGGGAACTTGGGATATATGGGAACTCTGTGTACTGTCTTTGCAAGTTTTCTGTAAATCTAAAACTATTCTAAAATAAAGCTTATTTTTAAAAAGTCTATTATAAGCCAGGTGTAGTGGCTAATGCCTACAATCCAAGCATTTTGGGAGGCCAAAGTAGGAAGATCACTTGAGCCTAGGATTTTGAGACCAGCCTGGCCAACATAGGAAGACCCTTTCTCTACAAAACAAAAAATTAGCCAGGCGTGGTGGTGCACACCTGTGATCCCAGCTACTCAGGAGGCTGAGGTAGGAGGATCACTTGGACCCAGAGGGCTGAGGCTGCAATAAGCCGTGACTGTGCCATTGCACTCTGGCCTGGGGTGACAGAATGAGACCCTGTCTCAAGTTAAAAAAAAAAGAAAAAAAAAAGCTTATATGCCAACTGCTGTGCTGAATGTTAAAGAGAATATAAAAACAAAATGTAACTACAGGGATGAATCTTGAAAACATTATACTAAATAAAAGAAACCAGTCACAAAGGACCAAATATTACATGATTCTATTTCTGTGAAATATCCAGAATAGTGAAATCTATGGAGAAAGGAAGTCAATTAGTGGCTGCCTGGGGCTGGAAGGGCTGGGGAGCTGTGGATGACTGCTAAGGGGTATGGAGTTTTTTTTTGGGATGATGTTCTCAAACTGTAGTAATGGTTGTACAATTCTGTGAATATAATAAAAGCTACTGAATTCCACACTTTAAATAGGTGAATTGTAGGTTATGTGAACTATATTTCAATAAAGCTATCAAAAAATGTATGCACAATCTCTGTCCTTCAGGCATCTGGATGGCTGGAGACACAGACATACATTTGTATTAAACAGCTAAGCAATATTGCAGGCATTGTATGAAGTCAAAATAGGTGGTGCGAACAACAAGCACACCTGGCAGGAAATCCAGGGGGAGATGGCTAAGAGAAATCCTTAGCTTTTGCAGAGTTACAGACGTTGCTGAGGATCTGCTCAGTCATGAACCCTCTTCCTAGACAAATGCATATAAGCAAGGATATATAAAGAGTTTGCCTACTACTTCAGGAGATTCACCAAAACTCTTATCATCACCCAAGAACCCCTATGCTAAACCAAGAGATCCTCAGAGCAAGGGTCATGTCACTTTCCTCTCAGGCACATTGTAGACAATCAAGGTTTGTTCTGATGAATAAATGATTAGAAAGAAGTGAATAAATGATAATCATTGCTACCATATATTAAGCACCGACATCTACTTTGTTGAGCACCTACCATGTGTCTAAATCATAATACCTTTACAAGATAAGCATTATTATCACCACTTTACAGTTGAGGAAACAGATTAAGTAACCTACCCAAAGTCACACAACTACTATTGAAGCTAGCCTAGGGTCTTGGGTTTCTCTGACACCAAAATCCATAATTTCCCCACTATTCTACACCTTTTCTCACATAAATGAAGATGTTAGTGCTTAGGAAATTAGGAGGCGGAAAGATAAAACTTAAGAAAAGTCTCCCAGAGGATGTAAAACCATGAAGATTGGGAAGGATGTGAATAGACAGAAGGGCAAAATGTGCAGATGATCCCAGAAGCACAATTGAATCAGGTACTAAAAGACTTTGTAAAGTATGTGTGCAATACACTTAACCTAATATTGGTCAGCATAAAAGACAGAGTAGGAAACTGGGGCCCCAGGAGAGGTCAGGCCAGCTCCCCCAACCACTAGCTATGTACTTTGAAGTTAGATCAGAGGACTCTAAAGTCTCTCCAGGGCCGGGATCTATTAACCATGACAAACAATAGAAATGAGAGTGAACAGAATATATTTTTAAATGGGTCACTTCATATAGAAGAGGGACTGGATGGGAAAAAAAGATCAAAATGAGACTGCTTTCTCATTTTAATTGTTCAGATTTCTGAGTCTGTACAATAACCAAGGTTTTAATTATCTAAAAGCCAGGCTTAAGAATTGACAACTTTCGGCCAGGCCCAGTGGCTCACGCCTGTAATCCCAGCACTTTGGGAGGCCGAGGTGGGCGGATCACCTGAGGTCCGGAGTTTGAGACCAGCCTGACCAACATGGAGAAACCTCGTCTCTACTAAAAATACAAAATTAGCCGGGCGTGGTGGCGCATGCCTGTAATCCCAGCTACTCCAGAGGCTGAGGCAGGAGAATGGCTTGAACCCGGGAGGCGGAGGTTGCTGTGAGCCGAGATCACGCCATTGCACTCCAGCCTGGGCAACAAGAGCGAAACTCCATCTCAAAAAAAAAAAAAAAAAAGAAAAAGAAAAAAGAGTTGACAACTTTCTGGAAGACATTCAAATTATGGTATGAACTCTCCCGGTCAGCTCTGGGAAATGTGCTTCCTCTCCCCTGCAATGCTTGGCATTATTTATCCAGACAAAAGTAATCTATTTTGGGACTGTATCTACAATTACCCTCTCCTCCCCATCAGCAAATGAAGAGCAGCTCTGGCCCTGCAAGTGGAAGAGGAGGATGGTGACGCCAGCGAATGAATGAATGAGGACACAGATGCTGCACTGGGTAACAAAAATACTCCCATGAGCCAGGAACCAAGCAAGGACTGCACAACTACCAAAAAACTGAAGTCACAGGGCAAAATCTAGAGCATGTGAGTAGCTTAAGACATCAGAGTCTGGAGTGGGTGGTGAGAGCAGTGGGTCAGGGGTCTTTGATGCAAGCAACTGAGAGCTGTTTCATGAAAGTAACAGAATATATTTGTGTATTAATAAATATTATTTAAAATAGCATTGTTACTACCATTTATTGAGTCCTATTTACTAGGCACTTTACGCATACTATTTGTCTTTTTAATTTTTTTTTTTTAAGAGACCGGATCTTACTATATTGCCCATGCTGTCTCGAACTCCTGGCCTCAAGCAATCTTCCTGCCTTGGCCTCCCAAAATGCTGGGATTACAGGAGTGAGCCACCAGGCCTGGCCCATATTATTTCAATTAATTGTTACAGCAACCCTCTCTGATGGGGCATTATTGAGATAACTGGCTCTATTTTACACAGGAAAAAAAAGTTTATGTAAATTGCCCAAAGTTATAGGTTTGGTAAGAGAAATTCAAACCCAGGTCTGCCTGAATCCAAAGTCCATCCCTTCTATTCTTCCACACTACCTCTCAAAAAACTGATACCAATTTATACTAATGAAGTTCATAGCTAATGATAATAGCCATTCAAAAATCCTACCATTTACTGAGCACCTGCTATATGCCAAACACCATCTCCTTTAATCCTCACAACCATTCTGTGAGGCATAGTTCTTTGTATTTTCTTTTATATAGATTTAGGGAGTACAAGTGCCATTTTGTTAAATGGATACATTGCTTATTGGTGAAATCTGGGTTTTTAGCGTAACCATTACTCAAATGATGAACATTGTACCCATTAAGTAATTTCTCATCCCTCATCCCCCTCCTGCCTTCCCACCCTTCCAAGTCTCCAGTGCCTATGTTCCATGCCTGTGAAGTAGATATTTCTACCGCATTTTATAGTGAGGAAATCAAAGCTCAGAAAAGCGAATTAACATGCCTAATGCACACAACTAATAAGTCATGTTCTAGCTGACCCCACAATCAGAGCTCTCTCTACTACTATATACTATATCCTATACTCCTGTTGCAAAGCAAGTCGGCTATTACATGACAGCTCTTATTTTATTCCAAGATGAACAACACCTTGATCTATATTCCAATTCTTTTGTTTTTGAGACAAGGTCTTGCTCTGTCACCCAGGCTGGGGTAAAGTGGCATCACCATGGCTCACTGCAACCTCGACCCCCTAGACTTAAGCCATTCTCCTGCCTCATCCTCCCAAGTAGCTGGGACTACAGATGTGTGCCACTACACTCGGCTAATTTTTTCTTTGTAGAGATGGGGTTTTGCCATGTTGCCCAGGCTCTACATTCCAAAGCTTACAAGGAGTTTACTCTCATCTTAGGCATCCTGGAAAAGCCCAGTCCCTGCCTAAGTTCATTTATCAGAAGCTTCAAATTCTCCTTACTGGCTTTCCACTCTCAGTGCCCACCACTACCTTCCTTTCTTTTCTTTCTTTTTTTTTTTTTTGCTTGAGAGGGAGTCTTGCACTGTTGCTAGGGCTAGAGTGCAATGGTGCGATCTCAGCTCACTACAACCTCCGCCTCTCAGGTTCAAGCGATTCTCCGGCCTCAGCTTCCTGAGTAGCTGGGATTACAGGTGCCTGTCACCAAACCCGGATAATTTTTTGTATTTTTAGTAGAGACGTGATTTCACTATGTTGGCCAGGCTGGTCTCCAACTCCTGACCTCGTGATCCGCCCACCTCAGCCTCCCAAAGTGCTGGGATTACAGGTGTGAGCCACCACATCCAGCCTCACCATTACCTTTCCCACGTACGCAACCAATACTAGCCTCTCTGTCTATAATGATCCATCTGTTACTTAAATACCTCCCTGGTCAAAACTGAAACATTTTCAGACACTGCTAACTATCTGAATGTTCTCCCACATAGAAAGCCCAAACCCATCTCCCTGTAACTTCTACGGTTTGTGCCTAGTTCCCCACTCTGACATCATACAAAGTAAGTTCAGTTCTTGTTTTTCATACAAGAAGTCAAACCCTTCATGTATTTGAAGGCAATAATCATTGCCTCCAGGTTTTCTCAAGTTCTTTTAAAAATTGTTTTTGTTGGCCGGGCGAGGTGGCTCACATGTGTAATCCCAGCACTTTGGGAGGCTGAGGCGAGCAGATCACCTGAGGTCAGGAGTTTGAAACCAGCCTGGCCAACAGGCTGTATTTTGTAAAAGGCTGTATTTTGTATTTTGTAAAAATACAAAAATTAGCCAGGCACAGTGGTGGGCGCCTGTAATCCCAGGTACTCGGGAGACTGAGGCAGGAGAATCACTTGAACCCAGGAGGTGGAGGTTGCAGTGAGCCGAGATTATGCCACTGCCCTCCAGGGCGACAGAGCGAGACTCTGTCTCAAAAAAGAAAAAAAAAATTGTTTTTGTTTCCAGTCTTTCCTTTAGCCATAACCTTCTAAACATATTTATGTTGATTATCAAAGTCTGCCTTTGGATTGGGTCCTTATGGCTGTTAGGAGCACAAGTTTTATATCCAAACCCAAACACAAATTTGTGTTTGAATATCAGCACTTCCATTTTACTAGCTGTACAGTCCTTGGAAAGTCAGCTGGCCTCACATATTGTTACGGGATTTTTGGAGTGTCATTTTTCTGGCCGGAAAAGTCTGTGGCTGGTGGCATCTTTGCCCGAATTTTGCTCTGGTCCACTGGGCTTGTTTCACCCACTTGTCTTGGCAGGCTGTCCTCCGCTCACACTACCAGCCTGGGTCCCACGCCTGCCAAGGGCAAGTCAGGCATAGGCCAGTGAGGGGTATGTGAGTGAGCATGGGGTCTGGCCAATGTGCACAGTCAGACATGCCGGCTGCTGCAGCAGGGCGGGCAGCTGCAGGTGCTGGCACAGGCACTGGCTCTCTGCGAGGCCGGACCAGGTGCACCACAAGCAGCTTTCACAGCTGGCACTGGGGAACACGTGGCGCTCAGAAGCTTGGAGATGCCAGCAACCACAGGGCTCCAAGGAGGGAGTCACAGCCCTGGCTCAGGGAGCTCCCAGGTCTGGGCTCCCTGAAGGGCTGCAGCTCTTCTTTCCTTCTCTTCACCCACAACCTGGTGAAAAAGGGGCACATCTCAGCCCTGTTTCTGTTGCAGCTCTTTTAGCCCTGCCATTAAACAGGTCCCAAGTTCTTGTCCTGCAACCAGAACAAATGGAGTATGCAGACAAGCGGAGGGTGAGCAAGACAAAGAAGAGCTTTATTGAGTGGCAGAATAGCTCAGAGGAGGACCTTGGAGTGGGCAGCTCCTCTCTGCAGGCAGGTCGTCTGAATGTCTTCCCAGCTCTCAGCAGAGAAGTCTCTAGAGTGGATAGCTCCTCTCTGCAGCCGGTTGTCCCGATGTCTGTTCAGCTCTGGCTGAGCCCAAGGTTGGTTTGTTTGCTTTTTTTTGAGACAGTCTCACTCTTTTCACCCAGGCTGGAGTGCAATGGCGTGATCTCACTGCAACCTCTGTCTCCTGGGTTCAAGGGATTCTCCTGCCTCGACCTCCTAAGTAGCTGGGATTACAGGCGCCCACCACCACGCTCGGCTAATTTTTTTGTATTTTTAGTACAGATGGGGTCTCACCATGTTGGCCAGGTTGGTCTCAAACTCCTGACCTCAGGTGATCTGCCTGCCTTAGCCTCCCAAAGTGCTGGGATTACAGGCATGAGCCACTACACCCAGACCCAAAGTTTTTATGAGCCTCAGAGGGAAGGAAGTACATGTTGATTTGTCCATGGGTGGCCATGGGCAGGCCTGGAAAAGGTACCGTTAAGTTCCCACTCCTGTCCACGGGACTGGCAGCCTAGCCCCAGACTTCAGGCACTCCCTGGCCTGAAGGTGGGGTCTCAATGGGAACCTGCCCCCTTCTGCCCAGGAAGCTGTCTGCCTCTCACTGCCATTCATAGTGCCCTGTAGGTGCCAAGGGGCACGGGCAGGCCACTGCTGAGCTGCCTTCAGCCCCGCTTTGGCTTCCCTCCTATGCCTGTTGGTGCCCAAAGTCCAGAGGGGGCCAAGGAGGCAAGAGGCTGGCGTGTCAGCACTGCCCCGAATGTGTGTACACCTGGCCAGGCTGCGACAGTACCTGGGCTTGGCCCCAGCTTTGCTCCAAGATCAGAGCTGGTGTCGACAGCAGGGAGAAGCCAGGCAGCAGGAGCAGACACCTCTGAGCCTGCGAGGGCTGGGGCAGCCTTCCTGGGCCCCACAAGAGTACACAGATGCCTGGGTCCGCAGTCACAGTTTGGGCGGCCGTAACTGCACTCGGAAGAGCGGAGCTCCTGCTTGCTCCGTGGAGCAAGAGGCCTAGATCCACAGCCATGACTTGGGCACCGCCCCAACTCGGAAGGGGCAGGGCTCCCACTTGTCCCTGGCTCTGACTGGCTCTGGCCACGCCTCCCTGCTGCAGCCAGAGTGATGGCAGCGGCCAATCCAGATGGCCCACGATTTCATTTATATGAAATGACTAGAATAGACAAATCATAGGACGGAAAGATGATTAGTGGGTGCTAAGGGCTGGGAGATGACAGTATGGGGAGTGACTACTTATGGGTAAGGAGTTTCCTTTTGGGATGGTAAAAATGTTCAGGAATTAAATAGTGGTAACAGTTGTACAACTTTGTGAATATACTAAAAACCATTAAATTATCTACTTTAAAAGTGAATAAGCCGGGTGCAGTGGCTCAAGCCTGTAATCCCAGCACTTTGGGAGGCTGAGGCGGGTGGATCACGAGGTCAGGAGATCGAGACCATCCTGGCTAACACAGTGAAACCCCATCTCTACTAAAAAAAAAAAAAATTAGCTGGGCGTGGTGGCGGGTGCCTGCAGTCCCAGCTACTGGGGAGGCTGAGGCAAGAGAATGGTGTGAACCCGGGAGGCGGGGCTTGCAGTGAGCGGAGATCGCGCCACTGTACTCCAGCCTGGGTGACAGAGACTCGGTCTCAAAAAAAAAAAGAGTGAATATTATAATAAATGAATTATATTTTTTAATTATTAAAAAAGAGTCACAAGAAAACTTTTATGACTGCTCAGACTTGCTTGGATCCTGCTGTTATACTTTAAAAAAAAAAAATTCAGAGATGAAGTCCAGGTGAAGTCAGACTTCATCAGAGATGAAGTCCAGGCTCACGCCTGTAATCCCAGCACTTTGGGAGGCGGAGGCAGGTGGATCACCTAAGGCCAGGTGTTCGAGACCAGCCTAGCCAACATGGTGAAACCCTGTCTCTACTAAAAATACAAAAATTAGCCGGGCATGAGGCCAGGTGCAGTGGCTCACACCTGTAATCCTAGCACTTTGGAAAGCCGAGGCGGGCGGACTGGCTGAGCTCAGGAGTTCAAAACCAGCCTGGGCAACACGGTGAGACCCCGTCTCTACTAAAAAAATACAAAAAAATTAGCTGGGTGTGGTGGTGGGTGCCTGTAGTCCCAGCTACTTTGGGAGGCTGAGGCAGGAGAATTGCTTGAACCCAGAAGGCGGAGGTTTCAGTGAGCTGAGGTCACACTATTGCACTCCAGCCTGGGCGACGGAGCAAGACTCCATCTCCAAAAAAAAAAAAAAAATTAGCTGGGCATGGTGGTGCATGCCTGTTATCCCAGCTACTCAGGAGGTCGAGGCAGGAGAATCGCTTGAACCCGGGAGGCGGAGGTTGTGGTGAGCCGAGATCATGCCACTGCACTCCAGCCTGGGCAACAGAGCAAGACTCCAACTCAAAAAAAAAAAAAAAGAAAAGAAGTAAATACTTGCCCTCATAACACAAGTGCTGGATGATACTTCTAAGCCAGAGCTGAGCTCCATTAAACTCAATTCCCTAACTAGATTCTCTTGAACAACTTAACCCAATTTTACAATCTTGTGGTCACCATCTAAAATGTTTGTTTGTTTGTCTGACCTGATTTAAATTTTTTTTTTTTTTCCAGAGATGGAGTTTCACTCTTGTTGCCCAGGCTGGAGTGCAATAACACGATCTCGGCTCACTGCAACTTCCTCCTCCCACATTCAAGTGATTCTCCTGCCTCAACCTCCCGAGTAGCTGGGATTACACACATGCGCCACCACGCCCAGCTAATTTTGTATTTTTAGTAGAGATGAGGTTTCTCCATGTTGGTCAGGCTGGTCTCAAATTCCCAACCTCAGGAGATCCCGCTGCCTCAGCCTCCCAAAGTGCTGGGAGTACAGGCGTGAGCCACCATGCCCGGCCTTGATTTATTTAATTTTATTTATTTATTCAGAGACAGATAGTTTAGATAGATAGATAGATAGATAGATAGATAGATAGATAGATAGATACAGGGTCTCACTCTGTTACCCAGGCTGGAGTGCTGTAGGGTGATCACAGAGCTCGCTGCAGCCTTGGCCTCCCGGGCTCAACTGATCCTCCCACCTCAGCCTCCCGAGTAGCTGGGACTAAAGGAACATGCCACCACACCTGGCTAATTTTTGTATTTTTTGTCAAAACAAGGTTTCAGGCCGGGCGTGGTGGCTCACGTCTGTAATCCCAGCTCTCAGGGAGGCAAGAGGTGGGAGGATAGCTTGAGCCCAGGAGTTCGAGACCTGCCTGGGCAATATAGCGAGACCCTGTTCTCCAGAAAAAGGGAAAAAAAAAAAAAAAAAAACACGAAACAAGGTTTCGCCATGTTGCCCAGGCTGGTCTCAAACTCCTGAGCTCAAGCAATCCACCCACTGCAGCTTTTCAAAGTGTTGGAATTATAGGCATGAGCCACCATGCCTAAATATAAATCCAATCCCTTACCTCAATTCTCACTCCCATACTATTTCTCTGCATACTCTCCCGTAATCTACACCCCAGTGCTTCTCTCCCTCCCAACTTCCTCTAGGAGTTCCTCTGGAACTCCAAGTGTGTTCTCATTTCAGGACCTTTACACATGTTCTTCTCCTTATCTGGAATATATTTTCTCTAAA
Organism: Homo sapiens; assembly: GCF_000001405.40. Classification (NCBI taxonomy): domain Eukaryota; kingdom Metazoa; phylum Chordata; class Mammalia; order Primates; family Hominidae; genus Homo; species Homo sapiens. Next base: position 73,793,551 of record NC_000011.10, on the reverse strand, counting down.
TCCTACCTACTCTTTAAATCTTAGTAGTCATGCAACGTCCTCAAGAAAACTTTTGTGACTGCTCAGACTTGCTTGGATCCTTCTGTTACACAGTCATATAGCACCCTGAATCTTTCATTTGCAGCATTTATCATAGTCAGTTAAGTAGTTATAAGTTTAATTAGTCCATCTGTTAATAAGCACCATGGCCAGGTGCAGTGGCTCACGCCTATTAATCCCAGCACTTTGGGAGGCCAAGGTGGGCGGATCACCTGAGGTCGGGAGTTCAAGACCAGCCTGACCAACATGGAGAAACCCCATCTCTACTAAAAATACAAAATTAGATGGGCATGGTAGTGCATGCCTGTTATCCCAGCTACTTAGAAGGCTGAGGCAGGAGAATCACTTGAACCCAGGAGGCAGAGGTTGTAGTGAGCTGAGATCGCACCATTGCACTCCAGCCTGGGCAACAAGAGCAAAACTCCATCTCAAAATAAATAAATAAATACATAAGCACCATGAAGACAGGAACCTGCTACATCCCAGCATCTAGCATACACTCTGGCACACAGCAAGTGCCCAATAAATATCTGCTGATCAAATTAGTAAATCCCTCTAAACCTCATTTCCTTATCTCTGAAGAGTTTATAAAAATATTTACTTCATAGACTTGTTGACATGATTAAATTAGATAACACATGAAAAGGGCTAACAAGTACAAGTTGCATTATTAATGGTCAAACTGGTAACAATGATGATAATGGTGGTGGTAATTGTTTGGTTCCTCATTTGTGAAACAATATGTACCTTAGGGTGTGACAGGTGCTGAAGATAAAACCATTAACAAAATAGAAAAGCTCCTCCAGGGCCTGTGGTCTAGTGGTGACCAGGAAATAGCCAACTTCTTGATTATTCTGAGCTTTTGGACTTCCTGCCCTTCTAGGTACTCTAAAATGTGTGTACTACTAGTTCATGTCTTTTAATGTCCTCCTAATTCTGTCTATTGAATGTATTTGGAGGACATTTTGTTCATATGAACTCTGTTCCACTTTAGCCTTCAAATGCTGAAATGTGAAAACATCTTATCTCTGAGATCAGTTCCCAAGGATGTTCCTTCTGGGCTGACATATTAGACATAACTTGGCACACCATTAGTGATCACAGAGTCTCCCCTAACCATACCCTTGTGGTTCAGGGGTAAGGTATTCCCTGAGAAAATAGTGGTTATCTCAGAGTGAGTGGCATCTAGACCTGAGCATGACACTCCAGAGCCATTCATTTTCTGTGCAAAATAACTGCAGGTGATTCAATACTCATTTCCTTGGTGCATTCTAACTTCCCTAGATACCATCCTGCCATCATGATCATCAGTACACTGATCTGATAAATATCAGCATGAATGCCTTATCTGGTTCCACCCTGCTGAACTCCTTCTGTTGACCCAAAGAGGTACTGGCTCTATCCAGTTTTATTCTAGCAAAGCTGGGCTTCTCACTCATCTAAAATTTGAGATGAAGTTAGGCACAGAAGGGCATGTCTGTTATCCCAGCAACCCAGGAGGCTGAAGTGGGAGGATCACTTGAGCTCAGAAGTTAAAGACCAGCCTGGGCAACATAGTGAGACCGTGTCTCAAAAATAAAATAAAATTTGAGATTATCTGCAGCCAGAAACTTCTTAGGGCCCCAAGGAAGGAGCACTGAATTAAGAGTTAGAAGTTCTAGTCCCAGCTCTACCATGTACTTACCAGGTAATATCAACATTTGTTTGTTCACTTATTCATTCGACATTTACCAGGTACCTACTTTAGGCCAGATACACTATAGGGTGGGTGCATATAGACAAGAATACAGTTGCAACCTGGCACAGTGGCTCACGCCTGTTATCCTAGCACTTTGGGAGGCCGAGGCGGGCAGATCACTTGAGTCCAGGAGTTTGAGACCAGCTTGGGTAACATGGTAAAACCCCATCTCTACAAAAAAATACAAAAAATTAGCCAGGCACGGTGGCATGTGCCTGTAATCCCAGCTACTCAGGAGGCTAAGGCGAGAGGATCGCTTGAGCCCAGGAGGCGGAGGTTGCAGTGAACTGAGATCACTCCACTGCACTGCTGCCTGGGTGACAGAGTGAGACCCTGTCTCAAAACAAAATTTAAAAAAAAAGAAAATATAGTTGCATACCCACAAAACTTCTAATGAGGAAAGCAGATGCACAAATTATTTATTATCCTATGTTAGATCAGTATAATGGGCTGTATGGGTTACAAAGAAGAAAAGGTCTGACACATAGGAAAGCCAGGAAAGGTTTTCATCCTGCATTTCACAGATGAGGAAAATCAAGAATATTATCATATTAGGGAGATGTAAAATACTCAGAAAAGAAAAAGCAGCGGGCCAGGCATGGTGGCACACGCCTGTAATCCCAGCACTTTGAGAGGCCCAGGCGGCAGATTGCTTGAGCCCAGGAGTTCCAGACCAGCCTGGGCAAAATGGCAAAACCCTGTCTCTACAAAAAATACAAAAATTAGCCAGGCGTGGTGGCAGGTGCCTGTAGTCCCAGCAACTCAGGAGGCTGAGGTGGGAGAATCACCTGAGCCCGGGATATCGGGGCTGCAGTGAACCAAGATTGTGCTACTGCACTACAGCCTGGGCAACAAAGTGAGACCCTGTCTCAAAAAAAAAAAAAAAAAAAAAAAGAACAGAAAAGGCAGTGGGATCTTAGGAGGGGTACAACTAATAATCTAGGTTTCATCCAGGAGTGGTGGCTCATATCTGCAATCCCAGAACTTTGGGAGGCCAAGGTGGGAGGACTGCTTGAAGCCAGGAGTTCGAGACTAGCCTGGGCTACAAAGCAAGACCCCATCTCTACTAAAAATAAAAAAATTAGCTGAGCGGCCAGGCACGGTTGCTCAAGCCTGTAATCCCAGCACTTTGGGAGGCCAAGGTGGGCAGATCACGAGGTCAGGAGATCGAGACCATCCTAGCTAACACGGTGAAACCCCGTCTCTACTAAAAATACAAAAAATTAGCCAGGTGTGGTGGCGGGCACCCGTAGCCCCAGCTACTCCAGAGGCTGAGGCAGAAGAATGGCGTGAACCCGGGAGGCGGAGCTTGCAGTGAGCTGAGGTCGGGCCACTGCACTCCAGCCTGGGTGACAAAGCGAAACGCTGTCTCAAAAAAAAAAAAAAAAAAAAAAAAAAAAGGCCGGGTGCGGTGGCTCACACCTGTAATCCCAACACTTTGGGAGGCTGAGGTGGGCGGATCCGGATCACGAGGTCAGGAGATAGAGACCATCCTGGCTAACATGGTGAAACCCCGTCTCTATTAAAAATACAAAAAATTAGCCGGGCATGGTGGTGGGCACCTGTAGTCCCAGCTACTCAGGAGGCTGAGGCAGGAGAATGGCATGAACCCGGGAGGTGGAGCTTGCAGTGAGCCGAGATCGCGCCACTGCACTCCAGCCTGGGCGACAGAGGGAGACTCTGTCTCAAAAAAAAAAAAAAAAAAAAAAAAATTAGCTGAGCATGGTGGTGTACACCTGTAATCCCCGCTGCTCATGAGGCTGAGTGAAAAGAATCACTTGAACCCAGGAGTTCAAGGATTTAGTAAACTATGACTGCACCATTGCACTCTAGCCTGGGTGACAAAGTGAGACCCTGTCTCTAAACAAAAACAAAGCCTAGGTTCCAGTCATTCATTCAAGCCATCAGTATGACATTAAAGTCTCTATTATATACCAGACATGAGGCTTCCATTTCCTCATCTGTTGCATCTGCCAGGATTATCTCGTGATATTGTGAAGATCAAATGAAATTGTGTAAATGAAAATTTATTAACTATAGAACAATATCAATATTATTATTTGCATCATCCTTCATTCCTTACAAAATATTCCTGTTTACATTATTCCCTATAGTCTCTACAATTCCATGTGGTGGGCATCATCTGCATTTTACAGATAGGAAACAGAAGCAGTAAAGTTAAATAACTTGCCCAAGGTCATAACAAGAGACAGAACTGTCTGACAAATCCCATGACCTTCCTTATAAATGTAAAGTATTAACTAACACTTTGAGACAGACTTACATTTGGCAAATAATGACGAGGTTAGCTGACTAAAGCAACTAAGGAGTCGGGAAGAGAACAGTGGCATCAGACGTCGAGAGGCCTTATATACCCATGTCAGATGCTGGCCTTAATGACAGATTTCCATGGGCTCTTTTCCAGGAGTTCCAGACCAGCCTGAGCAATATGGTGAAACATGGAGAACCGAATGGTTGGAAATAGTATTCCTTGAAAAATAATCCCTCCCTTTTAGCCCTTCTTGGAACCAAGGCAAATCAAGGAGTGTAGTCACCAGTGTGACCATCTTTAACAATGGAATTTTGAAACTTTCTGATTTTTTTTTCTATTATCTTGGCACCATATTTGGCCAAATTCTTACAAACTGGCTAAGGTGAACAAGTGAATTGTTTCATAAAGGATGAAGTGAGGCGTGGGCCCTCACACATTCAAGGGCAGCCCCAAGGTAACCACAGGTAGACCCATGAGCTGCAACGACCATGCTGACCTATGAATCATGGAAATATAGTTGCCACAATTAATGCCTAAAACAAAATTTTAATATAAATTGCTAAAATGAGTCATTAATCTAAGCAGCATGATACAATTGAAAGAGCACAAATGAAATCTGTTAAATCTGTTAAGGGAACGGGAGAAAGCCCAGGAACACATTTATAGTGGTTCATACGGTTTTATGACAGTCACTTAAATAAGGTTTTGGAAACGAAAATGTTGTTAATTATTGCAGGGCGCGGTGGCTCATGCCTGTAATCCCGGCACTTTGGGAGGCCGAGGCGGGCAGATCACGTGGTCAGGAATTCGAGACCAGCCTGGCCAACACAGTGAAACCCCGTCTCTACTAAAAATACAAAAATTAGCCCGGCATGGTGTCCCGCGCCTGTAGTCCCAGCTACTGAGGAGGCTGAGGCAGGAGAATCGCTTGAACCCGGAAGGCGAAGGTTGTGGTGAGCCGGGATCGCACCACTGCACTCCAGCCTGGGCAACAGAGCGAAATCCGTCAAAAAAAAAAAAAAAAAAAAAAGAAAGAAAAGAACAAAAACCTAGTTTATTACTGCTGTTTCCTTATTACCAGGTAGCTTCACATCCTCATCAGTTCAGCAAGTCAAAACTGCATTCTTAGAAAAAATTCTGGAAGTTGATAACTGAATGCAAATATAAAATGACCTGCCCAAGGTCACACAGTTAATCGGGACCGTATCCTGGTGTCGTGATTCCCATCGCAGAGCTCTCCCTTTTCCAGAAACTGGGTGGAGAGAGTGGCATGTGGTGTGGGCGTGGCACGGGTCGGCTCGGCAGAGTTCGCCCCGGGTGGAAAGGAATCTGCTCAGCCCCTTCAACGCCAGGCAGCCGCATGTGCTGCTGGGAAGGACCTTGGGCGCCCCAGTGTCTCATCCCCGGATGTCCGCGCGCCGCCACCTCCCCGCTCTGCACCCTCCGCCATCTCCCCTCTCTGCACCGTCCGCCATCTCCCCGCGCCCCGCGTGCGTGGAATCTACGTTACCTTTTCCAAGGTTCCGCTCATCCTTTGCTGCTGCGCGGCCTCTAGCTGTGCAAACCGAAGACCGGACCCTGCAGCCGCGTTCCCAGGGCGTCTGAAAACACTGAAGGAACGGCCTTGACCAGGTGCAGCAGCAATATCCCACCGAGACTCACTCAACTTCCACATCATTTTAGTTCCGGAAGCTTCTGAAATTCAGAGTCTAGAAATTCTCCTGCTTTCCACCCTCACTCAGGTTGTCACATTCACTGCTGTTTCTCCAGAAAGAATTAATTACCATCTCTGTGTTACCCCAGTACTTAGCACACAATTCTAATTTTTCGCTTACAATATTATACACTAATGATTTGTTACCACCTCTTCTCTGTATTTGAAAGTTCTTAAAAGACTGAGATCCTGTCTGATTAATTCCTTTCAGCGTCTAGCACAGATCTGACTTTTTTGTTTGTTTGAGACGGAGTCTCGCTCTGTTGCGCAGGCTGGAGTGTAGTGGCACGATCTCAGCTCACTGCCACCTCCGCCTCTCGGGTTCAAGCAATTCTGTCTCCAAGTAGCTGGGATTACAGGTGCCCGCCACCACGCCCGCCTAATTTTTATATTTTTACTAGAGATGAGGTTTCTCCATGTTTGTCAGGCTGGTCTTGAACTCCCGACCTCAGGTGATCCGCCCGCCTCGGCCTCCTAAAGTGCTGGGATTACAAGCGTGAGCCACCAGGCCCAGCCAATCATCTCTTAAATTGAGTTTAGAAGTCAGATTTCCACGTCCTGTGCTAGATGCTGGAATAAATTAGTCAGGATCTCAGTCCTTGAGGAACTCAATCAAAATAATAGCAAAAAATAATTAGTATCTAGTAACAAATAATTAGTATCTAGTATGGTAAGTGAAATACCAGAATTGTGTGCAAAGTACTGAGGTAACACAGATACGACAATTAATTATGCTTGGAAATATAATGGACCAGGCATACCTCCTCCAGTACAGTGATTGATTATTGCCTAATAAATGCTATTGGGGTTTTAGAAGTGAAATTTTAAATAAGAAAAAAAAAATCAATCAAATGCTAGTATGTGCCAGGTCGGTTCTTTATGGGTGTATGGGTTCATTTAGTCTTTCCAATAACCCTATGAGGCTGAGGATCATTATACCCATTTCACAGATGAGGAACAGAGACAGGAAGAAGGTACCTAGTTAACATAATGTTATATAAGTGGTGAGCTGTTTCATTTCCGTGCCTGTGCTTCATCTATTTTATGGGACTGTGACTATAGGTTTGCAAAAGGGCAGGTTGGCAGCCAGAGAGTTTCTTTCCTTGTCTAGTCCAGGTAAATACAATCTAATAAGATACATGGCCGGGTGCGGTGGCTCATGCCTGTAATCCCAGCACTTTGGGAGGCCAAGGCAGGCGGATCACAAGGTCGGGAGTTTGAGACCAGCCTGACCAAAACTGTGAAACTCCGTCTCTACTAAAAATACAAAAATTAGCTGGGCGTAGTGGTGCATGCCTGTAATCCCAGCTACTCAGGAGCCTGAGGCAGGAGAATTGCCTGAATCCGGGAGGCAGAGCTTGCAGTGAGCCGAGACGGCGCCATTGCACTCCAGCCTGGGCGACAACGAAACTCCATCCCAAAAAAAAAAAAAAAAAAAAGATACAAATCCATCTTTGCATTAATACACTCTCTGGGGTAGGTAAGGTGAAGGGAAAGGGAAAAAGAAGGAAGAAGGAGACGGTTAGTCCTTTGTACGAAGATATAAGGATTCCCAAAACAACTAGAATTTTTTTTTTGGCCGGGCGCAGTGGCTCACGCCTGTAATCCCAGCACTTTGGGAGGCCGAGGCGGGCAGATCACGAGGTCAGGAGATCGAGACCATGCTGGCTAACACGGTGAAACCCCGTCTCCACTAAAAATACAAAAAATTAGCCGGGCGTGGTGATGGGCGCCTGTAGTCCCAGCTACTCGGGAGGCTGAGGCAGGAGAATGGTGTGAACCCGGGAGGCAGAGCTTGCATTGAGCCGAGATCGGGCCACTGCACTCCAGCCTGGGCGACAGAGCGAGACTCTGTCTCGAAAAAAAAAAAAAAATCTAATCCCCATCTACCTATCTAGCCTTATTTCCAGCCTTTTTTTTTTTTTTTTGAGACAGAGTCTTGCTCTGTCACCCAAGCTGAAGTGCAGTGATGTGATCTTGCTCACTGCAACCTCAAGCTCCTGGGCTCAAGTGATCCTCTCACCTCAGCTTCCCAAGTAGCTGGGACTATAGGCACATACCATTGTGCCCAGCTAATTATTTTTATTTTTATTTTTGTACAGATGGGGTCTCACTTTGTTACTCAGGCTGGTCTTGAACTCCTGGCCTCAAACAATCCTCCCACCTCAGCCTCCCAAACTGTTGGGATTACAGGTGTGAGCCACTGAGCCTGGCTGGCCTTTCCACCCTTTTCAACACAAATATTACTCCATAGCCAATATTAAATCCTGTAATTCTCCAATCATGATATTCTCTATCACACCTCCCTGCCTTTGCTCCTACAATATTTCTGTTGACCTTTCTTTATTCATTCACCTGGAAAACTCCTACTCTTCTTTCCAGACACAAGTCAAATGTTACCTTTCCTGTGTAGCCATTTCCAACCACTCCACGAAAATAATGTGGTCCTTTCTCTGCACTTCCACAGCTCATTTCTTATGCTCTCAATACAATGTATTGTAACTATTTGTTCACTTATGTATCTTCTCCACTAGATCTCCACTGGATTCACTAGAGCACTTTTAAAGGAATATTGTTCATTTTTCTTTCTATCCTCAGCATTTGGCACAGGTCATAGAACATAATGAAGCTCCAACAAATGTTGAATGAAATAATGAATGTGCGAATATTTTTAAAGTTCCTAGAAGTAAATATGGATTTTAGATTTTTATAAGATCTTGCATCACAAAAAAAGCATTGAGTACTTTGCCTTTCTGGTTTTATTTTTACAAGCTAACCTTCCTTTAAAGCTTAAAAAAAAAAAAAAAAAAAAAAACCTGTCCTGGTTCTCAGCACAGCCACATCAGAGAATGCCTTAGGGAGCAAGAGAATAAAGGGAGGCCCTTTAGAAAGACTATGTTTGATCTCTGGTTAAACTTCCTTTAAAGTAATAATTCCATGATCACCTATTATAAAAAGTTTCCCATAGTGCCAAAAGTTCTAATCTATGGCTTAAGTGGAGATATATACCTTAAGCTACCTCAAACTGAAAACTATTTTAGCTTCAGTGGAACTTTTCTGCTTCTATTTTTTGGTATGATTTTGGTACAAAGAAAATCATACTTAAAAGAAAAAATATAAAAGGCCAGAGGTGGAAGAGGACTGGCTACCTAGGAAAAGCCAGAAAGAGATGGTGCTGACTCCCCAGCCCGAACTTTACCAGGAATTTTCTCCTTGTGCAGGGTTGGGCTGAGTGAGTGGGAATTACCTAACCCTAGAGAGAGGGCGAAAAGATGATGAAAGAGGCTGCAAGAGGGAAGCTCAACTGTTCAGTAAGATCACAGAAGCCCACAGGAAGGGGCAGGGTGCTGTGGCTCACACCTGTAATCTCAGCAGGGATACTGTGACACCTGAGAGGCTATCCTTATCCACCTCTTCCCATCCCTTTCAGGTTGGTCTGCACTGAACCACTTGTTATTGCAAACATGTTACTCAACGTAAGAAAACTTTTCGACCAAGTGTGGTGGCTCACACCGATAATCCCAGCGCTTAGGGAGGCTGAGGCAGGATTGCTTGAGCCCAGAAGTTTGAGACCAGCCTGGGCTATAATGAGACCCACATCTCTACAAAACAAAACAAAACCAAACCCTTTTCTTATGGAAAAGGTCTTTGTGTTGCTGCTGTCCAAGGCCCAAATATCACACAGGTACTGGAAAACAGAAACAGAAAAACCCTAATTCCACTCTAGCAAACCACTCATAGCCTCTAGTGTAATTATCCTGCCTGGCAGCCTGGGGTTAGGAGACACAAGTGCAAATTTTACAAAATAAAAATGTGGAGATAGTTTTTGAAACACATTATTTAGAGGATAGTAATAACTCCTTGACCTAATGAGATAGGCACTTCTGACCTTCATCTCCAACTATCTGCTCTGTCTCTTCATTTGAATGCCCCTCCTCTTTACCTCCACATGTACTAGCCAAGGTCCATTTTTATTATCTCCCATCTGAACTATTGTGCTGGCGTAACTAATTGGTCTGCCAGTCTTTAGTCTCATTCCTATGCCAGTTTATTTCCAAAAACAGCTTTCTTGAAGCATATTTCATGGAGATCATGATCTAAAAAGCAAAACAAACAAACAAAAAACCTTCAATACAGCCGGGTGCAGAGGTACTTACGCTGGGGTACTCCCAACACTTTGGGAGGCCAAGCAGGAGGACCCCTTGGGCCCAGGGTTTTGTGGTTACAGTGAGCTATGATCACACTACTGTACTCTAGCCTGGCGACAAAGCGAGACTTTGTCTTCAAAAAAATTAAGAAATAATAAATGTAGGCCAGACACAATGGCTCATGCCTATCATCCCAGCACTTTGGGAGACCAAGGCAGAAGGACTGCTTCAGCCCAGGAGTTTGAGACCATCCAGAGCAACATGGCAAAATCCTGTCTCTACCAAAATATAAAAATAAAAATTAGCTGGGTGTGGTGGTGCATACGTATTTTCCCAGCTATTTGGGAGCCTGAGGGTGAGAGGATCACTTGAGTCTGGGAGGTTGAGGCTGCAGTTGAGTTGTGATTGTGCCACTGCACTCCAACCTTGGTGACAGGGGGAGACTTTATCTCAAAATAATAATAATAATATGCCAGGAGCAATGGCTCGCGCCTGTAATCCCAGCACTTTGGGAGGCTGAGGTGGGCGGATCACTTGAGGTCAGGAGTTCAAGACCAGCCTGTCCAACATGGTGAAACCCCATCTTTACTAAAAATACAAAAAAATTAGCTGGGCATTGTGGCATGTGCCTGTAATCCCAGCTACTCAGGATGCTGAGGCAGGAGAATTGCT